>NC_000002.12:99307799-99610830 GCF_000001405.40 Homo sapiens | reverse complement strand
TTACAAAAGACATAAACCTACAGACTCAAGAAGCTAACAAATCCCAAACAAGGTGAACTCAAAGAAATCCCCACCCAGACTCATCAGAGTCCAATTCTGAAGACAAAAGACAAATTTGAAAGTCCCGGAAGCAGTGTCCCAGAGAAATGGACGTTTACATCCACATAAAAACCTATACAGAAATATTCATATCAGCCTTATTCTTAACAGTCCAAAACTGGAAGCAGCCAGAATGTCCCTCATTGGGTGAATGGTTAAAAAACAGAGGAACCTTTAAAGGTCTGTACCATGGAATCCTACCCGGCAATAAAAAGAAACAAGCTATGGATATATTAAAAATCATGGATGGCTCTCATGACATTGTGTCGACTGAAAAAAGGCCCATCTCAAAAGGACACTTACTATGAATAAATTGTATCTCAATAATTTAGTTTAAAAAAGAACACATAACTATGTGATTCTGTTTCTATAACATTCTCAAAATGACAGCATTTTAGAGACGGAAAACAGATGAGTGGTCACCAGAGATTAGGAATGGTAGAGGGCAGAGGTCGGCGTGAATGCTCCTAAAAGGGTGTCATGAGGGAGATCTTTATGGTGATGGGACAGTTCTACATTTTAATCGTGGTGGTGGTTACATGAATCTATGTCAAGCGCGTCCGTGTGAAGAGACCACCAACAGGCTTTGTGTGAGCAACAAGGCTGGTAAGCAGTGGAAAGTTACAGTTAAAGGTGGTTATCTATTCTCAGCAGAGGAGGGGTCACAAGGTGCATGGTGGGGAGATGATGGAACTCGTTGTCCAGAAGAAGAATGTCACGAGGTCGATCGGTCAGTTGGGGCAGGGCAGGAACAAGTCATCATGGAATGTTGTAAGGTTGGTCAATCAGTTAAGACAGGAGCTGGCTGTTTCACTTCTTTTGCAGTTTTTTATTGCCTCAGGCCATCTAGATGTATACATGCAGGCTTGGGCTCAGAGGCCTGACAATCTATACATGTGATAAAATTACAAGGAACTGTATATTGTGCCATTGTCAGTTTTCTGGTTTTGGTATTGTACTGTAGTTACATAAGATTTAACCTTGGGAGTAACTGGGTGAGGGGCACAAGAACGATCTCTGTACTATTTTTCTTGCAACTTCCAGTGAATCTGTATTTATTTCAAAATAGAATTTTTTAAATAAGTGGACTGATCCATCAATCAACAAGTGGATAAAGAAAATGTGGTGTATATATATACCATGGAATACTATTCAGTCATGAAAACGAATGAATTAATGGCATTTGCAGCAACCTGGATGGGTCTGGAGACTATTATTCTAAGTGAAGTGACTCAGGAATGGAAAATCAAGCGTCGTGTGTTCTCACTCCTAAGTGGGAGCTAAGCTGTGAGGATGCAAAGGCATAAGAATGATACAATGGACTTTGGGGATTTGGGGGAAAGGTGGGAGGGGAGTGAGGGATCAAAGACTACAAATTGGGCTCAGTACATACTGCTAGGGTGATGGGTGCACCAAAATCTCATAAATCAATGCTAAAGAGCTTACTCATGTAACCAAATGCCACCTATTCCCCTCCCCCCCAAAAACCTATGGAAATAAAAAATTAAAAAAACAAATCCTAAGGTTAAAAAAATAAAGAAAAAAATACAAAATGGTGTTTGGTAACTGCTCTGTCTATGGAGTAGCCATTCTTTTATTCCTTTACTTTCTTAATAAACTTGCTTTCACTTTAAGAAAAAAAAAGGTGGGCTGAGGAAGTGAGAGTGTTTGGTTCACCCCTTGTTTGTCCCTGGCCCTGCTAGTCTAAATTCCTGAGTGGGTAAAACTTCTTCTGGTTGTGGTCTCTATATTTTTCTATTTTATATTGAGCCATCTCAAAACATGTAATAATGGGACATAGATCAGAGGTCTCAGAATGGTGCCCCACAGGCCTCTTCTTACCCACGTGTGTTTTCTTTACCAAATGTGTTTCATTGCTAAAATACAATGAAACTTTTCATTGTTAAAACTTTTCAAATTAGTTACCAGCATTTTAAAATCAGGAGATTTGATATAAACATAAGGATTTGGGGCTTCATGTGAAAAAAAATCAAAAGATTTGGTAATAATGAGCTCTTGTTTCCAGGTACAGAGATAGGCTAGCCTGGAGAAGCAGCATTCGACCTAGTGGGATTCTCCAGTTTGGTTCCTTCCCCTCGGCTGGGGAGCTGAGGGTCTACTGCCATTTATAATGTTACACATTTGTTTTGCTTATACCTGAACACTTCACTCATGGATGCTACTTGCGTGGCCCCCGTGGGTTCTCAATTTTCAACCTGATACGTATGTAAATGATAGCATTCTAAAGTTACCAGTTTTAAGAACTCCTGCATATTCCCAAGGGAACAGAAAAAAATACATTGCATGGATAAATTAGATGATTCCAATCCTTAACGTGGTAAGGGCTGCAATAGAGAAGTGGGCAGTGTGCTAGAGGGACTCAGAGGAGGAAACATCATTGATGCCTAGGGGAGCTGGGAAAACCTTTACAGAGTAGGGAAACATAGCCACTCAGTCCTGCAGAGGGAGTAGGAGGTAACAGTAACTCAAAGGAAAAAGGGAGAAAGGACTTTCTGGCACAGAAAATATCATATGCAAGGGCACCCTGCTGGAAACAGACCCAGCCTGTCCAGACGCTGAGAAATGTATTATTGCCAAGGTTTAGGGATAGACCCATTGAGGTGAAGCTGGAAATCTGATTGAGACCAGACCCTGAAGAGCTTCAAAAGCCAAGTTGTATAGAGAAATCATTCTTGGAAGTGTTGCAGAACAAACAATTACATTTCAGGATAGAAGCAACAGTCCTGCCAGTTGGGTTTTTTTTTAGACGACAATTCTTAGCAATAGCAAACCTCTTCAATCCCGCATTTACCATTTTCACTTACCATGTGGTATGGTTTTAGATGAATTAATATCAATAGTGATGCTATTAATAAAGGAATACTGTTGCCAGGACACTGATTATGGTTTGGATATCAAGCATGTGTTCTCAAAGAGTGTTGAAGAGGAGGAGCAAACATTGTTATTCAGTCAATCCCAGTGGAGTGCCCACAGCATGTGTGGTGCGATGTGGGCACCACAGCTGTCCACACAGCAACAACCAGGCAGAGAGCCTCTCTCCAAGTTACTTGTCAGTTAAAAGTGTGTGGACAATTTTGGATATGTATTCAGGCCCCACAATACACTTGGCAGGCAGGAGCACCCTTGACTGTGAGATCCAAGATTTTGTCATTTTGGTTCCAGGTCTTTTTTTTTTTTTTGAGACAGAGTCTCACACTGTCGCCCAGGCTGGAGTGCAGTGGCACAATCTCGGCTCACTGTAACCTCCGCCTCCCAGGTTCAAGCAATTCTCCTGCCTCAGCCTCCCGAGTTGCTGGGATTATAGGCGCCCACCACCACACCCAGCTAATTTTTTGTATTTTTAGTAGAGACGGGGTTTTACTATGTTGGCCGGGCTGGTCTCAAACTCTTGACCTTGTGATCTGCCTGCCTCAGCCTCCCAAAGTGCTGGGATTACAGGCGTGAGCCACTGCACCCAGCCTCCAGATCTTTTCTTTTATGATCTGCATTCAGACTTAGCCAAGGCCAGATTCCAAAAGGAAGGTGTCATCACAGCCATAGGAAGAAACACACCAAGCAGATCATTTAGAGAAAGCTGGACCCCTCTCAAAGGTGTATTTGGCTCTGACCACTCACAAAACCAGCCAAACATTTCATGAAGTCAAAATGCAAAAAGTAAACAAACCATCCAAGAGGGAACTGTGCTTAAATTATAGCAGATGAAACTTGAGTACATTTAAAGAAATATTCTCAGAAGGGAAGAAGTCTGTCTTAAAGGTTGCTGAAGTACTCTTTTTTTTTTTTTTTTTTTTTTTTGTGAGACGGAGTCTTGCTCTGTCGCCCAGGCTGGAGTGCAGTGGCGCAATCTCAGCTCACTGCAAGCTCCGCCTCCCGGGTTCACACCATTCTCCTGCCTCAGCCTCCTGAGTAGCTGGGACTACAGGTGCCTGCCACCATGTCTGGCTAACTTTTTGTATTTTTAGTAGAGACGGGGTTTCACCATGTTAGCCAGGATGGTCTTGATCTGACTTCGTGATCCTCCCGCCTCGGCTTCCCAAAGTGCTGGGATTACAGACGTGAGCCACCGCGCCCGTCCTGAAGTACTTTTAAATATTTTTTAATTGGAAAAGTGACATTATAACCTTCTCGAAAGATTCAATCTCTTTTTTAAAAAAAAAACTCATTAACCCAGTGTTGGATTTTTTCTCTTTACTTTTTCATTTAGTAATCACACATGAACGCTTATTATGTGCCAGGCACTGTGCTGAGCTTTGGTGACACAAAGACTTTTATTCCATGATCTCAATAATGTTTTCTGGCTGCTGTCAAATGGCACCGTGTTCATGAGATGGCACTGGGTCCAAGAACTTGGTAGGTAGCATGCTAAAAATTGTCCAAGCCTATGTCATCATGTCAACCAATCCGTGTTATCATTTCAGGAAAAAATCCACTATAATATATATATTTTTTTTACAGGGCCTTGCTGTCACCCAGACTGGGGTGCAGTGGCACAATCATGGTTTACTGCAGCCTTGACCTCCCAGGCTCAAGTAATCCTCCTGAGTAGCTGGGACCACAGGCACATGCCAGCACACCCAGCTAATTTGTTTTTTTGGTAGAGACAGGGTTTCACTATGCTGCCCAGGCTTAAGTTAATTTTTTTAAAGCATCTTTGGTATGTAAACATGACAACCAATTGGCACACCAAAATTTTCAGTTTGCAATTTTAAATATATAAAGCCTAGGCTGGGTGCAGTGGCTCATACCTGTAATCCCAGCACTTTGGGAGGCTGAGGTGGAAGGATTGCTTGAAGCCAGGAGTTCAAGACTAGCCTAGACAACATAGAAAGATCCTGTCTTTATAAAAAAAAAAATACAAAAATTAGCCGGGTATGGTGGTACATGCCTGTAGTTCCAGCTACTTGGGAGGCTGAGGAGGGATGATTGCTTGAGCCCAGGAGTTCGAGGCTGCAGTGAGCTATGACCACTACTGCACTCCAGCCTGGGCAACAACAAATTCTATAGACGTATGTATATGTGTGTGTTTGTGGCTTAGCCGAGTCCATCCTTTCACTAGCACTCGTCTGCAGGGAATGCCATTCCTGGCTTCTTCATCTTGGCTCTGCCACCCTCACTGCTGCAGCTGCCCCACGATGGGTAAAGCAGCTGCAAGCACCCGTGGTGGGAGCAGTCACTACACTGAGGCCAGAATGGTCAGCTGACCCCAAGGCCCCATGCAAGGATGGGTTAGAGGAGTTGCCTTTGTGGAAGTGGGGAGAGTGATCTTGATCCCACAACTGGAGCTACCAGCGCCCTTCCAGGAAAGTCTGCCCCCATCTTTGCTATGATTGTTTCTGGATATTATGCATGCTCTACCGGGACCATTGAAACATGAATATATTTAATCCAGACATCATAAATTTCACAACCCTTACAAGTAAAGTATGAAGAAAAACCTAAACTCTTGGCTCTCTCAGCTGTTTTAAAAACAAATAATAGTTAGGCCAGTAAAACTGTCATTTTAAGTGAATTTCGTAATTTAAGAAAGGAAAACATTAACGTATAAGGTTTTTCTGCCAATGTAATTCAGATCGGAGATGCTGCCTCCTTGGGCTAGTGTGCCTCATCACTTCAGGACCGCAGCCATTAAAGGCAGGCAGCATGGTAACTGTTGAATGGGCGCTTTCCCAGAAATTAAAGTGCCAGTTTTCAAAAGACAGTCACTTTGTGGTGCAAGCCACAAGGAATCCCACACACCTTGCTGCCTCTGCTGTACACGCAAAGCCCAGAGCACACAGAACCAGCATCGCATGTTTTTTGTTGAGTGAAAGCAGATAGAATATACTGATTGGTTTTCTATGATGTCCAATGGCTTTGATCACCAATCAGAATGTTCTTTATTCATCTTCATTTGCTAATCTTTGGCAGATGTCACTCCAGAGGGTGACAGAGAAACACATATCTTTCCTCCACATCTATGTCCCCCAACCCCATCCTTCTAACAAGGAAGCTTTTGAGCCATGTGTTGTTTTGCTTTTTTATTTTTGAGTGTTTCCCCCCAGTGTTTTGAGTGTTTTGGGATCTACCAAAAAACGATTTTTTTAAGTTAAGGGGCACCTGTGCAGGATGTGCAGGTTTGTTCCATAGGTAAACGTGTGTCATGGGGGTTTGTTGTACAGATTATTTCATCACTCAGATATTAAGCCTGTACCCATTAGTTATTTTTCCTGACCCTCTGCCTCCTCCCATCCTCCACCCTCCAATAGGCCCCAGTGTGTGTGGTTCCCTTCTCAGTGTCCATGTGTTCTCATCATTTAGCTCCCACTTATAAGTGAGAACACGTGGCATTTGGTTTTCTCTTCCTGCATTAGTTTGGTAAAGATAATGGCCTCCAGCTCCATTCATGTCCCTGCAAAGGACATAATCTTTTTTTTTTAAATGGTTGCATTGTATTTCATGGTATATGTGTACCACATTTTCTTTATCCAGTCTGTCATCGATGGGCATTTGAGTTAATTCTGTGTTTTTGCTGTTGTGAATAGTGTTGCAGTGAACATACGCGTGCATGTGTCTTTATGATAGAGTGATCTATATTCCTTTGGGTATATACCCAGTAATGGGATTGCTGGGTTGAGTGATATTTCTATCTTTAGGTCTTTGAGGAATCGCCACACTGTCTTCCACAATGGTTGAACTAATTTACACTTCTACCAGTGTATAAGGGTTCCTTTTTCTCCACAACCTCGCCAACACCTATTATTTTTGGATTTTTACGTAATAGCCAGTCTGACTGGTGTGAGATGGTATCTCAGTGTGGTTTTGATTTGCATTTCTCTGATGAGCAGTGATATTGAGCTTTTTTCTATATGCTTTTTGGCCACATGTATGTCTTCTTTTGAAGTGTTTGTTTATGTCCTTTTCCCACTTTTTAATGGGATTGTTTTTTCTTGTAAATTTGTTTAAGTTCCTTATAAACACTGGATATTAGAGCTTTGTCAAATGCATAGTTTGCAAAAATTTTCTCCTATTCTTTAGGTTGTCTGTTTACTCTGTTGATAGTTTCTTTTGCTGTGCAGAAGCTCTTTAGCTTAATTAGATGTCACTTGTCAATTTTTGCTTTTGTTGCAATTGCTTTTGACGTCTTTGTCGTGAAATCTTTGCCCATTCATATGTCCTGAATGGTATTGCCTAGGTTGTCTTCCAAGGGTTTTATAGTTTTAGTTTGTAAATTTAAGTCTATAATCTATCTTGAGTCGATTTTTGTATATGGTGTAAGGAAGGGGTCCAGTTTCAGTCTTCTGCATATGGCTAGCCAGTTCTCCCAGCACCGTTTATTAAATAGGGAATCCTTTCCCCATTGCTTGTTTCTGTCAGGTTCTACAGACTATTAACATGGATCCCAGATGTTCATGTTCAGTCAGAATTCAATCGTCCTTTTTTTATGATTCCAATGACAGTAACCATCTCGATTCAGCCAACAGGAAAGACAGATTTTTGTTCATAAGGAAGGAAAGAAATATTACAGCCCCTGAGCTCTAACTGTGCCTTGCCCTACTCTGTCTTAAGATCCAGGATTCCTCACTCAATTCTAGACACAAATAACAGGCTGGAAAAGAAATCGCTGCAGCTCAGGCAAGGCATAAATGTGCAGATGTTGTCTGCTGCTGAAGAATTTTGTCAGACAATCAGTGTGGACCGTGACATTGGTGGAAGAAATGAAAACCCCACTAGGGAAAGTTATGTTCACACTCTGGTTCCCCTAACCCTGCCGTTCCAAGAGGTGCTTTTATTTTTAGATCCCCTGCAAGACAGTTTCTTGTCTGGTGGTTTTTATAGAAACAAAGCTCCAATGAGTATTACCTCCATCCCCACCCCCATACCCAGGATTTATGAAAGTCCTCTTTGGGCAAAGCACGTATCAAAGATTTAAGGGATGGGTGAAACAAGTCCTTTACCATGTCCAGGCTGCTTTGCACTTGAGACCGTAAACCCCCACAAGCTCCCTGGCCCCTGGCCTTCATTGATGCTCGGTCCTATAGAAGCACTGGTCACAGTTGGAAGCAGTTTGCTGACTCAACATACAAGAGTGACCGGCATTTTTGGTATTTAGAGCTTGACCTCAAAAGAACACAGTATGGTGTGTTTCAATTTTGTTAATAAAGGACTTTGAAGATGTTGAATATTATGTGAGTACTGAAATTTTCTTTTCTGCTCAAACACTTTCTGGGTGGATGTATGCTATTTGAATTTTTATGGTTAATTAATTACTATCGGAAAGCATCAGTCAATTTTTCTTGTTATCTTTGAGTATGTAATGACTTTCTGGCAAATTTCAGCATGGATATAAACATCAAGTATAAATGTGAAATGCAGTTCCTATAAGTCACAGCACCGGGATTGAATTTTAAAGTCCGGAATATACGAAAGTGTGTCAGTGAGGGATCTTCAGTTCTCTAGGAAAGGGCTCAAAGGAAGGTTACAGTTTATAACAACATCCCAGCACCTGTAATCGCTACAGCACTCAACTACAGGTGGGAAAAGGGAGGAAGCAAGACATGAACTTGGACAGTCCCTTCGTCTCTGGAACCTTCCAGCAGGTCATGAAAGCTCAGAGCAGAACGCCGTGCCCTTCCTGACAGCCCTCTGCCTAATCCCTGCCATCATGCTGCATTTTCCTCTAGGGCAAAAATAAAGCAGTCATTTTCATGCTTTGCAAAATAGTTCAAGCTTTTTGGATTTCCTTGCATTTTTGTAGATGATTGGATTTGGGGATGCATTTGAAAAGCCATTCCCAGAACAGCAGCAAAATGGAAACAGCCATTTGGATGTTATACCACCTTCCCTTCCAAAATGGCCACACGAATAACCAGTGCCCGACTACCAAGGGGCACCAACTTCACCCCCAATTTTATTTCTGTATATGAGTTGCTTTAACCTTTAGGATGACTTTGACCTCGATGCCTGCTCTTTGAGTTCCAGGTCATGGTTGACAGATGTGTAGGCTGCGTGCCTCCTCCCTCTTTAGGGTGCATGACAGCTTGGTGGTGTTTTCCTGTTTGCTCACTTGGCTTTCCTTCCCTCTGCTTCCCGGGGGCCTCGCGGGCTGGCAGCGCCGTGGTCCAGCAGCCCAACTGCAGAACCTCGGTGCCTTCCAGCAAGGGCAGCAGCAGCAGCAGCAGCAGCGGCAGCAGCAGCTCCTCCAGCGACTCAGAGAGCAGCTCCGGATCTGACTCGGAGACCGAGAGCAGCTCCAGCGAGAGTGAGGGCAGCAAGCCCCCCCACTTCTCCAGCCCCGAGGTAAGCGCTGCCTGGCTCAGGCCTCTCCTCTGCCCACTTCTGTCTCTATGAGGATAGCAAGTCCGGGCATTGTCACTGTCACACTGCTGCAGGTCTCCTCCCTCCTGCAGACCCCAAGCCAGGTGCTGGGAAGGAGGAGGCTATGGGCTTCGGGCTCCACATTTTCCCCCTCCTCACAGTCTCCTAATTTCACAGGTTCCTTTGAAGTACAGAAACATCAACTTTCATTGCCCCCAGATTCTCTCTTGACTTCCAGAAATTTCCAAGTATGCTATAAACATCACTGACAGGAAATAACCTATGGCTCAGGTCTCCCTTGGGGTCAGCCAGGGCAGTCGCTGGACAGAGCCACTCACCGCCTGGGAAGTGTGACCACCCATAAATCACAGGGAAAGGGGTTTTATGGGTTGGACATGGTCAGATTCTTACCTTTTTGCGGTTTGTCACGGATCAGAAGAAGAAGGGCTATAAATATTAATAAAACCTTCTTAACTGTGTTTTCTTTGTGAAAATAGAAAAAGAAAAATTAGCATCACCCTAAAAAAATGATGAAACCTTTTATAGCTGTGATGAGTATCTATGTGGAAGATTTAGGTGCCTCCTATAAAAACATTAGAAGGTACCAATAAAAACCATTGCTGTTTCTACTTTAAAGTAGGAAGGGGAAAATTAAATAGTAATTCAGAGCATGAAGATTCTTGGGAGAGGGCTGAGAGAAACTTCCCCAGGCTGCAGAGCTCTAAGGGTAGACTCTAATTTCTAAACAAGGAGTAAAATAGAGTTTCTTCTTGAGTGCGTAAACATTTGACATGACTAATGATTGTCAGGTTTAATTTTTTACTTACAGCCCTCTGTACCATTTGGGGGGGCCATATTCCTAAATAGGCTCTGAAATGGAACTAAACCCACTTCTACAAACCATCTCAGTGGGAGGGGAGCACCTTAATGGGCCCGATCAGCATCCCCGTGTCCAGCTTTTATAGCGGTGCCTTGGATGTTATCACACCTGAAAGCAGTGGTTCCATCTCAGGTTCACAGAGTGGCTCTTCAGTTCCTTCAGGTTTTTCCCCTCCCTACTTCTTTCAGGAGGCTAAAGCTTTTTGCAGGAGCACTGTGAAATCAGGGACATTTTGTTTCCCCACACTCCTCATTTTCTCCTCAGCACCTTTCTGCCCTGGCTCAGGACTCTCCATTCATCCTGAACCAAGCCATCTCTCCACGCTCTCCTTCCCATGAGGTTCAGTCTCTGCCTCTCCATCTGTCCATCTGTATCTATCCATCTATTTATCCATCTATCAATCTCTGTATGAGGGGAAGGCTCTTAGCAACATTAACCTATGAAAGCCTTATGGTAACATAACCCTGGCTTTTCCCAGAAACTAAATTATTATTCCTTCAGCATAATTTCATTTACTCATTCATTGATTCATTTACTCATTCAGAATTCATTCAACAAATATTTACTGAGCATCAGTCACACAGTACTTGGCCCTGGAATACACAATTATATGACAAAAAATGTCCCTATCTTCATAGAGCTGACATTCTAATGGGGATAATTCAAAATGAAAAAAATACAGGAGTTAAATAAAGTAGAAGAGTTAAGCAGGCTTCTTTAAAGCCTGCTTTATGCTATACTTTGTGGAGAAATTCTGGAATATTTAGTTATAAGAAATAACTGCGTCCCAGGGACAGTGCAAGGACAGGGCAGGCAGTGAGGATATCCAAAAACTGTTTGTGTCTGTGAAGATCATCCATCCAGGCTCCTCCTTGTGGCTTTGCAGGTTAAATTCATGAATGTTCAGGCTTATTTTCATCCTGAAATGTAGGTCCTAGAGCTCCTGTGTTGGCTGGAACCTCATTTAAGACCAGTACAGTTGGCCGGGCGCAGTGGCTCATGCCTGTAATCCCAGCACTTTGGGAGGCTGAACAGGTGGATCATGAGGTCAGGAGTTCAAGACCAGCCTGACCAACATGGTAAAACCATGTGTCTACTAAAAATACAAAAATTAGCTGGGTGTGGTGGTGGGCGCCTGTAATCCCGGCTCCTCAGGAGCCTGAGGCAGGAGAATCGCTTGAACCCTGGAGGCGGAGGTTGCAGTGAGCCAAGATCACACCACTGTACTCCAGCCTGGGTGACAGAGCGAGACTCCGTCTCAAAGAAAAAGAAAGAAAGAAAAAAAGAGCAGTACAGTTATAAAGTGCTTTAAGCAAATGCTTTCTAAATGTCACTGAGATAATTACAAAGACTTGAACTCCTGGGTGATGAAAGGAGGCTCTTGTCATTTCTTCCAGCAGCTATCAGAGGCCCCTCGCTAAGGAGAGGGGCAAGAGCCTCCTAAAGGAGTCAGTCCTAAAAGTTTAAGTCACCTGATGCTATGTGTGGTTTTGGATTCCTGGCTTCCCTACACAGAGGACTGCAGAAGCAGCAGGTGATGTGTTAGCCAGGCTGCACGTTCGTTCTTTCTGCAGGAAAGAAATGTATTTGTTGGAATAAAAGTAAAGTTCTTTTAACACTTTTCCTAAGGATAATACAGACACACACACCCTTTAGAAAGAAAATGAGTTTGCAGACTGCAAATGGCAAAGGCAGGAAGTAACATCACCCTGTGTGTCCTCCACAGCTGTGCTGCCTGGTCTGGCGGAGCTGGCCCAGGTCACCTTACAGAGAGCTGTAAGACTCCTTTTCCTGAACCCCACATGACAGTCAGGCTCTTCATAGCCATGCACCTCACATTCCGCTGCTCAGACCAGTTTGTGCTGCTTTGAAGCAGAACGCCTCTGTTCCTCACTCCCCTGCTGTAACATCCTGCTATGGGCGTAGGAGGCGCCCTGTATTCTCCCCACCATGTCCCAGCACTCAGAAAACCCACTGGGCTCAGCTGGGTTGCGTAGGAGATGTTCTTTCTGGCTGTGTGTGTTGAGAGCCAATTTGTTTCACGTAAATCACTGTAGTATGGTAATGCCATGTTCCCGCGTAGCATGGAGGGGCCCTCTCTGTGGCATGATGTGGGCTTCATTGGTCTCAGACAACTTTTTCTCACCGGAGTCTAATCTGCTTTCCAGGCACTGTACAGCCTCTTATACCAGAGCTTTGCAGGAGAAGTTGCTTTTGCACTCAGCTAACATGTTGACCCCACACACGGAACTCACTCGGCCTTTGTTGTACAATATATATTACGTGGAGGAAAAAAATAAAATAAAAAAGCCTGGATACCTAATGTTAAAGAGATCTGGGACAAAATAGGTTGATTCCACCTCTTTACCTATCGAATCATCACGCAACCCTTACTATTGCTCGGGTGTACTGTGTTTTCCATTGTGGCATTTCCCAGATTGATCTGACTCTGGAAACCCTCCTTCATGGGATAGATGAGCTAAAAGCACATTTTGGAAAATGCTGCCCTAGATCGTTCTTAAAAATCAACAGAAATGTGATTCAAGTTGCTCGCTGACTCAACAAGCTTCTCATTTATTAGGTGCCTACGAGGTCCATGGCAGCGGGTACTTGAAGGATTTAGATGAAGCAGGGACCAGAGTGCATGATGGAGAGCTGGTGCGTGAGTCAGAGGGAAGATCAATTAGGGAGGAGAGTCATGGCTGAAAATATAAAGCAGTGAGCCAGCAAACAAACCAGAACCTTGGGCAGAAACCCCGGATGGACGGCTCAGGAGGCGGACTGTGGCCAGCCGCATGCCAGTGGCCTGGCGTCTGCAGCCTGAGGTTCCCCTCCTCACTGCCACTAAACTCTGTATCCTTGCAGCTTCCTTGGCCACAATTGCCTCATTTCCAGAATGGCAGATAATCATGCTCTGCCTAACCTGTGAGGTTGTCGGGGGGAAAATGATGATAATAAAGGAATAAATGGTACAATTTGAGTGACACCTCATTGTGAGTTGTTCTTATTAGGAGGAGAGATGTGGCAATCTGCCTCCCTGACCTAGTATAGATGCTGCAAGGGATACTAAAGAAACAGAGACCTGGCCCTTGCCTGAAAGAAGCATTTGGCTTTTTTGAAGACACAAGACATATATACACATGAAACAAATACGAACATCAAAAGACAACGCAATTGAGTATAACAGAGGGCAACAAGTACTGTTTGGAGTGTTCTTGGTGTTTTCTCCAAAATTCAGATCTAATTCTGTCATTTTAAGTTGAAGACTGACATTTCTCAAAGGAATGCGGTCCCCCTTTCACGAGGCTATGCCAAACAGTGGGAGACACAGTGATGCAGCCGTGGAGACAATTGGTCTTTAAACCTAGATGAGTACAAAGTTAGTCTCCGTAGAGCCCGGTAGCTGTGCAGCTCTGGGTATGTCCCTTAGCCTCTCTGAGCCTCATCTACAAGTTAGGGATGATAACCTTTCTTATCTGTAAAGATTAAATGAGATAATACACATGAAGTGGGAGTTAAACTGTAGGTATTCTGACAATGAAAGATGATTACGAGATAATGGACGCCCTTAAACGCCCCCCTTAGAAATTTGGATTTTGTTTGAGAGGCAATAGGAGGTTATTGTAGATCCTTGAGGGAAAAAAAAGTATGATTTAGTGATGTGTTGAAAGTGGGTACTTCAAACTGATTTCCTCAGCTGTGAAGTGCAGAAAAAATGACCCTAAAGCATACCAGGCAGTGGGCCTGTACTAAATGTATTAAATTCTGCCCTTCTGTTAATGCTCCTGCTAGGAAGTTTCAGTGTGAATTTTCCTGTGTGCAGCTGTGTTTTGGCTACAAACAGACTTCTCTCACATATGAGATGTGGGCTATAGAAGGCTCCGGATGGTAGCAGTGAGGGAGAACTAGTGTGAAACGCAGTGGCGGGGCCAGTGTGAGGGGTGTGTTCTGCCGTGTGTGTGTGTGCCCTCTTCCAATATGTGCACCCTTTCTGCAAGAGGCCCCTTCAGCATCCATTCCTGTTTACTGTGTCCCATTTGTCTAGGGAAGCTGAGGCACAGGCGAAGGCACTGACTTGATGAGAGAAATGGGGGTTGAGGGAGACAAAATTAGAAGCCATTGATTTTTGCCACCAAATTAGTTTTCAGGCACTCTCAGCTAATCTCAGGGGAGGTGAGGGATCCCCCTTGGCCGAGAAGCTGTTCCGTGTCCCACTGTCCTGCTTTCTCTGACCATGGGAGGGCATCTGCCACCGCCACATGCACTGGGCATGTTCCATAGGTTTCCCGTGTTCCCTTTCTCTGGAGAAGCCAAATAAAGCGAGGTCATGATTTACGCAGAACTCAGAGGTACAAAAACCATCTGTCTTTCTACTCATTTGCATATTTCTCTGGTGCCCCGGTTCCGTTGGTGGCCATGAAAACAAGCAAAGAAAAATGTCACGTCAAAGACCAGAATCTGTGTCGGGGCCAGGGGGTCCCCCCTTCCCCACCTGCACTCCAGGATGGGCTTCCGCATCCTCACAGCCCAGGGAAGGGGCCTTCATCCTCATTCTGGCCTTCACTGAAATTTTCTTGCTTCTCCAAGTCACCAGACACCCTGTGCCAGTCTGCCCCAAAGGGCAGTTGGTCCCATCTGGTTTGGGGCAACCAGCAAGATGTCCATGGTCCCTGTCATAGCTCTGGTTGCCTGATCCCCACGCTCTGTGGCCAATTCCTCTTGGCCCCAACCCGTTCTGGCCCATCAGAGGCTTCCCATTTCCCTGAGTTGTGCCCGGACTCAGCCAAGGCCCCTGCTTCTATGATACAGCCCTCTTATTCCCCTTCTGAAATCCTCAGTGCCTGGGGTGAGGCCAAGAGCCCTGAGTTCTGCTCTTAATACAGGCCTCACTGTTGAAAAACAAACCTTGATACTTCAAAGGAACCTTTTCAAATTTTATTATTTAAATGTATTTATTATTTTTATTAAAATTTTATTAAACTTTATTATTTTTATTTATTGTGTTAAACCATTTTTTCTCTGGCAACAGACCCAATTTGCTCTAGACTTGAACTGATCAAGCTTGAAGTATGGAGCTAAGCAGTGTCTTCTTACTCTAGCCTGGTATCTGGTCTCCTCTGAAACAATGGATGCCACGAATTCGAAAGGTGGAAGGCCATAGGGAAGAAAAAACACATCACCTTAGCCAAAATACTTTCCCCATTTCACTTAGAGTCACAAATTGAAAATACTCTGGCTAAAATTCTATTCTTCTCAATACACCTGTTTTCTCTTAATTATCATAATGCTGGATAAATTGACTTTTTAGACATCAGCATTTACTCCCTGTGAAATTATTGGATTGGTCCTTAATTTTTTTTTGCTTCTGAGACATAGATTCTTAGAGACACAACTGAAAAGTACAGACCTCTTCTAGAAACAAAATGCATCTACACATTTCCCATCCATTTCAGGGCATTCCCTAGCCATCCCCCCACCCTCAACCACAGAGCCAACCTGTGGGGCCACAGTTCAAAACCAATGACTTTCATGAGTTGCTCTAAGTTAGCAAACCTGCTTGCAGGAAAGTGTTCCATCTCACCTCCATGTTTGAAATATTTCTAGCAAAGTGTGATGGAAGCAGGTTGAGGATAGACTGACCCAGTCAGGCTGCCAAAGATGCACAAATACCTCTGAAATAGTTCTATATGCAAAACAAGCCATCTTCCCAAGGTCATTGCTCCTACTACCAAATTACTACAGCCTACCTGCCTTCAACACATAAATCATGTGTTAATTGTTTGGGATTGTAGGTTCCACTTAGTCCCCCTTCAGATCTCCCCAAAGTTTTAAGTCTCACCAAAAAAACAAGTGATTTATGCTCAGGGCCTCTAAACAATTCTCTGAGTTTTGGGGAATTTCAAGTTTACATATGTACATATAATTATATAAAAAAATTTATACTAACACTCAAAAGTACTAGGAAATGGGTTCTAATGAGACACAATGCTTTCCTTATTTTTCCAAAGAGGAAGTGCTGCAAGGACATTTAGTGCCACGGGCCGGTAAGGACAGCATCATCCAGGCATCCTGAGTGCCACATGGGGCTGCCACACACGCTTAATGCTTCCATTTTCCTTTTGCTTCCAGCCCATTCGTTTTCTGCTCATATACTTAGAGAAGTAAGTCAAGATAAAAACAGCCAGGCCCCTTTTAAGTGAGCCTGTAATGAAAGATGTTTTGTTTGTCACCGGTTTTCTGCTTTCAGGCTGAACCGGCATCCTCTAACAAGTGGCAGCTGGATAAATGGCTAAACAAAGTTAATCCCCACAAGCCTCCTATTCTGATCCAAAATGAAAGCCACGGGTCAGAGAGCAATCAGTACTACAACCCGGTGAAAGAGGACGTCCAGGACTGTGGGAAAGTCCCCGACGTTTGCCAGCCCAGCCTGAGAGAGAAGGAGATCAAGAGCACTTGCAAGGAGGAGCAAAGGCCAAGGACAGCCAACAAGGCCCCTGGGAGTAAAGGCGTGAAGCAGAAGTCCCCGCCCGCGGCCGTGGCCGTGGCGGTGAGCGCAGCCGCCCCGCCACCCGCAGTGCCCTGTGCGCCCGCGGAGAACGCGCCCGCGCCTGCCCGGAGGTCCGCGGGCAAGAAGCCCACCAGGCGCACCGAGAGGACCTCAGCCGGGGACGGCGCCAACTGCCACCGGCCCGAGGAGCCCGCGGCCGCGGACGCGCTGGGGACGAGCGTGGTGGTCCCCCCGGAGCCCACCAAAACCAGGCCCTGTGGCAACAACAGAGCGAGCCACCGCAAGGAGCTGCGCTCCTCCGTGACCTGCGAGAAGCGCCGCACGCGGGGGCTAAGCAGGATCGTCCCCAAATCCAAGGAGTTCATTGAGACAGAGTCGTCATCTTCATCCTCCTCCTCGGACTCCGACCTGGAGTCCGAGCAGGAGGAGTACCCTCTGTCCAAAGCACAGACCGTGGCTGCCTCTGCCTCCTCCGGGAATGATCAGAGGCTGAAGGAGGCCGCTGCCAACGGGGGCAGTGGTCCTAGGGCCCCTGTAGGCTCCATCAACGCCAGGACCACCAGTGACATCGCCAAGGAGCTGGAGGAGCAGTTCTACACACTGGTCCCCTTTGGCCGGAACGAACTTCTCTCCCCTCTAAAGGACAGTGATGAGATCAGGTCTCTCTGGGTCAAAATCGACCTGACCCTCCTGTCCAGGATCCCAGAACACCTGCCCCAGGAGCCAGGGGTATTGAGCGCCCCTGCCACCAAGGACTCTGAGAGCGCACCGCCCAGCCACACCTCGGACACACCTGCAGAAAAGGCTTTGCCAAAATCCAAGAGGAAACGCAAGGTAGGCCTGGGGCTGACTGGGGTGCGGGGGCGTGGAGGGGAAGGGGCTATCTCTTAACTTGTGGGTACTTGGATAGAGCACCCATAGGCTGCTGTTTGGGACGGTAGGCTGCCGCAGGAGTTTTGTGTGTCCTTACCTAACACACACTTCTAGGGTACTTTCTATATCCAGACACTGTTGTAAGCACTTAACATCTAACTTAGTCCTTAGAACTGCTCAGTGAGGGAAGTACCATTATTATCCCTTTTTTTGGGGGGGGGGGAGGGAGTCTCACTCTGTCGCCCAAGCAGGAGTACGATGGCACAATCTCGGTTCACTGCAACCTCTGCCTCCCAGGTTCAGGCGATTCTCCTACCTCAGCCTCCCAAGTATCTGGGATTACAGGTGTCCACCACCATGCCCAGCTAATTTTTTTGTATTTTTAGTAAAGACAGGGTTTCACCATGTTGGCCGGGCTGGTCTCGAACTCCTGACCTCAAGTGATCTGCCTGCCTCAGCCTCCCAAAGTGCTGGGATTACAGGCATGAGCCACCACGCCCAGCCTATTATCCCTATTTTATAGTTATAGGTAATTAAGCCTTGTCCCACTGCATGTCAAAATAGGAAATATTTATCAAGCGTGTGCACACGCAGCTGGATGTAGGGCCTGTGAGAAAGCTAAACACATGAGAACCCTCACTCTTTGCTGGCAGGAATGGGGTGACATTGATGGTGGGATCACTCATTGGCCCAAGAGGCCAGTGGCCTCATGAAGTTCAAGGTTGTGGCAGGTGAAAATGAATACGGCAGACCCTGATGCAGCATCAGAACCAGCAGCTGTTGCTTCTGTTAGCATTGATCAAGGAGGGCTTCATGGTGGAGGGGCCCTGAAAACAGGGCTCTGTAGAGGAGGGATATTTGAATACGTCCAGGGTCAGGAATGGAAGCGGTGAGTCCAGGGAGTGAGAAGGGCAGCAAAAGCAAGGACAGGGAGAGCTGGGGGGCATCTCTGGCAGCAGAGCCTGAACGTGTAGCCCATTTCGAAGGTTTTTGTGCAGGGGAATACCTTAATCATCCATTAAAGCCAATTTTGAGGGTTTTTAACCCCTCCTGTTACTGTATCTTCATAAGTAATTTTTATCACTGTGAAAAATACAATGGGTGACAGACCAAGATTGCAATATGCATGGATGGCTCCAAATTTAGGACAAAGTTTTCAGTAACAACAGCTCACAGGTATATAGGTCCCCATGACAGATGCTGCTCTAGGCACTTTATACATGTTAAATCATTTCATCCTTATAACTTTATGAGGCAAATATTGTCATACCCATTTTACGGAGAGGGAACAGAGGCTCAGAGAGCCTAAAGCAACTTGCCCAAGGTTACATAGGTCCTAAGGGGCTGAGCCAGGAATTAACCCAGGCTGTCTGGCTTCAGAGCGTCACAATAAGAAATCAGTCTGAGGTCTGTATATTTTCCAGTTTTCTGAAGACAGTCTAGTCTATCAATAGAAAAGTTAGACTGGACACATACGTTTCACAGCTATTTCGAATCCCTGATTGAGAAGGGGACTAAGGAGTACAGCTTGTTACCTTGTCCTGGCCACGATGAATATATTTCTTGCTTTGTAAGTGCGCATGGAGAAGGCACTCAGTCTCCTTTTTATGACAATCATCTTTGTAACCTAAGGGCACCTATGACCAGAGAAATTCATTCTAAAGTACCAGACCGGGTACGGTGGCTCAAGCCTCTAATCCTAGCACTTTGGGAGGCTGAGATGGGCGGATTGCCTGAGCTCAGGAGTTCAAGACCAGCCTGGACAACATGGTAAAATCCCATCTCTACTAAAATACAAAAAATTAGCCAGACATGATGGTGCACACCTGTAGTCCCAGCTACTCAGGCAGCTGAGACAGGAGAATCACTTGAACCTGGGAGGCGGAGGTTGCAGTGAGCCAAGATCATGCCACTGCACTCCAGCCTAGGCAACAGAGCAAGACGCCATCTCAAAGAAATAAATAAATAAAATAAAAAATAAAGTACCAAAGGATGTTTTTCTTCACATAATATTAATAACATTAAGTAATTTATCCCTATAAAGTAGAATTTGAAGCCCTTGCAAGAAAGTTCATGAAAAGAAATATGTTCAAGGGGCAGCTTTTTGCTTTTCCTTGGTATGGATGCAAAGAAAAAAAAATTTTTTTTTTTTTTTTTGAGACAGAGTTTCGCTCTTGTTGCCCAGGCTGGAGTGCAATGATGCTCCACCATCTTGGCTCACCACAACCTCCGCCTCCTGGGTTCAAGTGATTCTCCTGCCTCAGCCTCCCGAGTAGCTTGGATTACAGGCATGTGCCACCATGCCTGGCTAATTTGGTATTTTTAGTACAGACGGGGTTTCACCATTGTTGGTCAGGCTGGTCTCGAACTCCCAACCTCAGGTGATCCGCCTGCCTCGGCCTCCTAAAGTGCTGGGATTACAGGCATGAGCCACTGCACGTGGCCAGCAAAGATAATTTTATAAAGAGGCCCCAACATAGTTTCCACCCAGCACTGGCCATTATTAGCCGGCAGTGGGCGCCCTTAGTTGGTCCCCATTGCCCTGAGAGTGCTCACATATAATGGAAAGTGTGTGGATTTTCACACCAAAGTGTCCTGACTTCAAATCCTGTCTTTACCGTTTCCCTCCTGCAGGTCCAGCTTTTCATGGGCCCCATGCATGGGACCATAGTGGTGTGCATCACCCAGGGCCCCTTGGAATTGAATGCTTGTGGCTGCCATCTTAAAATTTTTCCTGTAATCTTTGAATTTGTGATGCTGCAAATTGATGGTACATGTGCAGGGGCATATGGAGCTTTGACTCACTGTGTTCCCACCTCCTGCCTGTTTCTGCAGGGCAGGTTCTGCCTGCGCTTCTGCCTCCTGGCACCCTGGGCCCTAGGCAGCCTCCCACTTCCTGTCTTAGTCCAGGGACTATTGCTGCCCTTGCCCCAAGAAGGGGCCTAGGTGCAGGCAGAGGAAGAATCTTGCCCATCCCTCATCCAGGTAGTAAGACATTCCAAAGAGGGTCTTGAAATCCCCTGGGGGTTGCCCACTTGCTGTGGGTTGTTGGGGAAATGCCTGACAACTCGGGCACCACAGGTAGGGCCTCTGATTGGCAGAAGGGGAACGCCCACACTGGTGGGCTGCACACATATACCTTGTCCAAGGGCAGACAGAGCCCTTGAGAGGCTACACTTGCCTCCCCAAGTATCCCCATGCCCAAAGAAGTACAGTGTGTATAGCAAATACTGTAGACACCTCCATGACAGAGACTGTGAAAGAATGGAGAATGTTTTCTATTTGAGGGCTTTATAACATCACTCTTTTCCTGCTTTTTGAACAAAGGGCCCAGCGTTTTCATTTTGCGCTAGACCCAGAAGGTTATTTATGGTCCTTGGCCTCCTCAGTGACCTTAATCAGGTGACCTTACTTTCTCTGAACATCAGTTTCTCCATCTAGAAAATGCTGACATCTGGGCCGGCCGTGGTGGCTTACTCCTATAATCACAGCACTTTGGGAGGCCAAGGTGGGCAGATCACGAGATCAAGAGATCGAGACCATCCTGGCCAACATGGTGAAACCCTGTCTCTACTAAAAATACAAAAATAGCTGGGCGTGGTGGCGCGTGCCTGTAATCCCAGCTACTCAGGAGGCTGAGGCAGGAGAATCGCTTGAACCCTGGAGGCAGAGGCTGCACTGAGCTGAGATCATGCCATTGCACTCCAGCCTGGCAATAGAGTGAGACTCTGTCTCAAAAAAAAAAAAAAAAAAAAAAATGTTGACATCTTTGCAGGGGTGTTGTCAGATTCACACAATATGTTCCAACAATGCAACTCAGTAATACTTGGCAGCTCATTTTCTTCCCTACCTGCTATTCCTCCTGTTTTTCTCTACACACCCTGTCTTCCTTACTACTTGCTGGTGCTCAGTCTTTGTTGAGTGTAGGAATCAATCAATCAGTTAATCATCTGGGAATGAGTGTGGCTATTACCTCTGGGATGGATGGCTAACTGAATACGCTGATGGAAATATACACATGAAATATGCAGAGATAGACATTGGTAATATATAGACAGATTGGAAATACATAAAGCCATCCAGGCATGCAGAGTTTACTAGAGAGATGTGCAGAAAGACTTACATAAAATTCCGTAATATTCTGTGTTTAAATAGTTGTATTACTTATGGCCATTTTTATTTTAACTTAAGAAGCTTCATTTACAGTAAGCCTGACACCTGGCTGTACTCATAAAATCTAAAGAATCATTAAACACAGACACAAGAGAAGTGAAAGAACATTCTTATAGTGCTCTTTACTTGGTATTCTGGGCATTAGTACCCCAGTACTGGGTGCTGGAGATGGGACCCCATAGACCTGGCTGTCAAATTTGTGGAGTCTCGCCCTGCTGGAGCCCTGGAGCTAAGGACTAAGAACTCGGAGCTTTGGTTTGGGCCCTCCATGGGGGTACTATTACAGTGTGGGCATCTGGGAGCCCCTGTGGCAGAGGCTGTGTGGCAAAATCCCAGCCAGAGCGAGAAAGTCAGAGTCTTTCTCTCTTTGGTGTTGGCACTTGTCTCCTGGAAAACAATGCAGACAGCCCTGAGGATACCATACTAGGTTCCTGTTATCTCATGGAAAATGGTACTTTCTGAATATATTTGTGTTGCACCTTAACACATATCTAAAGTTAAACACAGGCTGGCCTGATAGCTGACACCTGTAATCCCAGCACTTTGGGAGGCCAAGGTGGGAGGATCGCTTGAGCCCAGGAGTTTGAGATCAGCCTGAGCAACATGGCAAAGCCCCGTCTCTACAAAAAATACAAAAAATTAGCCAGGCATGGTGGCACACACTTGCATTCCCAGCTACTTGGAAGGCTGAGGCGGGAGGATCACCTGAGCCTGGGAGGTCGAGGCTGCAGTGAGCCATGATCGCACCACTGCACTCCAGCCTGGGTGACAGAGCAAGACTGTCTCTAAATAAACAAATAAAATTAAACCCAATCATGGCAACAAGGATCCAATCAAAGTACTGTTTTAGAAAAAGGTACTTTATGGATTCTAAGATGTCATGGGATAGTAATTGAAAACTAGAATTAAGGCACCAAGAGATAATAGCTTCTGCTTGCAGTTCACAAAAGGCAATAATTTTTTTTTTTTTTTTTGAGACGGAGTCTCACTCTGTCACCAGGCTGGAGTGCAGTGGCGTGATCTCAGCTCACTTAAATCTCTGCCTCCCAGGTTCAAGCGATTCTCCTGCCTCAGCCTCCCAAGTAGCTGGGACTACAGGCGTGCACCACCACACCTGGCTAATTTTTTGTATTTTAGTAGAGATGGGGTTTCACCATGTTGGCCAGGATGGTGTTGATCTCCTGACCTCGTGATTCGCCTGCCTCGGCCTCCCAAAGTGCTGGGATTACAGGCATGAGCCACCGCACCTGGCCAAAGCAAGAATTTTTAAAACAGAAAAGTCCAGGCTTGCCACTGCCCTTATGGCATGAATCCCAGAGAACACACACTTGCTGTACTTTATTCTGATACCAAGAAATGCCAAGGTGAGTGCCGCTGGAGCTGCAGTGGGAACTCAGACCAGTTGGAGGGCTAAATCCTAAGCCGGTTGATGGCAGAGCAGCTTTCAGAATTCAAAATGTTGAATCATGGCGTCGTGCCTCTCCTCTCCATCAGCTGTCAATTGTAAAACTGACAGATTTCATCCTTGCTTGTTGAGGAGCTAATGGGGAAGCTATGGCAGGGGCACAGCTGCTCAGGCTGTGCTTCGGGGAAGCCAGGTGAGTGGGGCTCCCAGGAGGCCTTGCTCTGTGGAAGTCGGTGCCTGGGAACTCATAATACCTCTTGAAATCCAGTGCTGATTGACTTTAGTTTATTCCCATACAGTGTGACAACGAAGACGACTACAGGGAGATCAAGAAGTCCCAGGGAGAGAAAGACAGCTCTTCAAGACTGGCCACCTCCACCAGTAATACTTTGTCTGCAAACCACTGCAACATGAACATCAACAGGTACGTGCATTCCCTCCAAAGTGGAAGTGAGCTGGAGAGATCTCTGGGTCTGAAAGTCACCTGCTATGTTGGAGGAGGGTCAGGCTTTTTGAGGACTACTCTGGTCAAGGTCTGCAGACTTGCTTCCCTCCTTTAACCCAAATCTTATTATTATGGCTACACATGTGCCACACATTATAGCTCCAGATACTCACGCAAGGTTCTTCTCCATAACCAAAGACCAGATACTAGTTACACACAGCTCTGCACTCCCCAAGACATGCCCTTCCCCCAAAAAAACTTAATAACTGAATTTCTAATCAATATTTTAATGGTAACCGCTAAACTCCTAAGAACACTAAGCTTATTACACAGACGAAGAAATACACACTTCAAGCTGAATCTCCATGTGTAGCACCTAAAGCAATTAATTGGATATAGACTAAAATTGTGGCCTTAGAAGGGTCCGTGCTCCCAAGGTTAAATGGCCACCCACACACTCCTCTCAAGAGGTTCCAGATGGACGCATCCAGCACTGACTCCCCTCTGTGATGAATGGCTTACAAGCAAAGCAAGATCCCAGGTATTTATTAGAAACAAGTAGCTTATCATCAGTCGTAGAAGCTCTTTCCATTTTGAAATACCACAGCACGGAAACCACTTTTCCTCTCTAAGACACTCCTCACCCTCCCTGACCGTATACATAGAATTTTGAAGAGAGATGAATGTCTCGGCACAACACATAAAAATGTAAACTGAAAGGTTAGGAAAAGATGTAGAGCAGTGCTAAAACTTGGCGAGGGAACTGGAGGGTGAGGGTGCACACACACAGGCACACTGCAGCGCCGGAATCACCTTGAAAGGCGAGGGCTCCTGTGGGTCTGAGCAGGAGGGAGGGCTGCCCCTGCATGCTGCCCACTCCTCGGTCCTCTTTGCAGGGTGGATGCCAGCCCAAAATATTGGGAAAGGGGAAATGGGGAAAATGTAGTCCCCAAATATTTTTAAATGTGTGATATCCTTTAGTGCTTGTTAATGCACTAAATAACCTTTCTAGCTGATCTGGTGGCTTCCAGAATTTCTAAGCAGTGAGGAATATAAACCGTATGTATGCACAACTGCAATATGATATGAAAATAGCTGTGATTTGGCCGGGTGCGGTGGCTCACGCCTGTAATCCCAGCACTTTGGGAGGCTGAGGCGGGCGGATCACAAGGTCAGGAGTTCAAGACCAGCCTGGCCAATATGGTGAAACCCCGTATCTACTAAAAATATAAAAAAATTAGCTGGGTGTGGTGGCACACTCCTGTAGTCCCAGCTACTTGGGAGGCTGAGGCCAGAGAATCGCTCAAACCCGGGAGGCAGAGGTTGCAGGGAGCCGAGATTGTGCCATGGCACTCCAGCCTGGGCGACAGAGAGGTTCCATCTCAAAAAAGAAAAGAAAAAGAAAAAAAGAAAATAGCTGTGATTTATACCGGTGACACGGTCTCAAGTGTTGTACTACTGCTCCTGCTAAACCATGACTCTGGTTTCATACCTTTACTCATAGTTGAAGGAAATGTTCTGTTACAGTGAGAGGTTAGTGAAAATGAAGAGGTCACTTCTCTATTCAAGTTATTGGACCCCAGGTTAAAAAACTCTTGCTCTAGAGACTTAGCCTGGAAGAGCCTCTTAGTTCTGATGGTTTTGTTGCTGTTAAGTGGTGACACAATGCATATAAAATGCTTAGAGTACATTCTGAGAAAGGTGGTCTGTGTACCTCTGGAATTGTGATTACTACTATCAAGTTTTACCAGTGCTGTACAGCAGTCCAAGAGAAGGGGATTGCCAATTTCAAAGAAGAGCTCCAAAGAAAGTTTCTTTGGCCAACTTGAATATATATATAAACTTGCAGTGATGAAAAACAGGCAATCATGATATCCATGATAATATTTAATGTCACAGTTTTGTTTTCCATGCACTGTAAAAATCATAAAGTATGTCAAATAATAGAGACTGAGGAAAAGGTCTTTCTTCACTCACATTTCGAGAAACAATTATAATCAGGCTGTTCGCATTATCTTCAGCATCAGCATCTTAGCCATCACTAGATGAGCAACTTTTGATTCTCCCAAAGCACTTTTGCGTGACACAGCCTCTATGTTGTTAGACACACCGTGCTTTTGGAACAGTGCTTTTCACCAGAAATGCTATCCCCACATGTATCCATTTGCATAACATTCAGAACCTTGGTTTTGTCATTTGTTCTAGAGGTCTGTGTTTGTAATTTCTCCACTGTGACCACCAGCTAAGGAAATTGCTTTTCGAAGTGACTTTAGTGGCTTCTTTGCGGTGATAACCAACACGTGCAATTAAGAGATCCCAACCCCAAGAATAATGAGTAAATCTTTGTTAGATGGCTTTACCATTTTTTAACTGACTCTACCAGGTGACCTCTGGAAGTATCCTAAATTAGTGATGACTGAGTTTATTTCAAACTAATCTGTCTTCCCCAAACAATACTTTTAAGTAATAGAGGCCTAACAATATAATATACATTGCAAACTCAGATATAAGTGAATCCCTCTTCACTGATGGTTGATTTTGGAGAATGTTACATTCAAGCACAGACAGTAGTTTTGAAGGTAAAATAAGGAGTTAGGAATCAGAAACTGTAACTTCTACTCACCATTTTTATTTATTATTTTATTTATTTATGTATTTATTTTGGAGACGGAGTCTTATTCTGTCGCCCATGCTGGAGTGCAGTGGCGCAATCTCGCCTCACTGCAACGTCCACCTCTCCCAAGCGATTCTCCTGCCTCAGCCTCCTGAGCTGAGTAGCTGGGATTACAGGCATGCGCCACCACACCCGGCTAATTTTTGTATTTTTAGCAGAGAGGGGGTTTCACCGTGTTGGCCAGGCTGGTCTCGAACTCCCGACCTCAAGTGATACGCCCACCTTGGCCTCCCAAAGTGCTGGGATTACAGGCGTGAGCCACCACACCCGGCCTCCTACTCACCGTTTTTATATTCTAGGTTTAATCTGATCAATCCCTGGTTAAGTCATAAACTCAGATATTAAGAATTGGCTTCACATATTGCAGGTTGTTCTCTGGTTTTATTATTTTTCTATATTATATTTAGTACAAGCTCAGATGAGATAGCAAAAGTCTTTTTAGAAATGTGGAATATGGACTGGGCACGGTAGCTCACGCCTGTAATCCCAGCACTTTGGGAGGCCGAGGCAGGTGGATCACCTGAGATTAGAAGTTCAAGACCAGCCTGGCTGACATGGTGAAACCCCGTCTCTACTAAAAATACAAAAAGTAGCTGGATGTGGTGGCAGGCACCTGTAATCCCAGCTACTCGGGAGTCCTCGGGAGGCTGAGGCAGGAAAATCACTTGAACCCAGGAGGCAGAGGCTGCAGTGAGCCAAGATTGTGCCATTGCACTCCAGCCTGGGTGACAAGAGCGAAACTCCATCTCAAAAAAATAAAAAATAAAAAGAAGTGTAGAATTTGGCTGGGCACGATGGCTCATGTCTGTAATCCCAGCACTTTGGGAGGCCGAGGCACCTTGAATCCAGGAGTTCGAGACCAGCTTGGGCAACATGGTGAAACCCTATCTCTACAAAAAATATGAAAAATTAGCCCGGTGTGGTGATGCATACCTGTAGTCCCTGCTACTCAGGAGGCTGAAGTGGGAGGATTGCCTGAGCCCAGGAGGTTAGGGCTACAGTGAGCCAAGATCCTGCCACTGCTCTCCAGCCTGGGCAGCAGAGCCAGATCCCGTCTCAAAAAAAGACAGAAATGTAGAATTCATTTATTGTTGTTGATTGACTTTCCCACTGCTTGCTCCTTATGCTTGTTAGGAAAACAGTAAGTTGTTTGTTGGGTATTTTGAGATCCTTGGATAAAGGACTTGGAAAATGAAGGTGTTATTAGTCTTAGTCGTGTACTTTGGTGCTGGCTCCAGAATTACTACTCATCCTGATGGGAAGAGAAAAGAAAGAGTGAGTGAGATTTGCTTATTGTTTGTTATGATCCTAATGCCATTAACTTGTTTCCTGGTATAATAATTCCCAATAAGCTTCTCCTACCAACAGGTCCCAGTTGGGTGGTTTGGGTCATATGAAAACATTTACCTTTCCCTGTGCTGACTCTGTAACATTCCATTACCGTAATTTCCTTTTTCAGTGTGGCAATACCAATAAATAAAAATGAAAAAATGCTTCGGTCGCCCATCTCACCCCTCTCTGATGCATCTAAACACAAATACACCAGCGAGGACTTAACTTCTTCCAGCCGACCTAATGGCAACAGTTTGTTTACTTCAGCCTCTTCCAGCAAAAAGCCTAAGGCCGACAGCCAGCTGCAGCCTCACGGCGGAGACCTCACGGTTTGTTGATGCTCTTCCTTTCCCAATTAAAACCAAAATGAAATTGAGCACCCCCAAGCTCTGTCTCTAACCTAGCACAGTCTGAACACATGCTTGAGGTCCCTTGAGAATTCCTGAATGCCTCCCGCTTCTAGGAAGACCCAACAGAGGACAGCCCCCTTCACTGTCCCAACAGAGAGCGGGGAAGAAGAACCCTGAGGGAGAGTTCTAACCCTCGGTTGCTTAGGCAAGATTTTATTTTTCCTTCTGAAAAGAAAAGACCTCAAAGTAATACCATCCCGGGACAAAGTAAATTAGGAGTTTGAACCAACCAATCTTTCTGTTGGGAAAAATTTCTTATCCCAGGGCAGAGTTAAATCTGGGATTGAAACCCCACACTGAAAGCTACAGGGCCCCCACTCTGCCCTTATTGGCCAGTGTCGCAGCTGCAGTGGGGGACCCCCACCACCACCCCTTTTCCAGTGATCTCGGGTGATTCCAGCACGCCCCAGGGGAAGAGCAGGGGACTTGGGTTCACAATCTGACCTCACCTCTTAGCTGCAGTGTGATCTTGGGCCAGTTGCTTAATCTCTCTGCTCCTGTTTCTTTACCTGCAAAATGGTAGTGATAAGACTTAAAAGAGACAATATCATGAAAAGACCCCGACCGGGCGTGGTGGCTCATGCCTGTAATCCCAGCACTTTGGGAGGCTGCGGCGGGCGGATCGCCTGAGGTCAGGAGTTCAAGACCAGCCTGGCCAACATGGTGAAACCCCATCTATACTGAAAATACAAAAATTAGCCTAGCGTGGTGGCAGGCGCCTGTAGTCCCAGCTATTCAGGAGGCTGAGGTAGTAGAATTGCTTGAACCTGGGAGGTGGAGGTTGCAGTGAGCTGAGATCTCGGCACTGCACTCCAGCCTGGGCGACACAGCAAGACTCTGTCTCAAAAAAAAAAAAAAAAAAACTCCAACACCTAGGGACGCCTAAGCAACTAACACTACATGTTAGTTCCTCTTCACTGCCATGCCAGCCTCTAACAGCCAGTGGTCCTGGACCACTCATCCTTTCAGGAACATTAGTTACTTCCAAACCCTCCCCTGTCATAATCACTGTGCCTATCACAACCAGCTGGGTGGCCAAGCGTGGTGGCACATGCCTGTAATCTCAGCTACTCAGGAGGCTGAAGCAGGAGAATCGCTTGAACCTGGGAGGTGGAGGTTACAGTGAGCCGAGATTGCACCACTGCACTGCAGCCTGGGTGACAGAGCGAGACTCTGTCTCAAAAAAAAAAAAAAGAACAGGATTCTGCAAAGAAAGATGAGAAAGATGAGGGAGGGAGCAGTGTGTAACACTTTATCCCATGAATTAAAGATTATTACAAGTTGCTGGAAGTTCCCACGAGAGCCTAAATCTTACAGCATCCTCAGGAAATGAACCTTTTTTGTGCACCCTCACTTGGGAGCAGTGGTCTTTAATTCTAGACTGAAAGAATTGGGGAAGACCTATATTAGAAAAACATGGAACAAAAAGCCACCAACTCAAGTTTTTTTATTTCCCTCTATATCCTTATATCATGAGCAACTATGATACGCAGAGAACTATAAACCAATTGTAGATTTTATTTAGTTATTTTTCACCGAAGAGGTGCTCATTCGGTAAGTACTTATTACGTGCTGGGCACTGTGCTGAGCACCAGAGATGCAATAACAATCCAGCGGATCCCATTTGTGCCCCCATGAAGCTTACAGTTCTAGGGAGAGAGCCTTATACAGGGGATCACACACATGCATGATTCACCACCAATGGTTTCAGTACTAAAAAGGGAACTCACAAAGAACTAGGAGCTCTTATAACAAAGCAGCTTGAATTAGTCCTAGGAGTGGCAAACTTTCTGCAAAGCAGGTTTTTTGGGTTTTTTTTGAGACGGAGTCTCGCTCTGTCACCCAGACTGGAATGCAGTGGCGCGACCTCGGCTCACTGCAAGCTCCACCTCCTAGGTTCACGCCATTCTTCTGCCTCAGCCTCCCGAGTAGCTGGGACTACAGGCGCCGGCCACCACGCCCAGGGCTAATTTTTTGTATTTTTTTAGTAGAGACGGGTTTTCACCATGTTAGCCAGGATGGTCTCGATCTCCTGACCTCGTGATCTGCCCGCCTCAGCCTCCCAAAGTGCTGGGATTACAGGCATGAGCCACCGCGCCCGGCCTCTGCGAAGCAGGTTTTCACATTTTGGACTGAGTAATTACTTGTGGTGGGGCTGTCCTGTGCAACGTAGGATGTTTGGCAGCATCCCTGGCCTCCACCCAGTAGATGCTATGAGCACCCACTCGCAGTGGTGACAACTAAAAATGTCTCCGGGCATTGTCAACTTGCCCCAGTTGAGAACTGCTGCTGTAAAGAGTCAGATAAATAATTTAAGGGTTTATGGGCTGCACAGTCTCCATCCCAGCTACTCAACTCTGCTGTTGTAGCAGGAAAGCAGACAGTAGATAAATACATAGGCAGGATTGGTTTACAGTAAAACTTTATTTTAAAAAAAGGGCCAGATTTGACTCCCTGGCCATAGATGGCTGACCCCTGATGCGAGATCTCTAAAAGGCAAGTCACCATATACTAAGAGACAAAGAGCATTACAGGCAGAGGAAGCAGCAAGTGCAGAGGTCCCGAGAAAGAACTGCACACGCTCATGAATCTGGGGAACAGAGGCCACAGGCAAAGAATGGCTGAGGGGCCACTTGGCTGGGATCGCTCCTTTTACCAAGAGCAAGCAGAGGCCACTGGAGGAGTTTAAGAACAATTTTAAAATGTTGACATCTGAGCTTCCTGGTCTTCTATGACAGTAGACTCTAACCCTTACAGTGCTACACGTAAAAGCAGTCCCTATTTAAAGAAGCATTTGTATACACTCAATTTAATTACTTCAGAGAAACCATTTGCATTTCCTAACCACTGACATTGTTTTATGATCCATGTGTTTGGCACACAATAGGTGCCATGTAAATGTCTGTATCCCAAGTAATGTGATTTTTAAAACTTTTCCACAGACTAGTGTGTTCCATATATATATATATACACACACACATATGTATACATATATATTTGAGATGCAGTTTTGTTCTTGTCCAGGCTGGAGTGCAATGGTGCAGTCTTGGCTCACTGCAACCTCCACCTCCCAGGTTCAAACGATTCTCCTGCCTCAGCCTCCTGAGTAGCTGGGATTACAGGCACCTACCACCACGCCTGGCTAAATTTTGTATTTTTAGTAGAGACAGGGTTTTGCCATGTTGGCCAGGCTGGTCTTGAACTCCTGACCTCAGGTAATCTACCTGCCTTGGCCTCCCAAAGTGCTGGGATTACAGGTGTGAGCCACCATGCCTGGCCTAGAATTTATTTATTTATTTTTTTTTTTTTTTGAGACGGAGTTTCACTCTTGTTGCCCAGGCTGGAGTGCAATGGCATGGTCTCGGCTCACCGCAACCTCTGCCTCCAGGTTTCAAGCGATTCTCCTGCCTCAGCCTCCCGAGTAGCTGGGATTGCAGGCATGTATCACCACGTCTAGCTAATTTTGTATTTTTAGTAGAGACGGAGTTTCACCATGTTGGTCAGTCTGGCCTCGAACTCCTGACCTCAGGTGATCTCCCTGCCTCAGCCTCCCAAAGTGCTGGGATTACAGGTGTGAGACACCGTGCCCAGTCGATTTATTTTTTAAGTAATTCCTAGTGATTCCTGTTGACTCCTTCTGGTCTTCACAGACAGCCAACAAGAACCAGCAAACCTGTGAGATGAGTGACTGGTTGACTGTTGAGATGAGTGAATGGTTCTGAAAGCGTGGTTCCAGGATCATGGGTGATTACAGCATCCGCATCACCGGGAACCAGATGGAAAGGCAGATTCTAGGTCCCCACCCCAGCCCTGCTGAATCCCAGACTCTCAGGGTGGGGCCTGGCAATCTGTGTTTTCACCAGCCCCCTGGAGGATGCTGATGAAGACTGAACTGGCCAGCCTCCAGTCTAGCGGACTGGGAAAAGTGGGCATCTAAACCCTAACCCCTGGCCTCCACCACAGTCACTGAGTGTGGGCAACTTGCTGAACCTCACCAAGCCTGTTTCTGGATCTGTGAGAGTAGGCGTCATGACTTCCCTTTTGATAGTGTCATAAGAATGACAGTTGAGAACACAGGTAGAAGCCCTCAGCAAATACCTAGAATGCATGTATTTCTTTATTGAGACAAAATCACCATCAATTCTAATACAGCACACAAAGATGTTCTGTAGAGCCAAAGATATTCTACGTATGTATGTATGTGATGGGCTGCTCGCTTCACCAGGTGGCCAATTTCTCAAAGATGTGTGTTGTTTGTTGTTTAGAAAGCAGCTCACAACAATTCTGAAAACATTCCCCTCCACAAGTCACGGCCGCAGACGAAGCCGTGGTCTCCAGGCTCCAACGGCCACAGGGACTGCAAGAGGCAGAAACTTGTCTTCGATGATATGTAAGTTCAGACGCTTTTAAATGTGGTGAGGGGCAAGACAGAACAGAAGCTGCTCAGGTGGAAGGGGCATGGGCACCTTGGTGTGGCCACCTTCAGCTACAGTGCGGCCTTTTTTTCCCCTGGGACTTGGTCATTTAAATGTCCCTCTTGAATGGAATTGGAGCCTTAATTTTGAGTGCACGCCTGAGTCCTGGTGGGGTTTTTGGGTAGACGGAATAATCAGTGCTAATGGGGTTGGATCCAGGACATCAAAAAACAAAGGCAAATAGCATTAATGAGTCTTACACTTCTAAGCACTTGTACTTGGGCTGTTGGCGGTTTTATGCTACTAGAAAGAGAAGCATTGTTGTTTTTGTAAATTATAATAGGCAATGAATAATAGTGTTTTACTCCTGAAAGCTTTTTTCCTCCAACTGCTATATTCTTTATCATAGTATAAATGATTCTTATATAGGAAGAAAAATGCCATCATCCTTCACCCAATTCTAGCACTTTCAGTTTCACACAAGTATAACTTCCATTCCCAGCATCATTTTAAAAGGAGGAAAAACAAGAGGAGAAGATGAATAAAAACAACATCCTGGAATGCTCTCGAGAGGCTGAAAATGACAAATGAGAAATGATAAAATGATGCTGAAAATTATTTCGGCTCGTAGGGAAAATGTATGTGTCAAGGACAAGCCTGGAAGGCAGAAGAATCCTCTTTTCAGCTTTAGCAGTCCTACGGGCGTCAAATACATGGCTGGGTGAACAAGGAAAAATTCAGCTCTGGGGTGGAGCAGCAGCAGAAATAGGCACTTCTGCCCTCTGAGGGCTTCCAGTCCAGCTGAGGAGCAGACTACAAACCACTAACCCCACTGGACACTGGAAAATAAAATGGCTCTACATGTCCAAGAGTCCCAGTGACAAATGCCACAGCTCGCTCAGCGGGGCCCTCCTAGGATCCATTAAATGCCGTCTCCTAAGGGGTGTCACATGGAGCACAGAAAGCACCATGCAGGGGTGGCTACTCCAGCCTCATCGTCCGCCCCGCTCCTCCATCCCTAACTGCCACCCGGAGTCTCGGCATGATCTATTTATTCACCTCTGTACAATTCCCTGGGAAATTTAAAATACTAAGTTTTAGTCTTCAAGTATTGCATGAACTCCTGTAAGCTAATTAGGGCACAGGGTTTTGGGGGTGAAAGCCAAATCCACATTTGTTGTTTGTTTTGTTAAATGAACACATTCCAAGGTAACTGGGTTTAGGAAGGCTTGAGGGCAGCCCAGGAGGGCATGTGTGTTTCTTCTCTTCCTGTGGTGGCAGCTGCGTCCCACCCCACACACACTCCTGGCCCTCACCACCCCGCTTCCTCTCACTGTCTTCATCGCCTTTGCCAAGCAGCCAGGGAGGTAGGTGGTGATTAACCCCCCAGGGAGGGCATGGAGTGGGAGTACAGTCAGGTGGCCAACTACATTTATAATTAGGGTTCAGTGATATAAATTGTTCATGTGAACTTCAGCCATTTGTAAAAAGAAGAGATTAAAATTGTATATAAGGATAACATAGAAATTTGCATTTGGAAGTCATAACCCAACAACATGATCAAACAGAAGGAGCATTAGACCCTGAGGTACTCACACCACCGCATACTTGCAGTGGGTGGTTTTGAGAGCATGGTATATACACACAAAATACAAACACATATGTCATATTAAAATGCAAGGAATTTTCCAGTGTATGAACCAGAAAGCTAGGTCAGAAACAGCAACAACTAAATGATTGTACTTTGATCTACAGGTACTTGGACTTTTTTTTTTTTTTTTTTTTTGAGACAGGGTCTTGCCCTGTCACGCAGGCTAGAGTGCAGTGGTATGAGCATGGCTCAGTGCAGCCTCAAACTCCTGGGCTTACGCTATCTTCTTGCCTCAGCCTCCTGAGTAGCTGGGTCTACAGATGCATGCTACCACACCCAGTTAAATTTTTTTTTTTTTTTTTGTAGAAAAAGCGTCTCACGGCTGGGCGCAGTGGCTCACACCTGTAATCCCAGCACTTTGGGAGACTGGGGCAGGTGAATCACTAGGTCAGGAGTTCAAGACCAGCCTGGCCAAGATGGTGAAATCTTGTCTCTACTAAAAATACAACAATTAGCCAGGTGTGGTGGCAGGCACCTGTAATCTCAGCTACTCCGGAGGCTGAGGCAGAGAATTGCTTGAACCTGGGAGGTGGAGGCTGCAGTAAGCTGAGATCGTGCTACCACTCTTCAGCCTGGGCAACAGCGAGACTGTGTCTCAAAAAAAAAAAAAATCATGTCTCACTATGTTGTCCAGGCTGGTCTCGAACTCCTGGCCTCAAACAACCCTCCCACCCCAGCCTCCCAAAGTGCAGGATTATAGGCGTGAGCCACCGTGGCTGGCAGCCCTTGGACTTTTTATAAGAGGAAATGTTTCTTAATCTGCTATGGCTGAAACTAATATAATCTTGTCACTATTGGTGTCAACAAAGAGGCTGTTATCATTTGTTCTTCCCATTAGCAATGTGTATAATTTTCCTGGCTGACAGCTACAATGAAACTGTTTCTCCTTTTATGGATATAGATATAATAGAATAAAAAAACACTGTTACATATCCATCATATGGAGAGATAGATGTCGCATTCCAATTGCCATATGTCCCAACTGATTTGAAATCCATAACAGTAAAATAAACATGCAACTCAAACAGCCACTCAACCATCGAACTAAGAAAGTTGTGGAAAGATTCTTCAAGCTTGAAAAGCAAAAATAGGCCAGGCGCGGTGGCTCATGCCTGTAATCCCAGCACTTGGGGGAGCCGAGGTGGGTGGATCACTTGAGGTCAGGAGCTTGAGACGAGCCTGGCCAACACAGTGAAACCCCATCTCTACTAAAAATACAAAAAAAAAAAAAAAAAATTAGCCAGGCACCTGTAATCCCAGCTACTCAGGAGGCTGAGGCAGGAGAATCACTTGAACCCAGGAAGCGGAGGTTGCAGTGAGCCGAGATCATGCCATTGCACTCCAATCTGGGCAACAAGAGTGAAACTCCATCTTAAAGAAAAAAAAGCAAAAATAGGCATCGTCTCTTCCTTTAAGCAGTAAAAATAAGCAACCTTCAAGAGATCACTGGGCTAGAATGTCACCTAAAATTGTGCAAAACGTCTCCCAGGTTCCTTTTGGTACATATGGAGCACTTACTAAGTGCCAAGTACAGGCACAAGAGCTGAAGTATAATGATTAATTAATTCTCAGTTCTTCAGGGGAGAGAGAGGCACATGATGACCTCTCCAGGAAGGTTTCCTAGGATTACTAAATTTAATTCTCGGCCTCCTTCCTGCCCACCTCCATTCTGTGCCAGCTTCCCCACCAGCAGCCTCAGTGACAGAGGAAGACCTCAGCCCTGTCACCTCCCTTGACTTCTCTTCACCGAGGGTGAAGAGTGAACTTCAGCCATTTGTAAAAACAAGCAGTGAAATGACCAAAGAGAGGCCACCAGTGGAAGAAAAGACTAGATAATTAACACTGGAGTGATTTCGAGTTGATGGAAATCCAGTTACAGTGATCCAAAAAGTAACAGATGCCACACTGTCATTTAATTTTTAAAGCCGCATCATGCAGCTTTTTTAAAAAAGTAAACTCATCTCTTTGTATTATAAATACTTGTTAATGGTTGAATAAACATGGGATTCAGACAACAGCTGAAGCCAGTAGGCTCTCAATAACAAGTGTTGAATGAACCCAGCTGAATTATAAATTACATTCCCAGGGAAGAGTGCCTGCAATTTTTTTTTTCTATGACTATAAGGAATCTACATGCAGGTGAATGTAAATTAATGGGTTTCCAAGCCCGTTTTCCTAGGTTACTTACCAAAAAATCAGCCGGGCGTGTTAGCATGTGCCTGTAATCCCTATAATGCCTGTAAACAGGCACCAGTTAGTTCCTTTGGGATACAGACAGAACTGAGAAGAATAACATTTATTTTTAAAAATGTAATCAGGTCAGCCTGTCCTTTGTATGTTGTGGGCTCATATTGGTGGCAGTGTGACCTCACCTCCTCCCCTGACATTAAGCAAACGCACAACATTCACTACTTGACAGCCACAGTATTAAGGTGACACTAGTGTGGTTATCAAACTTTTGTTTAAAAAACGGATCTGTAAGAATTTGTGTCAATGAATGACAACACTTGATTCAACTTGAGGCCTAGAAACTGATCTTATTAGTGCAAAGCCATGAGCTGTAAGTTACTTGGTATCATAATTAGTGACAGGGGAATTCTTGGCTGGGGAAAATTGAGAGAGAACAACTGTGTCATGAAGGCCTCCGTACAGAAGTCCTGAACAGGGCTAAGTGGTGGTGAGATGCTTGGCTGGAAAACCACCTCCTCCATCCTGCCCACCGTTCTGCTGTGCTAGGAAGCCAGAGAACCCCAGGTGCCAGGGCTGCCTGCCGCTCCCTGGAGGAAGTGCTGGCTGCTGCCTGTATGTCACATGGAAAAGTCAGTCACAATCAGCACATTCAGCCAAACCACCAAACGTCCCTTCTGTCCCCATGGTGCCCGTAACAGGAGCCCGGCTACCTGAACCTCCCGACAGTGAGGAAAGACTGACTATAGACGCCAGGCGCTGAAGGCCATGGCATGTGAAATGTGGCCGGGAGGAAGGAAGAGGGACTTGACATTTGTAATGTACTTGCACAGCAGTCTCAGAGCTAAAGGATTTTAATTTTATAGAGGATGGGAATACTCGCATATTGTAAAAGGTTGAATCCCTAGCAGCATGATTTAGTCAAAGGACACCAATTAAGATCCTTGAGTAGGCGAAATTGCAGCTGGGAAGGCGCTCCCCCACCAGGGGCTTGCAGTGGGCATGTTCTCTTGAGGGTCTCCTCTCCTAGTCCTTTCAAAGCAGGGACCCTACCTTTTTGTTTTCCTGATTAATCATTAAGCCTTTATTGGTCTTCATATGGAATTTCTCCCATTATGAAATCCCTGTCTCAAGGCCAGGAGCTTCTTTTGTTCTAACCAAAACAGAGTGAGAGAGTAAGAGTGAGTGAGAGAGAGAGAGAAAGAAATGAAGTAGGATTTGCAAAGGGGTGCGGGGGACAGGGTGCGGAGACAAGGACATTCAGATCTCCTGGATTGAAATCTCAGCTGTCCAATCATCTTTAGGGTTTTGTAAGATTATTTTAAATGTCACACTCAGAGAAAAACAACCATCAGATTGATAATTTCCCATTTCAACAGAAAGTTACTTTTGATTCAACACCCGCCCCACTTAGCCTGAGCGTCCTGCAGAGCAAACCCTGCCTTCTGTGGCCGGCTGAGAGGGAAGCAGTCCTGTGGCCTGAAGAAACAGTGAATGACCGCTTGTGCCTGGGAGAAGCCCGGTTCCAGGGACTCTGAGCCCCAGCCGACATCAAAGTTGTGGAAATAAAAGCTGTGTTTGAATCCTTGCTACCCAAATGCAATCTACCTGGATCTGTGGGGAAGTGCCTATAAAGGCAGTGCCAGCATCCTGGAGTGGCTGACTCTGAAGTGCCCTCATCCATAGTCTTCACTGACTCTGTGTATTAAAAATAATTACTTAATTTCTTATGCATTCTCCTCAAAGCTTGGGACATATTAACACCTCTGGGGCTTATCAGATGACAAGCTGACATATCGGATAGCAGATGATGAATTCATTTGGTATGCAGTTGCCTATTTGTCTGATTTGGATTTCAACTTCCCTAAGAAAATCATCCAATTTCTGCCGCGCCGAGGAACTTGTTGTTCAAACACATTGAGCTCTCATCCCTGCCAGTTTTCACAAAACAGGCTGGCTCTACTGAGGGCGGCATTTCACAGAGGTAGGAATTACAGAAAGGAGTCTGCCAGGCTCTCCGTGGGAGACCATTCAACTCTATCCCGGCCACAAAGGAGAACAAAAAGCAAGGTTGCTTTAATATTCCCATGCCAGAAGAAATATGGGGGTAGCTCAAACCCTGATGCTGCTGAGAACCAAGACCGTGTGTTTCTAGGTGGGGGGGGGGGGGTGGTGGGAGGGGGAAGAGAAGAAAAGAAAACATTCTATTTGGATCAAGTGCTCAGAATGCTTTTGTTGGAGAGAGCTCTCATAATGAAGATGCATGCAGCTAAGCTCTGGCTTTCAGATCACTCAAGCCCCGTTTCTGAAGAGCCCATGATTCACAGTTAGTTCCATTTATGGTGTTTAATTAAACTTTTATTAGGTTTGCTCATGTGTCATCATAAAATACCATCACTGTGGGAAACAATGGGAAGAATTTTATTACACAAATGAAAAATGAAAACTCTAGGTTTTCCATGTTAAAAAAAAAATAGAAGATTAGATGGAAAATCTATTTGAACACTCAGATAAGATCTCATTTTAGTACCTTTGCTGTATTATATTCTATAACTGTCACAATGGTGACAAGCAATTTTACTTTTCCTACTGACTTGTGTATTGCTGTCAGAAGGGATGCCTTTGTGATTCGTGGCAAGGCTGGACACTGGGTGACATCCCATTGGTCCTGCTGGCTTTATAATGATCTGCTCTGGAAGTACAGCACTAGAAATCACTCGAAAGGAGAAAATGGGCCAATCATCAGGCAATCTTCAGTGACTCATTATAGTGAGCCCTCCATTCTATGCAAAGATGAGAGTTCTAACAAATGTGTTCGTTAAGTGGCCTCCAGATGGTACCTATGCTATTAGCATCTCAGGTTACTGCTCTGATTATAGCTGCTCTGATACGGTCAGAAAATTAGGTGTGTTACTTACCCACATGTGCTATGGTGAGAGTCTGTGACTCAGCCTCCATATCAGGATTTAAAAATATGCCCCTATGCTGCAGATGAAAACAATATTGATTAAGGAGCTTATATTAGGAATTGTGAGCCACTGCCATCCATAAGGGTAACTTAGAAGGCTGGTGGAAACTAAGATACCATAGCTTATTACCAAGATAATCCTTTAATGAAATGCATTTGAAGTAGTGAACTGTTAGTGACAAAACAGGGCAAGAAAAAAAAAATGACCTAACTTATATACTAGAGTATAGAACAGATAATGATGTGGAGAATTTCAGGTTGCCATGGAGACACTCTCTGGCTCATTGGATGCGATGCTGCACCCCATCGGAAGGCACCACTCTTTTCTAAGCTCAAAATGAATTCAGTGCCATTCATTCAAGGGAGACCTGCTTACCTTCTACCGTGTGCCAAAAACTACAGGGTGGGAAAGATCAAAGAAGTCTACAGCATGGTCCTTACTAAAAACGTACCAGCAATCAAGTTGCACACATGCCCAGTACAGCTCAGAAGATAATGAAATACCAAGTGTAGTAAACAAGAAGTGCTGTGTGAGCTCAGGAAGGACAGAGGGGAACATGGACCAAGGTTACTCGGAACGCCTTACGGCGGGGGAAATTGAGGGCCAGGCAACATTCGGCTCCTAGAAGGCACTCAGTGAATGAACAGAGAGGAGAGTGTTCCAGGTGGGGGAAGTGATGAGCAGAGCTCCTCGGACCAGGATGCCATGTTATCAAGACAATGAGGAGCCACCTCTGACTTTGGTCAAGGGCCTTCGTGAGTAAGCAATATGATTAAGTGGGTTGGGCAAGATTATTGGGGATCTGAACTGAGATTTTATCTCGTAGACCCTGGAGATTGATTTTAGGTCTGTGAGCAGGATGGTGATGTGATGGAAGCCATGTAATCCCAGCACTTTGGGAGGCCGAGGCAGGTGGATCACTTGACCTCAGGAGTTCAAGACCAGCCTTTGCAACATGGCAAAACCCCGTCTCCACTAAAAATACAAAAAGTTAGCCAGGCATAGTGGCACACACCTGTAGTCCCAGCTACCTGGGAGGCTGTGGTGGGAGGGTCGCTTAACCCCAGGTGGTTGATGCTGCAGTATGGGTGATTGTACCACTGCCCTCCAGCCTAGGCGACAGAGTGAGAACCTTTCTCAAAAAACAACAACAAAAATAACATCAATTGCCAGAGTTGGAACCAAAGACCAGACAATATATGGACATTCTTACAATATGTGTCAATATGTGGACAAAGAAGGAAAACTCACCAAGGCAACAACAAAGCCATTCATATGGAGAAAGCATGGGCACCCAGGAGATGCAAGAGAGAAAACGGAGTGGCAGGAGCAGGGCCTTCCTAGGAAGGAGACCTCAGGCCTCACCCTCAGTGAAAGACCCACCACAATGAATGGACGGCTCCAGCCCTCAGAGGGGGGCATGGGGATGGGGTGAGGAAACATTTTGACCCCAAAACTATGCTGTGATTCTGGTTTGTTTGATTAAAATGCAATGTCATTGTCACACATTGCTTTTCTAAGCGTTTTGACCTCTTTGGATACATGAATGTTCTGACTACCTAATATTACAATAAGGTAAAAGACCCATTAGGATCTGAAATAAGGCAGTTCAAAATAAGCATGTAATCATTGGCTAAACAGTCCATGATTAATATCACTACTTCCGTCGAATCTCCCGTTCAGAGAGTCCTGGCTTATATTTGATATTCATGAATAGGTCAAGTTTATTGATTATATAAAGTTTATGCTGCCGGTGCCTAAAAATGTCATTTTTTTAATCTATCGGGCTAAACACTTAAAGATACTGTCTAATGAGTACCTTAGCGTAACTGGGCCTCATTACACACACTCAAATCAGTCTCTGGATGAGTTACCTTCATCTCCCGGCAGAGTCACCGCTGGCCAGGGTTATTGCTTTAATAATCCACATGTCTGCTGTTAATGTTTACCAGCTAGCTAATCAGAACTCTAGAGAATACATGGCATGTTTGCATTGTTACAAGGTAGACATCATTTTACAATTAACTTCATTACAACTGGAATGTAATCATCCAACATTACCTCTTTTTATTTTTCACTGTGAGGCTTTAAGATAATTCAATATATACATAAAACTCTAGGTACTAGATATGCATATAAATGACACTTATTTTCATAAGGATACATAAATATACTCACCCATATATAGCCATACAATTATTATGAGGTATATTTACAATCTTTACATTAAAAGGGGATTGTTTTATGTAAATATTACCTAAAATAAGATTTCTCGCTTTTTTTTTAACCATACAATAAAAAAATATATTCACAAATTAGGCCCTAGGGGGCCATGTTAAATCCACTGTAAATAGAGACTACTGGCGTATGTTGAGTGTGTTTCGAATTGCTAACTTAAGAGAAAATGTATTGTGGTATTTGACATACAGGCAGTAGTTTGGAAAGGCAAAAAACACACTTAATTCCGCATTAAGCAGAGTTTTTAAATTGTGCCTTAAGTTTGAGTGAAAGGAAGGAATATTTTAAAAAGACGTTGCACTTAAGCCATAATGACGTTTAATATCATTCTCTCCTTGTAGGCCTCGCAGTGCCGATTATTTTATGCAAGAAGCTAAACGAATGAAGCATAAAGCAGATGCAATGGTGAGACCCTTTTCTTTCCAGATACGTTCTTCCAAATTATGTGTGTACTGCAGCTTCATCACTGGGACAATATAGCTGGGGTAATTATAAAATCTATTACAAGGATGGCCGGGTCTGTTCAATGGAGAAATGTTTATATAATCAAATGTTCATAGCCCAATAAAGTATGACTTCAACCAATAATGCCTGACTGGGAAAAAGCCCTAGACAAATGAATATTTCAATTTAGTCCTAAGGTTTGAATAGTAACTAGAGCCAGTGGAGGCAGTGGGCGGTAGTATTTTTTTTTCCTTTAAAAAGTAAAATCTAGATTTGCATTTTTCTCTTGTTAGCCTGACAAACCCTTGGCTTGGTCCCAGGATCAAATCTCTTTTCAAAAACACTTGTGTTCTTCACATGTATCTGCCGAAATGAATGCTTTCTCTGAAACTGTACAACACAGAAACTATTATCTGCACGTAAGACTCTAAAGTCACCATGATTTGATGTTTTCAAAGAATAACTTTTCTTGCTTGGATGATCTCCTGTTTTGGAAAGCTTGAAGCTCTCAGGCAAGAGATGGAAAACTTTGTTTTCTTTTCTAAAAGAGATCATGTGGTTGTTCCATCTTAAATGAATGAAGTCCAAAGGGACATCTTCCCACCTAGTAATTCCAGTTTTAGTCTCCTCCAGTGTTCATAACTGAGATTGAGGCAGGTGCTGGAAATGAAGAAGGCATTTCCAGTGACCTTCAGAATACTGAAGATGTTTAAACAGTAACAGTACCCCTCTTCCAATGCTACCAGTGTCACCTATTAAACACTTATTTACGTGAAGACCACTGCCTATGTACACTGGGGTACAGGAGGAATAACCCCTACGTATCAGAAAATAGAGGAGGGCAGCGGAAGGTACAGCTCTTGTCCACACAATCTGAGTCTGATGGACAGTTCTGGTCATCTGGAGAAGCCAATGAATGGCCACTCTTGGAGAAGAGCATCAGATTTTTAAGGAGAAAGAGATTTTCTGCCTGAATCCAGCATCTAAAGTTTACAGCATTATTCATTCATTGTCCTCTTGCCCAACCCTATCTTTCCTGTTGACGATTTCCCAAGAGGAGACACTCTGCTCCAGCCAGGCTGGTCCCCTACTGACCTCTAAGCACACCTTGCTCCTGCCAGCCAGCGGGCCTTTGCACCTGCAGAGATTCACTCTCACACACTCTCATGGGCACACTCACACCCTCAGCATCCTCCCCAAATCTAGCCAAACCCTACCATTCCTTCCCGGCGTCATATTCAGTCTCCTCCCTGTGGCCTTCCCAGCCTCTCTGCGGCCCCATCACTAGCTCACTTTCCTCCATCTCATTTGCACTGGATGCCTCATTTTGTATTTTGTTGGGTAATCACAGACTGCCTTGCACTTTGAACTGTCTTGTAGGTGTACATTTTCTCTCTCCAAGTCTATTATATGTTCCTGGAAAGAGCTTTCGCTTGTGGAGTGCACATACCACAGAATTGGGTGCTTTAGGAAATATTAATACTAAATGAAATGACTTCATCTGAAAGTGTTATCAAGAAATGTTGCATTATAGGCCAGGCACGGTGGCTCACACCTGTAATCCCAGCACTTTGGGAGGCTAAGGCAGGTGGATCATTTGAGGTCAGGAGTTCGAGACCAGCCTGGCCAACATGGTGAAACCCTGTTTCTACTAAAAATACAAAAAAAAAAAAAAAAATGAGCCAGGTGTGGTGGTGCACACCTGTAATCCCAGCTACTTGGGAGGCTGAGACAGAAGACTCGCTTGAACCCGGGAGGCAGAGATTGCAATGAGCCAAGATCATGCCACTGCACTCCAGCCTGGGTGACAGAGTGAGACCCTGTCTCCAAAAAAAAAAAAAAGAAAAAAGAAATGTTGCATTATAGCCTACACTACCTTTATAAGCAGTTTAAAATTTTGATTTGCTAAGGAGAGGAAGTTTTGCTCTGCATTTCTGGTTTTGAAGCTATCATTACTAATGAAGTTTTTTTTGTATTTTTAGTGGCAAGACTTGGAATAGTATTTGAGTATTATGTCATTCTGTTTTAATTGATGAATGAATCATTTGAAAACTGGGGAGATTCTGCAATCCAGAGTTAGAATATGTAATTACCTACAAAGAGTAGTAAGGTATGGAACCAGGAACTTGATGCATAAGTTTAGACTGATGAGATCTTAAGAATATAAAGCTGATTTGTGGCTGCCCTTGCTGATGTGGGGAAAGAATAACACAAATTTCGACAGCTACAGATAATCCCGTAGAAATGTGTTTTGTTTTGCCTTTAGAGACAGCGTCTTGCTGTGTTATCCAGGTTGGAGCACAGTGGGGCGATCATAGCTCACTGGAACCTCAAACTTCCAGGCTCGAGTGATCCTCCTGCCTCACCTTCCCAAAACACTGGGATTACAGGCATGAGCCGCCAGGCCCAACCAAAAATCATTTTTATTAATAATTTTCAACTTTTTGTCCTATTTTAGCAAAGCTGAAATAGCTCCTTGAGGTTTATCTCCTCTCCTTTCCCCTACTCACTCTCACTCTTAAGTGAGGTTCTAAATATTAACAACAACAAAAAAAAAAAACAATTGAGGCCAGGTGTGGTGGCCTATGCCTGCCTGTAATTCCAGCTACGTGGGAGGCTGAGGCAGGAGAATCGCTTGAACATAGGAGGCAGAGGTTGCAGGGAGACTCCATCTCAAAAATAAAAAAATTAAAAAAAATTGAGAAGAGGAAGGCATGGAGATATAAGTGCCACAAATAATGTAAAAGATAATAACCAAGGCCTAGAACCATCCAAGTTGGGGATGTACCAAAAGAAGTATGAAAACTCTTATATGGGACCAGACCTACCAACTTTGATGCATATTTAGCATAGCATGGAGGAACAAGGAATGAAGTCGCCAAACCATTAGGGGTTAGAAAGAGGGAAACAGAAATCAGAGCAGCCATGCAGTTCTGAGCTCTGTTGATTGACAGCTGTCACATGGGTTTGATACAATTCTGTATATAACTGTTCGCTCACTTACTCCAAGCCAGTAGCAGTTTGAGAAAATAAGTAGGAAAAGAAGTATTCTATTTCTTTCTTCTCTCAGCTTCATAGGATTTTAGAAGTCAGAGTTGGGTTTCTCAAATAAGGTGTATAAACTACATGACAATGCCATTTAAAAAAAACTATTGTTTAGGAAGACACTGTATTAACTCTGTTGATCAGGTGGAAAAGTTTGGAAAGGCTTTGAACTATGCTGAAGCAGCATTGTCGTTTATCGAGTGTGGAAATGCAATGGAACAAGGCCCCATGGAATCCAAATCTCCTTATACGATGTATTCAGAAACAGTAGAGCTCATCAGGTAAGCACCGTGTTTTCTTGCTGGATGAGGGGAGGAGTGAGGAATGTGTGGAAGCACTATGGTTACAGAGAAAAGAATGTCAGCCTGCACCATCCCCCACCAGGAACCAGTGTTCATCCCCCCAAAATAAGAGGGTAAGGTCGTGCAAGGCGTCTTGGCACACCCTGCCCCCTCTGTCCTCCGTGAGCAAGGGGGGCAGCTGCTGTAGCCCCCAATTGCTGAGGGAGGAGGCTGAGTCTGAGTGGGCTGTGACATGCCTGCTCCTCTCAGCTAGGAAGTGGCAGATTTTGAGCCTATTTCAGCCCTAGGCTGCTTTAAAAAAAAAAAAAAATCTGGTTCAGGTTAGTATCATCTAAATCTTAGCTCCATCAGTAAATACTTCTGGAGTATTTAATGGAAGAACATTCAGGAGGATTTTATGGAAGGAGAAGCCATCTTATACTGTCTGGTCTAAAAACTGGACATGGGCACCATCCCCAAACCTGGGTGAAGACCTGTGAGCAGACGTGTCAAGGCATTCGATGGCAAACACTTATCCTCCATGATGGAGACCTGGAAAGGCACCTCCATCACATCTCTGTAACCAACAGTTAAGGGAATTTCATCCATTAGCCCTACTGAGAACCTTCATAGTATGGTTTATGTTTTTAGCCAGTTTAACTGCTTGACATAATGTCTAATATCCATAATGAGAAATAATTCTTCCTAAAACTAACTTTTAAAAGTTTTTCTGATTCTGGGGTTCTGTGCAATCAAAGCTTAGACATTTTCCACCATGTCCAAACATTCTGCATGGAAGATTTCTAATCATCTTAGGATGTGATCTTTTTGGTCTACATTGGCCCAAAGATGCTACTTGGTGTTTTACACACCACTTTCCCTCAGTAAATAGTTTCCAGCCTTTGAAACTGTCATGCCGACATCAGAGAACACATCACCTCCATAAAGCATTTTTCAAGAATGTTTTAAAGTCAACACTGCCCATTTTTCTTAATAAAGTATTTCTACTAAATCAATATATTGGTGAATCCTTTATACTGTCTTTTTATATGGCACATTACTTTCAGTAGTGATGAAATGAAAGCAGCAAAGTAAAAAGACTGGTAAAAGTTACTCTAACGGATCCTAGATCCATACATTCCTTCCTCAGAACAAGGCCCAGCCTGAGATGTTCATAGGCAGGCAGGGAGGAAAGTGGGAGAAACTGGACAGGGACAAAGCTGGAAGATGCCCTAGAGTGTGAGTACCTTGAGCACAGGGAGTTTTTTGGGTTTTGTCTGATTTGCTAACTGGGGAATCCTCAGCCCTTCGAATATTTTCTGGCACATAGTATGTGCTTAATAAACAATTAAGGAATCAATGAATAAGCAAGCCATAGGGCCTGCTGTGAACTGGAGTATCATGACCTGCTTAAAGGCATTCACACTTGAAAATCAAACAAGCAAGCCCAAACAAACAAAAAACCATGCCAGCCAGATATACCATCAAAGAGAGGGTGCTGGGGTACCACACCCACTGTGCCCACTGATGGAAGTAATCTTTCACAGGTAGAGAACACTGTCCACCTTCTAGATACTTCAGAATCGATAGAATCACGCAAAATACAGAGAAAACAAAGACAAAAAGACAAATTTGGCTCTTTTTCTTTCTTTCTTTTTTTTTTTTTTTTTTTTTTTGAGACTAAATTTCACTCTTACTGCCCAGGCTGGAGTGCAATGGCACAATCTCAGCTCACCACAACCTCTGCCTCCCGAGTTCAAGTGATTCTCCTGCCTCAGCCTCCCCAGTAGCTCGGATTACAGGCATGCACCACCACATCCAGCTAATTTTGTATTTTTAGTAGAGATGGGGTTTCTCCATGTTGGTCAGGATGGTCTTGAACTCCTGACCTCAGGTGCTCTGCCTGCTTCGGCCTCCCAAAGTGCTGAGATTACAAGCGTGAGCCACCGCACCTGGCTAGCTCTTTTTTCAACCTACATTAGAAAATAGCATTAATTTTCTGGGCGCGGTGGCTCACGCCTGTAATCCCAGCACTTTGGGAGGCTGAGGCAGGCAGAGCATGAGGTCAGGAGATTGAGACCATCCTGGCTAATACGATGAAACCCCGTCTCTACTAAAAATACAAAAAATTAGCCGGGCGTGGTGGCCGGCACCTGTAGTCCTAGCTACTCAGGAGGCTGAGGCAGGAGAATGGCGTGAACCTGGAAGGCGGAGCTCGCAGTGAGCCAAGATCGCGCCACTGCACTCCAGCCTGGGCGACAGAGCGAGACTCTGTCTCAAGAAAGAAAAAAAAAAAAGAAAACAGCATTAATTACATCCGCACATTGCCCACCCTGCCTGACCCTCCTCTCCCCTACTGAGACACTGAAGGGCCTGGAGCGCTGGCAAGGGGTTCTCACCACCAAGATGACCTAGCCCAGGATGTACACTTTGTCCCTACGGGCAGAATTCCCTTCACCAGGGAACTCCAGATGGCCAAGCAGGCGTGGGTCAGTGGAGCACTGCCACCACACGAGCTCAGCCTGGTGACCCTCTCCTCCCACCCTTCCACTCTCCGCAGGCAGTACCATCAGGGATGAGCTGAAGCCCCGGTGGCACCAGATCAACCACACAGACTAAAATAGTATCAGAAAGGCTCTGAAAATTAAATTATCATTGGAACCACAGCCCCCAAAGTAGGCTAGGGCCTTCCTGCTAGACCTAAACAGGGTGGCTGGGTTTAAAATAGGACTCAAGAGTCTCCTAACCTAATGGTCAAAATGTCCAGGATACCATAGGAACTCACTCATCATACCAAGAACTAGGACAGTCACCACTGGCATGAAAAAAGATGATCAGAAGACCTCAATGCAAAGATGAATCAGTTGCTGCAATTATCTGACAAGGATTTTTAAAGCAGCCATCGTAAAAATGCTTCAATAATCACAGTTATCACTCAACAAACAAAACCAGAAAATCTTTTCAAAGAAATGGAAGTTATTTTAAAAAGAACTAAATGGAAATTGTGAAACTGTAGAATTTGATAATATAAACCCCAAAAATGGACTCAGTAGTAGAGTGGAGATGACAGGAGAGAGTCAATGAACTTGAGGACAAAAAATATAATTTACCCAATCTGAGCAGTAAAGAAGAAATAGACTGAAAAAATTAAATGAACACAGCCTCAAGCACAATAAGAAAAAATCCAACATTTGTGTCATGGAAGTCTCAGAGGAGAGGAATAGAGAGTAGGACTGAGAGAGTATTTGAAGAAATAATGGCTGAAACTTGCCAAATTTGTCAAAAGACATAAACCTACAGATTTAAGAAGCAGAGAAAAACCTAAATAAGATAAACCCAAAGAAATGCATGCAAAAACACACCATGATTACATTTCCAAAAACTAAAGGCCAAATATCCTGAAAGCAGCCAGGGAGAAACGATAATTATCTGCAGGGGAGAATCAATTCGAATGACAGCAGGCTTCTCTGAAACCATGCAGGCTGGGAGGGAGTGGCGTGACAGTTTCCAAGGGTTCAAAGAAGGAACTGTGAAGCCATGAATTCTAGAGTCAGTGAAACTATTCTTCAAGAATGAAGGGAAATAAAGATAGCCTCAGATTTAGGAAAAGTACAAGTATGTGTCTCTAAAAGACCCACCCTTAAAGACTGGCTAAAAGAAGTTTCTCAAACAGAAATAAAATGACAAAAGAAGGAATATGGGAGCATTGGGAAAGAAGGAAGAACAGACACATAGATATATATACAATAAACTACTCCTTATGAGTTTATAAACCAGGTTTGAGGATTGAAACAAAAATTATACCAGCAGTCCAGGCACAGTGGCTCACATCTGTAATTACAGCACTTTAGGAGGCCAAGCTGGGAGGATAGCTTGAGGCCAGGAGTTTGAAACCAGCCCAGACAACATAGTAAGACCCCACTGCTACAAAACAAAACAATAAAAAATTATACCACCATCTGATACTCAAGACAATGCTATTTTTAAGTGGGGAAGGTAAAGGTATCTAAATTGAAGTAAGACTTCCATACTATCCCAAAGTGATAAAATGTTGATACCAATAAATTACATGTATATTGTAAAATCCAGAGCAACCGCTGTAAAAATTATGCAAAGAGATAACACTGAAAAATGCTACAAGTCTGCATGTTGAGGAGATAGTGCGATGATAACAGTATGTTTCTTGAGCAATTTACAAGCCAGCCAACTATCCCAAGAGCTTTACAAACGCTATCTTAGTTAATTCTTAACACAATGTTATGTGATTGGCAGTATTAGTCTTATTTTATAGATAAGGAAATGGAGGCTTAAAGATGTTAATACATTTGTCTAAGCACTTACAACTTATAAGTCGCTGAGCTGAGATTTGAACCTAGGACAATCTGATCATTACACATACTGCCTCAGCTCTCTCAAAGAGTCTGCATATGTAATTTGGTATGTTGTTGGGAGAAAGCAATGGCCACAGTCCCCTTGGTTCAGAAAAATAAATGGAATTAAGTGCAGTCCATAAAAGCCACTAGTTTCTCGTAGTATCTGTCTGTAGAAGCAAACAGAGATTAAAAATGTACTCAGGACACTTATGTAGCTGTCAAAGTAAAAGTTACATAACAAAGAAAGAGGGGTAAATCTAAGCATTCCTCTGCATACCCAGGATGGAAATTCTTCTGGAGGTAAGCACAGAAGGATAGAACTTCACCTCCATCTGTCAGACACTCAGCCATAAATCAAAATGTGGAAAAATGGACATGTTAGCATATACATGAATAGTTCTTGAACTGGTATCACTCCCGACAATCTGTAGCATTTGAACTTGTACTGTTAAAGAGCAGAAAGTAGCTGTTCTAGTCATCACAGTAATGTAATACTTGGGAAAATGGAGCAGCACCAGCTAGCTTTTAAGAAAGAATTATCAGCAAGTACTATGAAAAGCTAAGGATCAGGCAGGGAGAACTACCATCATAGAAGTTCTGTTAATAAAAAAGCTAGTTTTACTATTTCTTTGCTTTTTATGTTTTTTATTCTATTCCTCCTCCCCGCTTTTTCTAAGGTATGCTATGAGACTAAAAACCCACTCAGGCCCCAATGCCACACCAGAAGACAAACAACTGGCTGCATTATGGTGAGTGCCCATCTCCGCTTAGAATAGCAGCCCCAGCCTCGCATGCCATCATTGGCAAACCAGGTGCTGAAAGGCATAGTGTTTGCCCAATGTCTTCTAACATACAAAGCCCCAGAGCAGTTCTAATGACCAGGGAAAGTCCAGACCATTTTTTGCTGCCGTACTATACATGATCTGAATTCACAGTGATTGAAAATCGACAGGCCTACCAAAGTGCTGGGATTACAGGCATGAGCCACTGTGCCCGGCCTAATTTTTGTATTTTTAGTAGAGATGGGGTTTCACCATGTTGGTCAGGCTGGTCTTGAACTCCTGACCTCAAGTGATCTGCCTGCCTCAGCCTCCCAGAGTGCTGGGATTACAGGCGTGAGCCATCGCACCCGGCGCAGCCGCTTACTTTGAAAATGATGCCACAGAAAAAAGGGAACGATCGGGTAACCTATAGTTCCTTTACCTGTCAGCCCTTTCTTACTCATCAGTAGGTGGAAGGCAGAGAATGTTGATAGAATACATGTCTACCAAGCAGTGAAATAAAGACAGTTGAATTAAAAAATAATAATAACAGCAACAGACACAAAAAAGGTCTCAAATTGTTACCTGTCCTGGATTTGGTTGGTAGGAGGAGATGGTGCCATTGCACCCAGAATGTTGGTATTCTGGATGTCAGCATCAGATCCGAGTTAGCAAATAACTGAGTGAAGAGCTCCAAGGAAGAGAGGATAAGTCTCAGAAACGCCTTTTGTGCCCCTTTCAAACTTTAAGTCCCATATTGGAATAATACACTAAATGACAATAATATGATTATATAAGATAGAATACTGATATATAAATAAGTATACAAAATATTATAGGAAATAATAAAATGATGGCACCTATTCCCAGCATAGTGTTTTTGTTGTTTATAATGATGGCACCTATTCCCAGCATAGTGTTTTTGTTGTTTATAAAGTACATTCATGTTTGTGACTTTAGTGGAGCTGCTTATAGTTCAGTAACATCAGGTGGCAGCGTCGTCCTTTCCGCAGAGCGGGGCTCGCCCGCGAAGCAGTGAAGGCTGCGTACTAGAGCTACCTCGCGCCTCTCGTGGAGAGACAGCGCCCTCTCGTGGTGGAAGAAGGAAGCGGCCGGCCCCTGTGACCCAACAGAGTGATTCACCTAATGCTGTAAAATTATCTAGTGATAAATGTATTTATGGAATACCTTCTTGGAATTTTGAATTCTATTTTTGGACAAAAGATGTTCCCTCACAGACATTATATGCACGTATAGAAAGATTTCCTATGTAGAAACAAGGTATTGTTATTGAGTACCTTAGAACAACAACAAAAATGTTTAAGTCTTGTTTGCGCACGACGCACTCAGCCGCTTCTGGGCCTGTTTCTCTTTTCGCCTGCAGTTACCGATGCCTGGCCCTCCTGTACTGGCGGATGTTTCGACTCAAAAGGGACCACGCTGTAAAGTATTCAAAAGCACTAATCGACTATTTCAAGGTACTGTCTAGTGAATGAGCAGAATTGTTCCTTAATTTCACTTGTCTCCCTGTCAAATTTGTGAAGCACCTGGTAGACTCCATTGCTTTGGGGTTAATGCAGGTCACCTCTGGTCCCCAAGGTAACCCCATTTATGCCACACTTGTGGCTTTCAGGCCTCAGAATGGACCTTTGAGAGCCCATCTAATGTATCTCCCTGCCTTCTTGTCCAAGTATTTTTATTTTTTTATTTTTATTTTTTTATGTATTTTTGGAGACAGAGTTTCACTCTTTGTTGCCCAGGCTGCAGTGCAATGGTGCGATCTCGGCTCACTGCAACCTCCGCCTCCTGGGTTCAAGCAATTCTCCTGCCTCAGCCTCCCAAGTAGCTCAGATTACAGGCGCACACCACCACGCCTGGCTAATTTTGTATTTTTAGTAGAGATGGGGTTTCACCATGTTGGTCATGCTGGTCTCGAACTCCTGACCTCAGGTGATCTCCCCGCCTCCACCTCCCAGAGTGCTAGGAATACAGGTGTGAGCCACCACGCCCAGCCTTGTCCAGGTATTTTTATGGCTTCAAGAGAAAGAAGATCCAGTTACTCGTTCCACTGTCCTAGGAAATTCATCTTTATAGCTAACATAAATTCCTCATGCTCACTTAGAGCTTCTTTTCCTTAGAAGTAACCCCTTAGAGCCATTCCCTCTTAGCCAGTCTCTAGTAGCTTATTTAATTTTTAATGGCGTTATTTAAAATGGTAAGAGATGGCTTGTTAGAACTCAGAAGCAGTAGATAGCAGTGTGTAGCTATAGGGATAAAATTGCAAACCATGCCACCTTTTACTTATCTCAGGGAATGAAATTATTTTCACTGGGAGAATAAATTTTTAAAAGCCTTCGCTGATGTACTGTTGTGAGGTCGACCTTACATTAATAATTAATTTGAGATTTCTGGTCCTCTTCTCTGTTTATCTATAGAAACTAGAAATTATGCCGTCTCTATCTCCAACAGCCCTTTGTCAGATACACAACCATCATTTGAGATCTGTTCATGCCCAACCTCCTCTAGAGGTGATCTCTAATGGCCAGGCTGTGCTGGGGGTTCCTGGGGTATGTTCAGCACACTGCCTTCCAATTGTGCATGTAGAGTAACCAGGTGCTAGGCCATGGACATCACTTTCTCAGCCCATTGACCGTCCTGTGTCTTCAGGACAAGAACCAGCACTGAGCCTTCCCTTTCCTTCAGGTGCCTAAAGTCAACATCAATAGTGTTCAAAAATCCAGAACGTAAGATCTACTACTAAAGAGAATTATTACAGTCAAGGAAAATGCTTGAATAAAGAAGGAAGCTGAATTCTGTAAGCCGCCAGGGGCTACAACAAACTTTTAAGGGATACAAGTTCTTAATATTCTCTGCAGCCCACTAATACATACAGAATGGGTAGAAAACACGCCAGGCGTGGTGGCAGGCATCTGTAATCCTAGCTACTAGGGAGGCTGAGGCACGAGAATCGTTTGAACCCGGGAGGCAGAGGTTGCAGTGAGCAGAGATGGCGCCACTGCACTCCAGCCTGGGCGACAGAGTGAGACTTTGTCTCAAAAAAAAAAAAAAAAAAGGAAAACACAACCAGAAAATCAGAGTTGCTCCTCAAGGAATTAATGTCATTTACCCTTCATCAAAAGCTATTTTTAAAATTTTTTTAATTAATCAACAACAAATTGCGTGTACTTATGTATAATGTGATGTTTTGATATATTTATACATTGTGGAATGATTAAACCAAGCTAATTAACATATCCATCACCTCACATACTTACCGTTTTTGTGATGGGAACATTTAAAATCGATTCTTTTAGAGATTTTCAAGTATACTATATATCATTATTAATTGTAGTCACCATCCCATACAATAGATCTCCAGAACTTATTCCTGATAACTGAAACTTGGATACAAAGTTTCAAGGACTTTTTTTTTTTTTCTGTCCCGTTCTGTTGCCCAGGCTAGAGTGCAGTGGTACAGTCGGAGCTCACTGCAGCTGTGAATTCCTGGGCTCAAGCAGTCCTCCCACCTCAGCCTCCCAAGTCGCTGAGACCACAGATACACACCACCACACCCAGCTCATTTTTTCATTTTTTGTAGACAGAGGGTCTCCTTGTGTTGTCCAGACCCTTCTCGAACTCCTGTCCTCCAGCGAGCCTACTGCCTTGGCCTCCCAAAGTGCTAGGATTACCAATGTGAGCCATACACCCAGCCTCAAGGGCTATTTAAATGCTACTTTGAGTTCAGAAACCATGAAATCTTTAGGTACCCAAGACAATTTGGCTATATGTGTTTTATCAGTACAGAGCTATCTCTAAAAAAAAAGAACTTTGTTCCTACCGGTATTTCTTGGGCATGGGGCTTAGTGGTAGAGGAAGAGAACTCAAGACTTCTTTTTTTGTTGTTTTTTTTTGAGACGGAGTCTCGCTCCGTCACCCAGGCTGGAGTGCAGTGGCACAATCTTGGCTCACCCTAACCTCCACCTCCCAGGTTCAAGCGATTCTGTCTCAGCCTCCCAAGTAGTTGGGATTACAGGCGTGTGCCACCACACCCGGCCAATTTTTTGTATCTTTAGTAGAGATGGGGTTTCACCATGTCATCCAGGCTGGTCTCAGACTCCTGACTTCAGGTGATCCACCCACCTCAGCCTCCCATAGTGCTGGGATTACAGGCGTGAGTCACTGCCTTCTTCCTCCATTCAGTAGCCTTTACTGGACTGTTTCTGCAACCCCCAAGCCTTTCTCCCCTTCTGCCATTAGTGTTCTTATATCCAGAACATGCATTCTATAGATCACGTTCTCAGAACCACAGGATGAAGTGGAAACAAAGTGATCAGTCCAGTAGCACCAGCTTGAGAAAGGTGTCAGTAACATTGTGTCAAGAAAGGGAGGATAAGCTCCCCTGTTCAGGAAGGTTTCCTAATTCTCCTCATGAAAATAATTGTATTTCCTGACACAGGTAAAAGTGGCATGGTTTGCGGTGTTGTCCTTACATTTACATCTTGCCATTGTAGCACCTCAGAGTTCTGACAGGCCATTTCTTGCCATTTTAATAACACCCGCACTAAAACCAGAAAAATCAGTCACCACTCCATAAAGTTCTTTCTAACCAAAAGAAACATGTTGTCTCTGGAGAACCAGGCTGAGGCTGTTTTCTTGTCTCTGGAAGGGGAAAACTCCCATCAGCATCACAAAGACCGCTTTCTCCCTTAACAGTCCTATGAAGGCATGATTGGGTTCTCAGAGGGGAAATCTAACTGTGCATTGAGCAACTTCCCTAACTAGAGGCAAAACTTTTAAATATCTGATGCAAGCACCTGGCTTGTGCAACAGAACTTCCTAAACCAGAATATTCAGATAAACCAGAATGTTTGAACATCCTGTCTGTTCTGGAAATATATTTTAATCAATTCTATTAGGAATATGCAACAGCAACTTACTTTAAGAAGAAATACTTTTAAACTTCCTAAGTTAAAACAATACAATCTGATGTCATGTATTTTCAGGCACTAAGTAAATGTATGTCGACTGTTTCTGCAAACATGTCCTACTTTTAAATATAAAGTATTGTATATAAGGGGAGATATGAGGGTGTTCCTGCTCTTTTTTCCTTTTAAGAAAAATTAATTTACAATGAAAAAGTAAGGCTGCTTCAAGATTTAACAGACCGTTGGGATTATGACTTAATGTGGTACCTAAAATTTGTACATAAAAACCCAGGCTGTGGGTGAAGCCCTTCACTTACCTCACTGAGGGCTGATGCAGGCACCTTGTCCATGCAAAATAACTTCTAAATCAGAATATTCAGATAAACTAGAACTTTTGAGTATCCTGTCTGCTAGGGAAATACATTTAAATATATTCTCTTAGGAATGTTCAAGAGCAACTCCCTTTAAGAGAAATACTGTTAAACTTCCGAAGTCCAGGCAGCTGTCCCGACTCCCTTCCAGAAAGGGAACAGAGAACTGTGATGGAGACTTCCCAGGTCCAGTTTCTCTGAAGGTGCCTTTTTCCTGCAGTGTCTGCCTTTGCTTCTCTCTGCAGTCACCTGAAAACACGTTCATGTCACCTGTTTCACCTCACGCAGATGGCACTCACTGTCAGTGTTTTTATTTTCTTGCAGAACTCATCTAAAGCCGCCCAAGCCCCATCTCCGTGGGGGGCCAGTGGAAAGTAAGTTCGCTTTTCCAAAGTCAATGCCGTAAGCCAGACAATGCATGGTGCTGGGCCACTGCGCTTTGCTTTCTGTTCCCCAAGGGGCTGCCCTGCCTCGCTTGCTCCCGACCTCGCCACTCTGGTTTTTCTACCTCTCCCCTTCCAGGAGCACTGGAACCCCATCCCCCATGTCTCCCAACCCCTCTCCCGCCAGCTCCGTGGGGTCTCAGGGCAGCCTCTCCAACGCCAGCGCCCTGTCCCCGTCGACCATCGTCAGCATCCCACAGCGCATCCACCAGATGGCGGCCAACCACGTCAGCATCACCAACAGCATCCTGCACAGCTACGACTACTGGGAGATGGCCGACAACCTGGCCAAGGAAAACCGAGGTGAGCGCACACCCCACGGGGAACCAGGGGCTTCCGCCTCCCGGGTTCAAGCGATTCTTCTGCCTCGGCCTCCTGAGTAGCTGGGATACTCACACAGTTGTATATCCTTTCTTCATTTGACATTATATCAGGCATTTTCTCATGTCACTAACTAGTTCAAAAACACCCTTTATGGTGGTTCTATAATAATATCCTAGTACATTGATTATACAGTCACAAAGTATCCTGATTTCTCAAACCATTCCCCTGTTGTTAGACATTTAAGTTCCTTCCAATTTTTTTCCACTGTGACAAATAATGTTGGTGTAAATATCCCTACATAAGTCATTGTTCATATTTCTGGTTATTTTCTTTTTCTTTTTCTTTTTCTTTTTTTTTTTTTTTTTTTTTTTGGTTTGAGACAGAATCTTGCTCTGTTGCCAGGCTGAAGTGCAATGGGCACTATCTCGGCTCACTGCAACCTCCGTCTCCTGGGTTCAAGCGATTCTTCTGCCTCAGCCTCCCGAGTAGCTGGGACTACAGGCATGTGCCACCGCTCCCAGCTAATTTTTTTGTATTTTTAGTAGAGGCGGGGTTTCACCATGTTGGCCAGGATGATCTCGATCTCTTGACCTCGTGATCTGCCTGCCTCAGCCTCCCAAAGTACTGGGATTACAGGCGTGAGCCACCACACCCGGCCATATTTCTGATTATTTTCTTAGGAGGGAGTTGTGGAATAAAATTTGGGGGTCAACAGATACAGATTCTCTTAAGATATATATTGTTATATATATCAACATATGCTGTTAACTCTTCTCCTGAAAGATTATACTAATTTACTATTGGCCCTACAGCAGCAGGTAAGAGTGCAAATCTGAGTTCACTCCATGAAATGCAAACTATGTTCCCATGATAGCATGGGAGCATGATAGCTCCAAAGAGCAAGATGTTCAGGATGAGATAAGGAATGTATGGCAGAGTGCATGAGATTGTAAATAAAACCACATAGTACATAACATGCAGCCCAGAGAAAGTCCAATGAGAATGCCATGGGGGTCAGAAGCCACCAGGAGGAGCTTGCTAGAGGAGCTGGCATGGAACCATGGAACAGGGCTTTGAAAAGCACTTAGATTTTGGGAGGCTGAGGTGAGTGGATCGCCTGAGGTCAGGAGTTTGAAACCAGGCTGGCCAACATGGAGAAACCCCGTCTCTACTGAAAATACAAACATTAGCCGGGTGTGGTGGTGCTCGCCTGTAATCCCAGCTACTCAGGGGGCTGAGGCAGGAGAATCGCTTGAACCTGGAAGGCGGGCAGTGGTTGCAGACAGCCAAGATCGCACCATTGCACTCCAGCCTGGGCGACAGAGCGAGACTCCATCTCAAGGAAAAAATAAAGAAAAGAAAAGCGCTTAGCAGTTGAGTGACTGAAATAGGTGGGGTGGGTGTCACCAGTGGACAAAACAGAAAGGACAAATGTATAGAAATACACGTGTCCAGTTTGGGAGACTGTGAGCAGGCCAAGCTCCAGATGGCACTGCCAGCTGCCTGCTAGATGTCTCCTACCAGAGGGCTCAGTGCCAAGTGTCCAGTGCAGACTTGGCATTGTTCCCCTACCCCTACCTGCTCCTCCTCCTCTGTTCTACCCCTGGATCCCTGCCCTGGCCAACCTCCTAGCCACCTCCCCATCCCTGCCCCAGCAAGTCTTCATTCAGCATGTATGTGAGGACCTTTGAGACACTTCTCCCAGATGCTTACTCCCAAGAAATGTATGCAGTGACCAGCCATGACAGTAGAGTAGCCATATGAATGTGTTTTCCTCTATCAGCCACTAAACTGTGATTTTGAGACAGCAGAGCCCACACAATTCATCCTGCTATCATCCCCTACCCACCCCTGCACCTAGCAGAGTGCCTTGGTACATCATAGATATTTGTTTGTTTTTGAGGCGGAGTCTTGCTCTGTGGCCCAGGCTGGAGTGCAGTGGCACAATCTCAGCTCACTGCAACCTCCTCCTCCCGGGTTCAAGCGATTCTCCCACCTCAGCCTCCGGAGTAGCTGGGATTACAGGTGTGCGCCACCACACCTGGCTAATGTTTGTTTGTATCTTTAGTAGAGACAGGGTTTTGCCATGTTGTCCTGACTGGTCGCGATCTCCTGACCTCAAGCGTTCTACCCGCCTCAGCCTCCTAAAGTGCCGGAATTCCAGGTGTGAGCCACCGTGCTTGGCCACATCATAAACATTTGGTGAAAGGGCAAACCTAGGGAATGTTCAAAAGCTAGAAGGTGACTTCAGTCCAGATGTCTCGTGACCCATCTCTGATTTGCCCCCAGGAACCTGGAGCCTCACCCCTTGGACTCACTCCAGGGGCTCAGCGCATACCAGAATTGAGTACAGGGTGAGGGACGACAGAGCCACGTTCACGTTCAGGAGTGGGAAGCATTACTGGACTAGGAGAATGCAGCTGGAGGATATGGATTTTCTTTGCTATTTGGCTAAGCAAATACTATTCATTTGAGTTAGAAATGGCAGATATCATGTATTTATTTATTTGGATATAGGATGAGTTCCCCATCCTTGGATTTTATTTTGTTCAAAGGAATGCTAAAGTTACATGATGGAACGGAGAATCCTTGATTTATATAGAGACCATGAATGGAATTTTTCCTTACATCAGTTGCTCAGGATAGCACACCTAGCATGTGTGGCATTCTTAACAACTCTTTCTGTCCCCCTAGAATTCTTCAACGACCTGGATCTGCTCATGGGGCCGGTCACCCTGCACAGCAGCATGGAGCACCTGGTCCAGTACTCCCAACAGGGCCTGCACTGGCTGCGGAACAGCGCCCACCTGTCATAGGGACCTCACCCTGGGGCCAGAGTGGGCTCTGGTCTCCACAGATGGCTCAACGTTTTTGGACACTGTGCTACTGAAACTCCCAGCCACAGCATTTATCAGACTGCGGTGAACATTTCCTCAGCATTGAACAATGATCTTTTGCAGGGCATGTGTGTTTGTATGTGTGGGTATATAAGAAGCCGCCTGTGTATGTGTGTAAGATACACAGCTCTTCAGAACACACCTTCTTTGTCTAGTTTCCATAATCCCAGGCTAGACAAAGTGATCAGAGGTTTCTGACTAGAGGAAGTACACACACACACACACACACACACACACACCGTACACTCACACACAATCACAGACACACACTTTCTATTCCATTCCAGTGCTAAACCGTGACTTCTTAGAAAATTCAACCAAAATCTCATGGGTTAGTTAACCAGGTGCAATACAGCACACCAAAAGCTTGACTGCCAGTGAAGATGGACCTGCTCTTATACTGTTGATTACTTTCAGTATTAATATACTATTCCCCAATTATTTTTTGATTGGTATGTATTAATGGGTAATTGAATAATGAAAATAAGCCAGGTATTTTTGTGCCGGAAGTTTACTAGATTGCATGTTACCAAATACCCTGCTCTTCCTCTAATTCCCTTCCCCCATCTGACTCTATTATCAACTAAATGCATTCCAGGCAAACAGATGGACACTCACAGCCCTTCCCAGCCCCACCTCCAAGTAGTATGCAAATGGCACTGAGATTTAGCAAAAACGCGGCGTCTTTGAAAGTTAACAGACACTAAGGTAGCAGTGCCTGTGTGTTGGAGCTCAGTTAGGAGTTGAAGTTTTCTGCACCTGTGATAACAAGCCCACCAGCCACATGCATTTCTTCTTCCTGCCACTGTGACTCGGTGGCTGTAGAGCCACATGGCATTTGTCAGCCAATCTGTTTCAAGTCTTTTCTTTCCACCAATAGCTTTCTTACAGATTTTCTTGGCTAAATGAGGCCATTACCTAGATTGTCCCTTCAGTAGGAGCCTGAATCCTTCGCTTACCAGGCTGAGAGCTATTTGCCATGATAATGCTGATTCTCTCACTCCTCATGCAGAATGTGCACCTGCAGCCCTTTGATGCGTTTTGATTTGGGGGCGATTTTTCAGGCTTTGATTAGCAGGCTGCTTGCAATGCAGAAGATCACAGTTCCTTTCTGGGGCAGCAGCAACCAGAGCCTCTTCCTGTGTCCTGTGTGTCTGGTATGTTTACACCTTGCTCTGAGTTTTTCTCTTGTTTTCTTTTTTTAATTAAGTTTACATTTTAGTTTCTTTGACATCTTGTTTACAGTTTTTGTCTGATGTTTTTTCTTTTGTAGTGTCTTATGCCCTAGATTTAGTCATCTTGTTAAATATATTTGGATATGAAATCTTGACGAAAAGAAAATAACTCCTGAAAAAGAGGGTCTATCTTGCCACACGTTAAAAACAAAAATAATGTCCTTGTGGCCTCTTACTTGATAAAGTTGCACCAGGACGGTCTGAGAAAGGCAGGCGGTGTAATATGTGGTGCAATCCATTTTTTCAAGGTGATGACGGCACAAAATACTTAGACTAGATGCTGATCCATAAACATTCACTGATATTCTTACAGGTTGGTTTGCAGTGTTAACATTTTTGTTAGCCTGATCTGTAGGTGGGAAGTAAGATCATCATAATTCCTTAGCTCTGAGCACTGATTCAAAATTGTATAAATGACTGAACAACTTAGATGATTTGAAATTAATTGAAAATAAGAAGGGCTTGTGGAATTTGCATTTGGCTTTGGCCTTCAAGCATTTGGAAATATTAAGAGAATTTCCATTTTACATGTCTCCAACTGGGGTGCTTCTTACAACCCTTTCACTTTTTTTTTGAGACGAGTTTCGCTCTGTTGCCCAGGCTGGAGTGCAGTGGCACGATCTCGGCTCACTGCATCCTCTGCCTCCTGGGTTCAAGTGATTGTCCCGCCTCAGCCTCCCAAGTAGCTGGGATTACAGGTGTGCACTACCATGCCCAGCTAATTTTTGTGTTTTTAGTAGAGACTGGGTTTCACCATGTTGGCCAGGCTCGTCTCAAACTCCTGACCTCAGGTGATCTACCCGCCTCCACCTCCCAAAGTGTTGTGATTACAGGCGTGAGCCACCACACCCAGCCCTTTCACTAATTTTTGGCAGAGTTCACAATCCCATCCTATGTCAGAAACTTGAACCTAACTTAAGAAATTTTGAGTCATTTTTTTGGAGGACTGAGGCTTTGTTCTACCTACTCTTGAAGAATCCTGATGAAATATTCAAACACATAAAGGGATGGCCCTGGAGGTCTATCCTGCATACCTGGAGAGCTTCTCTGGTCCTGCCCACCTTGAAAGTTGCAGACTTTGTTGTAACATCTATGTGATGAGCTTCCCTGTGAAGCCCCATTTGACAGGTGGGCCAGCAGTGTTTTATCAGCACTCTGATGGCCCACATTTCCCAGGAAAACTTCTTGAAACTTACCGTTGTGGGCAGTGGTCAGAGCGTGTAGTTCTTATGACTGTCTTGTTTCATCTGTGGAGCACGTGTGGAGCACGTTGGTACAGCAGTTTCTGTGGGGTTTGGCATGGGTGATTTTGGTTAGTAACCATCCTCCAATTGTTGCTTGTGAAAGTCATTCATAACTTGTTCCTTTTACTTAGTTTTGTTGTTACTGCTGTTGTTGTTGGTTTGGTTGGTTTTGAGACCGGGTCTGGCTCTGTAGCCCAAGCTGGAATGCGGTGGCGCGATCATGGCTCCCTGCAGCCTCAAACTCCTGGGCTCAAGCAATCCTCCTGCCTCAGCCTCCCAAGCAGCTGGGAAGATAGGCACGTGCCACCACACCCGGCTAATTTTTTCTTTATTTTTTTTGTAGAGATGGGGGTCTCACTATGTTGCCCAGGCTGGTCTCAAACTCCTGGGCTCAAGCGATCCTTTGGCCTCGGCCTCCCAAAGTGCATGAGCCACCATGCCTGGCCTGTTTAGTTTTGTTTCAAGTTGAAATACCTTTCTTGTGTTTTCTAATTAGAAAAGTAATATCTACTCATTGTAAAAACTCAAACAGTGCAGAAATGTAGAAAGTAGAAAGTGTAAGTCCCTGGTTGTCCCTTCTGCCTGAGACAACCACTGCTCACAGTTTGATGTATATCCTTCCAGAGACTCTCAAATTTAAGCAAATAATTTTTATTACCATGTCTTTTTATTTGAAGACGTACATTTGCCTCCAAAGTTCAACACAAGTTCAACTGACCATATCCTTCCATGACCTGAATAGATGCTATCCTTTATCACGATGTTCAATTGCCTTTGAAAGAGAGTAGTCCAGGTATATTCCTGATCAAAATTTGGCATTTTTGATGATACTACTCTACACAGATCAGACTCATGTGCAGAATCGTGCCTGGAGAGAGAGGTTTGGTTAAGACAGAGATTTCTGGAAACATTCAAATTGCAAATGGAAACTTGAAACCCACAATCTAATGAGGAATGTACTGGAAAAATAATCTGAAGAGTTGACAAATTGTGTACTAGATTGAACACATGGAATGCAATGCAATGAGACTTTCTGCACTAAAACTTATCCTCATATGTACAACAATGATGTGTGTATTATATAACAGTGATGTGTACATTTCTGACACCCCATACATAATATACACAGTTTGTATAAATGCATACATTTAAAAATATATATGTACAATACAGCTAACATAAAACTGTAGTACGCCTGAAGGATATTACTAGTGCCTAATATTGAGTATGAGTCACTGCGTGTTCGCATCAACTTGGAAGTGCAGTAATTGTTATAAAATTAATCAGTGCAGCCAACATTATTTATGAATCACATCTTTGAAACTGTGCAGTAGCATATACATATATATTTTTAAATAACATTTTTCACAGTTTTCCAGAGTTACTGTTGAAATCTGCATCACCAAAAAAAAAAAAAAGCAAGATTTTTTTAACAATGTAGACACTCTTCAGACCCAGTAATCTGCGTGTGATTTCCTATTTGTAGATTCCCAAGAGACTTTAGCAGTCACCAGCCTTAATGCATGTACAGGATATTATTGTGACTTAATTTATCTGCAGTTTTTAATCCATGTGAAATTGGAATTTATAAACGGACTTGGATTAAACATGTCTGCCTTTCTAAGGTTGCAAATGTTACATTAAATGATTTATGTTGTAAATGAGAGAAGTTGAGTTGTACGTAAAAGACATCCACCAATTTCTGTGAATATTTTTACACGGAAACTTGAGAATCAAAATACGTTCAAGTCAGTTGTTCTGGCTCCCAGTTTATAATCTCGAAAAGCAATCTTTTTGTTTCATAAATGGCTTAAATGTAGCTCCCACAGATTATCAGTATGAAGTCTGACATTTTTCATGGAAAAGAAGTATGTTTTTCTTCATTATAACTATAGTTTACTATTTGTCTTTGCTATTTCCTGATACATACACATACGCACACACGCGCGCACATGCATGCACGTATGCACATGCACGCTCCCAGTGTCCCAGTGAAGGCTCAACAGGAAGCTTGAGAAGGTCATCTCAATGGCCACAGGGTTCCTGTTCAACCAGTAGCCCTGGGATGCCGCTTTGCTTGTCATTCTTTAGTGTCACAAGTTAGTTCCCTGACTTGTGTGCAGTCAGGGAACTGCACACAACTGAAACCAACATGGTGGAATCATGTTTGCAATATTTGGTTGAGTAAAATAAGATAATTTTGAACTAAAGAAGACGGAGGCATTAGACCAGTGGCTTGACATGAAGCATCCCCTATGTGGGAGGGTAAGTTTGTTAACTTCATTTTTAGTCTTATCTCCAACCCTTTTCCTTATCCTCCTCCCCAAACTAAAGAAGCAGAAACAGCAACAAAAGCAAAACCATCCCTTCACCTGATCCAGCCCATGTCCTTAGATTCAAATATCCTTTGTCTTTTTCCCATTATACCATCTGACATAACTCACTCGTGTCTAGAGAGAAAAATGCAGAAAGGGTTTGTTTGCAGATGGGCAGTTCAGTTGAGTCCTCATTAACCAGGCAGAGGGGTGCAGAAGAAGCCTGACTCAGGGTCACCATGGAGAACTCCTCATCCCAGAGATGGGTGGGACAGGAACTTGGCTTTGCTTCACCAACCACTGAGCTTGATACTCTTTCAGAGGTGGTTTGTGCTAAGAAACACCCAGCAGTCTTTCAAGAACGTTCTCTTCTGTAGCTTTGCCTGCTACACAGCTGAAGTCTGTCCCTATAAGAATTATATTTGTAAAAAGTAATACATTTTCGAAGAAACCCGGATCAAGTGGAATCTTGAAAGTTTTTTTAATGAAAGGGGAAAAACAACCTGACCACATAAACTGCACTTCCAACCATTTGGAACCAGAGTTTATGTCCTCATTTTCCCATTCTCAGAAGAGCACAGTTTTTCAATATTACAACTTCCTGGCAAATAGCACAAGAAATGTTCAGACTTGAGATTTGTGTTCCCTTTGTCCAGATTATTCTGTATATGTCACCAAAGGGGTTAACTTGTTTGCTTGGCATGAGGAAAATTATAAACTCCGTTCTCAAACTAATTACATCTGCCCACGGTTTTGGTTTTTATTATTTTAATTGGCACTCCGAGGCAGCAGGGGGTAAATTTTGTGTTGGCTGCAAGGGGATTTAGGTTCACAGCTCTTACTCACAGTAATGGGAATCAAGGGATTAAATCTCTGTGTGTTACTTTGAAAATCCACCTCTTACAGCCAATTTTATAGACATTGATCTGAGGGTTGAATTCAGGGCACTAATTGCCAGTCAGTACAAGGGTCAGCATTTGTGTTGAAGCACCAGGGGTATTGATGTAGCCTGAAAAGCTGAATCAGGGACTTGGGTTTTGTTTTGTTTTGTTTTTTTTACCCATTTTTAAAATAGGAAAGCTCATCCAGAAATACTTGGATCTAGACATGATATAACATAGCACCAATGTTTAGGATTTTTAGAGTGCTGTTGGGTAATTAAAATAATATCAATGTTCTAGTTTCCTTATCGTTGCTTTTTCAATTTTCCATAAAACAAAACTGAATTTTCCCCAGTATTCAAGATCCCTTTATTTCTAGATGCCCATAGGAGCAAAAAGAAAATACTCAGCAGTGAGGAATGTGCACTACTTCACTAAGCAGCATTCCATCCACAGGAGCCAAGGGTATCTGACTTTTCAAAGAACATTCTTGGAGTCTCCCATCTTACCTTCATCTGTAGCATGAGTGATCACAAAGCCCAAAGGATGGCCATGTAGCTGAGATGTCTGTAATTCTAAGCATGTGTCACATGGATCTTTACTTACAGACACTTCCATAGCATCACCAGCCATCTCTGAGGCCTCTTTAAATGGTGACATAGCAGCATTGACACTTTTGAGTAATTTGCAAACTGATTATTAATCCCTTGAAGTTCCCAGGGCTTCACACACACACACACACACACGTCCTCCTCTGTGGGCTGGGTTGATCTTTTGTTCCTTTAGAGTTTTTCCTTGTAAGTTCTATAAGTCGGATTTCATTTCTTGACTCCTTACTATTAATAGAACAGTTGTTAGCAACAGTGGAGGCTTTAAGGAAATGGAGCTCCAGTGTAAGAATGCACTCATGTTGGGGCCACGCAGTTGGAACAGTAACTGGAGTGCCCAAGCACCCTCTTCCGTTGTCCTGCTGCACCGGGTCTTTGAATAAAGCTCTTCTCTGTGCCTCAGTTTTCTCTATGTGAGGTGTAACTTAACATGTCAATCACCTTACTGAGCGACAGATCTGGGCAAGCTTTTTGAGATACCCAGGTGTCACACTTGACAGGGTTTTAAACATTACTGTAGGAACAGAGGCAAAGGAAGTATATTATGTCTGCAGGCACCAAGGTGCAGACATGTACAATGTGGGAGATGGAATTTTCTCCTAGGGTCTAGATTGGACTAGGATCTAGCAGACCAAGAGGATGACAGCAGGGTAGCCATACCCACCCCCATGAGATGGGAGAGAGACAGGACCAGCCAGGGAAGACACCAGTGAGGGAGCTCCTTCACCTGTGTGGCTACCACTTTGAGTCCTTCCTGGCTGCAGGCAGAGTTCTAACAGACCAAGGCGGGCAGGGCAGCAGGGCTACCTAATACCCCACTGTGGGTGGTACGCCCCATCCTCCTCCTCATCATCACACCCTAGTTTTAAGAAATCAGAGGGGCCGGGCACTGTGGCTCATGCCTGTAATCCCTGCACTTTGGAATGCCGAGACAGGCGGATCACCTGAGGTCAGGAGTCTGAGACCAGCCTGGCCAACATGATGAAACCCTGTCTCTACTAAAAATGCAAAAAATTAGCCAAGCGTGGTGGTGGGCACCTGTAATCCCAGCTACTTGGGAGGCTGAGGTGGAAGAATCTCTTGAACTCAGGAGGCAGAGGTTGCAGTGAGCTGAAATTGTGCCACTGCACTCCAACCTGGGCAACAAGAGCAAAACTCCATCCCAAAAAAAAAAAAAGGAAAAAAAAGCAGGGGCTATCCAGATGGGAAGGGGAAGAAGCAACATGGAGTCCAAGCTTCCAATGGCTGCCATCTTCCATGAGAAAACAGCGTGTGCACTGCACATCATGCTACAAGCGTCACCAGAGACCTGTGGCACAGTCAGGCTTCCTGTGCCCCCATGGTGAGTTCTCTTCATGTGGATCTTGTGCCTCTGATGGTAATTTTTGTTAGGGGGTGGGGGTAGGAGGTGGAGGACAGCTGCTCAGGGAGGTTCGTCTCTGAGAAAGGAGATCTGTCATAAGGGACTTAGGTATGTCATGCATGAGCTTCGGGAAAGAAAGAGGAAACCTCTCTTGAGAAAATGGATGTTTTTTTTTTCCTCTAGGAGGTTAGGTGGTTGCATCAACATAACTATTTAATTGTAGGAAAAACTTTAGTGGCTGTACCAGTAGAGAGGAAAATCAACATATGATCTCATTGATCTTTGTGATGCCCAATGACTGGACATTCTAGCCCCAAACATGCAGACAAAGACTAGAAATCCAACTAATGATCTGGATGTTGCATACCACTAGGGTCAAAGCCCTAAATGGTGGATTGAAATTTTTAGCTGTTACATTTTTTAGGCACAGGGCCAGTGTGTCTGCCTTGCATCAGTAAATCAGTGCTTTGAGCTTAACCAAAGTAATCATGACATACTGAAGAGTCCCTTCTTTTCATATTCACTGGAAATCCCTTTCCTAACCTTTCTCCAGTTAAAAAAATAAAAAATAAAAAAAATAAAAGGAACCATGGCTGGAGATGATGAAAGGTTCAGCCTGATTTATGCCTAACTTAATACTAATGTTGTTTTCACAGGTGCACGAGACCTTGCCCAGTGCAAGCAAATTCCAAGTAGTTGGCTAAAAACTTCTAGAGTGGCAACAAAAAAAAAAATTTTTTTTTTTGAGAACCTCATTCTGTCACTCAGGCTAGGGTGCAGTTGCACAATCTCAGCTCACTGCAACCTCCCCCTCCCGGGTTCAAGCAATTCTCCTGCCTCAGCCTCCCAAGTAGCTGGGATTACAGGCGCCTGCCACCACATCCGGCTAATTTTTGTATTTTTAGTAGAGATGGGGTTTCACCATGTTGGCCAGGCTGGTCTCGAACTCCTGACCTCAGGTGATCTGCCCGCCTCTGCCTCCCAAAGTGCTGGGATTACAGGTGTGAGCCACAGCACCCAGCCTGGCAACACAATATTTATTAGCAGGAGGAAATACACCAGGTGGACACTTGGACTTCACCCTTTCTCAGGCAGGGTGCTAAGGAACAGATACTCCTGTTACAGTGTAATAGTCTCTTGCTTACACAATTCTGTAAACATCTAAAGTCCCTCGCATGAATTCTGCCCCAGTCAGTGAAGGAATTTAAAATTCCACCATTTTTTTATGCTGTGTGTGTCATCTTGGAGGTTTATTCATGGAGCTAGCAACTCTGCTTCAGTATTCTGATATCAAAGGCCTAGTGTGTCACATCAAACACCGTTTCAAATTCTGCGTTTTGGTCTTGGGAAAGCTGTCAGCAACTTGGGAGCCAGCTTATCTCCCTCGAGAATTTTCCAGGTATCCAGCTTTGGCAGTCACAAAAACAAATTATAAGATCTTCATCTTCTTACAGCCATCAATCTTAGGATGGTTTCAAGAATTGAAGAGGATTTTAAGTAGGACAATTCTGTATAGTAATTTATGTCGTGAAAATGTACACATTGTAGCATTGATGAAAATGCCGTTTATTAGGTCCAATACCATTTTCATATCTCTTCTAGTTATTCTCTATTAAAGTAGATCAAGTTCATTTTGTTATGTGATATTCATTTGGGGCTTCTTGTTAGTGCATTTGGATGTGATTGTGGAGAAAGTCCAGAATCTGTGTTGATAGTCACTATTTTAATCCAAGTAGCTGTAATGGCTCTGTTAAGCAGCAACATTACAAACACTACGGCTGAGAAAGTTGCAGGCTCCTATCTGTGTCTCTGAGTATGTGGGAAAAAAAAAAAGTTAATCCAAGCAATTCATTAAAGACCATTGGCTTTAGTAAGAATCACTTCTTCCAGCCTTTCTTCTCAAAATCTGTGAATACTTCTTGCAGGGAAACTTTATTGTTTTTTTCTACTCCAAAACATTATATATGATAAAAATTTATTTTAAGGCATTCATATAAATAGACTGGAAAGTACATGCATCAAAATATTTCACTGTTTGGAAGACTGGTGTTTTCTTTTGTGCTTGTCTCTGTTTTCCAAATTTTCTGCAATGAGCTTGTGATTCTTCTGAAGTTAGAAATTCTAAAAACCAGGCTGAGACAGAATTGCTTGAACCCGGAAGGCGGAGGTTGCAGTGAGCCGAGATCACGCCACTGCACTTCAGCCTGGGCAACAGAGCGAGACTCCGTCTCAAAAAAAAAGAGAAAAAGAAATTCTAAAAACCTACAATAAATGTTGTTTTCTTCATAAAAGCACATCTACACATAACTATGAGGACATTGCGCATAGTTCTAGTGTAGTACTGTGCAAAAATAATTTGCAATCTGCGGTGAGGGTGCAAAGTATATCAGCTGAAACAGTGACCTTTTAAGTCTTCCTAGGAAGTTTAAGTGGATCCCTCCCCCTAAGCAGGCCAAATCTCTTATTCCTGTTTAGGAATCCCATCTCCCAGTCTGCTTTTAAGATATCTGCACACCCGGAACCTAAAATCTTCACTTTGGGGGTTACCCATATCTGCATGAGGCAGTGCAAACGTTAAACCCCCTTTCTCTCTCTCTCTCTCTCTCGTGTCACCACAGTTGCATTTATCATATTGCAAAGAAAACTCCACATTCAAATCATGAATAATTTAATAGTGAATTATTTTGGCACAATCTTAGGAAGGAGTGGAGAACACATCTAATATTAAGAATTTGTCTAGAAGGATCTTGTATTTTATCTGAGTCTAAAATTTACAAGTGCAAAGATGATGGAGTCTTTGACCACTTACTTTACTGTTTGGAGATTTTGCTGTTTCTATAAATTCACCTGAAACTCACGCAGTGCAGTTCCTGGGATGGGGAAACATCTTACTGTACCGTAACAGAACGAGCCTTAAGGATTCGTAAGCATAAGCACTTTTATATTTAAAGGGAAATATTAATTTATCAGTGAAATTACTTTTTTAATGTCTCAATAAACCTTGAAATCAACATCACTCTGTCTCTAAAACATCCTAGTGTCTCTTCCTTAAACTTCTTTCCAAGTAAAATGTTGTCCTTTCACATGTGTTACGTTTTGTCTTAAATATAATCAACTAATCATAAAAAAACTACCTTTTCCCCTACAAAAGTATGAATCCACCCGACCTACTAAAATGGGCAACATCATTGTAAAGAAAGGAGCAGCAGCCAGGGGCAGTGGCTCAGGCCAGTTAACCCAGCCCTTTGGGAGGCTGAGGCAGGCAGCTTGCTTGAGCCTAGGAGTTCAAGATTAGCATGGGGAATATGGTGAAACCCCGACTCTACAAGAAATACAAAAATTGGCCGGGCGCGGTGGCTCACGCCTGTAATCCCAACACTTTGGGAGGCCGAGGCAGGCAGATCACGAGTTGAGGAGATGGAGACCATCTTGGCCAACATGGTAAAACCCCATCTCTACTAAAATACAAAAAATTAGCCGGGTGTGGTGGCGCATGCCTGTAGGTCCAGCTACTTGGGAGGCTGAGGCAGGAGAATCGCTTGAACCTGGGAGGCAGAGGTTGCAGTGAGCTGAGATCGTGCCATTGCACTCCAGCCTGGTGACAGAGCAAGACTCTGTCTCAAAAAAAAAAAAAAAAGAAAAGAAAAGAAATACAAGAATTAGCCAGACATGGTGGCACGTCCCTGTGGTCCCAGCTACTCTACTAGGGAGGCTGAGGTAGGAGGATCACTTGAGCCCAGGAGTTCAAGGCTGCAGTGAGCTATTATCACACCACTGCACTCCAGCCTGGGCAACAGAGTAAGACCCTGTTTCAAAAAAGAAAAAGTAAAGGCACACCAATCTGAGAATACTCTTGGAAGGAAATGTTAAGTAAGTGTCACGTTAGAGTGAAAAAGAAATAACCTGTAATAGAGCCTGGAATATTCTTGCTAAAGGGGGTTTTTTGCTTTTATGTTTTTTTTTAATATGTCTAAGCTTTATTTACTGTAAAGCAGTGTGCAAATGTAAGCTGTTACTTTGTGACATAATTCAAATAACCAGCAGACAAATATTTAAAATATTCAATGCTAAACCCCAACATAAGCCGTTTTTAGTTCACTACATTTCTTTCCCCTTTTCTTCTTTGAAATTTATTTTAAATCAAGTAATACAATGCTGCTTAAAAAAAAGTATACAATATAAATAGATAAGAGTTCCCCTTTATCCCCATACAGTTCACCCCAAAGAGAGCCACACTAGTCTTGAGCTCCTGGCCGCAAGTGATCCTCCGCCTCAGCTTCCCAAAGTGCTGGGATTGCAGGTGTGAGCCACAGCACCCACTCTTGTCAATTAGATATATCTGTCCATATTCATTTACATGTCTGTGTGTGTGTGTGTATGTGTGTGTATTTAACACAAATAGATTCACATTATACATGCTGTTTTGTGTTCTGAAACTTGCTTTTATCATTTAGTAGGAAATCTGGGACATTGTTCAGTATCAGTACAGAAAGATCTACCTCATTGCTTGGGACCTCTGCTCAGTATCTCTGTAGTACAATTCATCTTGGTTTATTTAACATTCCCTATTGATGGATATTTAAGTTGACTCATTACGTTTTTAAAAATTGATATATAATTCACAAAGCATAAAATGTATCTTTTACAGTGTAAAGTCCAGTGGTTTTTAGTGTATTCACAAGATTATGCAACCATCACCACTGTCTAATTCCAGAACTTTTTTTTTTTTTTTTTTTTTGAGATGGAGTTTCGCTTTTGTTGCCCAGTCTGGAGTGCAGTGGTGTGGTCTTGGCTCACTGCAACCTCCGCCTCCCAGGGTTCAAGCAATTCTCCTGTCTTAGCCTCCCGAGTAGCTGGGATTACAGGCACCCACGATCACTCCTGGCTAATTTTTGTATTTTTAGTAGAGATGGGATTTCACCATGTCGGCCAGGCTGGTCTTGAACCCCTGAACTCAGATGATCCAACCACCTTGGCCACCCAAAGTACTGGGATTACAGGTGTGAGCCACCGCACCCAGCCTCCACAACATTTTTATCACCCCAGATAGAAACCCTGGACCCATTAGCAGTCATTCCCCAATCTCCCCTCCCCACAATCCCTGGCAACCACGAATCTAGTTTCCATCTCTGTGGATTTGCCCATTCTGGACATTTCATATAGGTGGAATTATACAATATGTCTCCTTTTGTGTCTGACTTCTTTCACTTAGCACAGTGTTTCCAAGGTTCATCCATATTGTAGCATGTTATCAGCACTTCATTTTTATTTACAGCTGAATATCTCCTTGCATGGAGAGAAACACATTGTTTTTATCTATTCATCAGTTGATGGGCATTGGGTTATTTCCACCTTTTGGCTACTATGAATAATGCCAGTATGAACATTCATAGCACAAGTATTTGTGTGAAGATATGTTTTGAATTCTTTTCAGTATATACCTAGGTGTGGAATGGCTGGGTCGTGCTACCTGTATGTTTAGCCTTTTGGGAAACTGCCAATGCATTTTCCACAGGAGCAGCACCATTGTATATTTCCACCAACGAGGAACGGGATTTTCCATTTCTTCATGTCCTTGTCAACACTTGTTATGGTCCATCTTTTCTTATTCTAACTATCCTAGTAAGTGTGACGTAATATTGCATAGCAGTTCTGCTTTGCATTTCCCTAATACTAAGGATGTTGAGCATCCTTTTATATAGTTATTGGCCATTTTATATCTTCCTTGGAGAAATGTTTATGCAAATCCTTTGCCCATTTTAAAATTAGGTTATTTGTCTTTTTATTGTTAAGTTGTAAGGGGTTTTTATATGTTCTGAATGCTAGATCCCTATCAGATATATGATTTGCAAATATTTTCTCAAATTCTGTGAGTTTTCTCTTCACCTTCTTGATACTGCCTTTGGTTGTGCAAAAGTTTCTCATTGTGATGAAGTTTAATGTATCCATTTGAAATTTTGTCTCAGGCTTTCATGTCATATATAAGAAGGCTTTGTTCAACTCAAGGTCATGAAGATTTGCTCTTATATCCTCTTCAAGGACTTTCAAAGTTTTAGCTGTAGTATTTAGATCTGTGATTCATTTTAAGTTACTTTTTGTGTATGGTGTGAGGTAGGGGTGCAGCTTCATTCTTTTGCATGTGGATATCCAGCTATCTCAGCACCATTTATTAAAAAGAGTATTCTCTCCCCACCCCCCATTGAATTTTCTTGGCACCCTTGTCCAAAATGAATTGGCTGCACACACGAGGGCTTATTTCTGGACTCTCATTCCCATTCCAATAACCTCTATATCCATCCTTATGGCAGCACCACACCATCTTGATTACTGTAACTTTGTAGTAATATCTGAAATCAGGAATGTGAGTCTTCCAACTTTGTTCTTCTTTTGCAAGATTATTTTGGGCTAAATGTTTCTTTTTAAATTAACTATCCATTGCATATCATATTTCCTATAAATGAACTTGTTCCAAACAGGGGACTATCTGTTCCAGTTTAAAAAAAAAAAAAATACTACATGCCTTAGTAGCATGGCTTACAGGACTGTATGAAAAGTACCGAATGACTTCATGAGCCTTTTACTGCCAACCAAATTCCTGACCATTCTCAGTCTCTGTTCTCCAAGAGACAAGGCCCATATGAGGGTTATTGGGCTGGTGTCCAGCTGCCCCCTGCCCACCAAGCTGCAGTGTTTTATACATGTAATATGTCTCCCCAAACCATGGTGACCTGGGGGCAAATAGAAGCACAAAGCTGTTCCAGCAATTTTTATGACTGCAAACTCCAGCAGCTTCCCCCTGCCCCCCTGTCCCTGGTCCTTCACCCCTAGCTCCGGCCCTGCTGCACCCTGCATGGATTTGTTGCTTTGTACACTCTGTCCCACCCAAAGGCACTGCCTGGTGCCTTTGGTGGCAGGTCATCAGAGGCAAAGGGCTGTGGCCACCTCTTCACTGCTTCCCTGCCCAGCATTCCTTCAGTGACTTCCAACTCTAGCCCAAAGTGTAGGGAGGGAGATTTTTCCTTCACTGGCTTGGATGTGCCTGGGATTGGGGTCCTAGCCTGGTGCTGACTCTGTCTTGGGGTGTCCTTAACGTGACTCTGGAAGAAAACTCTCTTCCTCCTGCCTCCTCCACTCCCATCACAGGGATCTCTCACCTGTGGTTCCCCAGACAGACAGAAGTATGCCAACTTGTATAGGCTGAGCATGTCCCCACAATTCACAGGCAGAAGTCCTGGCCCCCAGTGCCTCAGAATGTGACTGCATTTAGAGATAGGGCCTTTAAAGACGTAATTAAGTTAAAATGAGGCTGTTAGGGTGAGCCCTAATCCACTCTACCTGGTGTCCTTATAAGGAGATATGGACACACAGACAGCCACCAGGGGTGCACAGCACCAAGGAGCCAGGCCTGGAACAGATCCCTCCCTCACAGCCTTCAGAGGGGGCCAACTCTGCCAGCAACTTGATCTTGGACTTCCAGCCTCCAGAACTGTGAGACAGTCTATTTCTGTTGTTTAAGCCCCAGGTCTGTGGAATTTTGTTAGGGCAGCCTGAGCAAACAAATATCCAGCCCCTCCTCAGCATCTGGGCATCCTATGGGACCCCCCAGCTTCTCTGCTGAGGCCTCCACATCTCTCCAGGACACATCTTGGGCAGGACTGGAGGCTAGGCTCTAAATCAAGCCTAGACCAGCTCTCTTGCATGTGGCCCCACCTGATACACAGAAGGACATGTATTTGACCCAAGCAGGACAGGGGGGCACTGGTTACCTCCCAAACACATCCCTTCTCTGCTGCCACAGGCAGCTTTGACTTCCACACCTGTGAGTGTGAGAAATTATCCCACTACGCAAGCTGCAGAAGCACAGGCCAAACTTTCTCCTCAGCACTTCTCATTAGATGTGCTGGAACACAGAGAGCAGGGCTGAGACTCAGAACACAGCACCTCTTCCTGTCCGTAGTCCTAGCCCTTCCTGTGGCCTCTCCAGCGTCCTCTCCAGGCCTGAAGCAAGTCATCTCAACTCAGGTTCTGAAGCGCAGTTCTCTGCTATCTGCACTCCCTGCGTGGTAGGCCTCACCTCACTGTGGGACACGAGAGTGGTTGACACCTACTGTCTTGGGGACTCCTCAGAAAACAGAGTCCTGTGTGAACCTCCCATTAAACTAGAATTAAGACCTGCGTGGCTTCAAGTGAGGCCTAATGACACCGTGGGGTTTGTCTCTCTTTGCAGTGCCCAGCAAAGTGACCACCCTTCAGGCAGAGGACAGGGCCAGCTGGTGGGAACAGAAACTGGTGCAGCCACTGTGGAAAACAGCTTAGCAGCTCCTCCAACAGTGAAACCCAGGTTACCATATGACCCAGCAATTCCACTCCTAGGTATATACTCAAGAGAACTGAAAGTATATATTCGCATAAAAATGTGTACATGAATTTTCATAGCAGTGTCATTCATAATAGTCAAAAAAAAGAAAACAGCCCATCAACTGATAAATCAATAAACAAAGTGGGTATGCCCATATAGTAGAACAAAAAAGGAATATTGATACATGCTACAACATGCAAGAACCTTGAAAACATTGTGCTAAGTACAAGAAGCCAGACAAAAAAGGCCACATGTTGTAAGATTCCATTCATATGAAATGTCCAGAATGGACAAATTCAGAGAGTCAGGAAGTGGATTGGTGGTTGCCAGAGGTCGGGGAAGGAGAATGGGGAGTGACTGCTGATGGAGACAAGGTTTCTTTTTAGGGTGATGAAAATATTCTGGAATTGAGTAGTGGGATGGTTGCATAAACTTGTGAATATACTAAAAATTACTGAACCCTATACATTTTTTTTTTTGAGTCAGCATTTCGCTCTTCTTGCCCAGGCTGGAGTGTAATGGCACAATCGCAGCTCACTGCAACCTCGGCCTCCTGGGTTCAAGTGATTCTCCTGCCTCAGGCTCCCGAGTAGCTGGGATTACAGGCATTCACCATGATGCCTAGCTAATTTTGCTAATTTTGTATTTTTAGTAGAGACGGGGTTTCTCCATGTTGGTCAGGCTGGCCTCGAACTCCCGACCTCAGGTGATCCACCCACCTCAGCCACCCAAAGTGCTGGGATTACAGGCATGAGCCACTGCACCTGGCTTTTTTTTTTTTTTTTTTTTTTTTTTGGAGACAGAGTCTTGTTTTGTGTGCCCAGGCTGGAGTGTAGTGGCGCGATCTTGGCTCACTGCAACCTCTGCCTCCTGGGTTCAAGTGATTCTACCATCTCAGCCTCCCGAGTAGCTGAGACTACAGGCATGCGCCACCACGCCCAGCTAATTTTTGTATTTTTAGTAGAGATAGGGTTTCACCATGTTGGTCAGGCTGGTCTCAAACTCTTGACCTCAAGTGATCCACCCACCTTGGCCTCCCAAAGTGCTGGGATTGCAGGCGTGAGCCACCGTGACTGGCCAGGCTGGTCTTGAACTCCTGACCTCAGGTGATCCACCTGCCTCAGCCTTCCAAAGTGCTAGGATTACAGACGTGAGCCACCGCACCTGGCCTTGCTGTGGAACTCTAATTCAGGAGTATTTTCCTCAGAAGTTGGAAGAGATTGCTCCAGTTTCTTCTTGCATTCAGTACATCTTTGTAGTAATACAGTCTCACCTCTCCCCACTCCCCTGACCGCAGAAGCATTTGGGGTTTTCTCTTTATCCCTGTTGTCTGAAATGTCACCATGCTGTAGCTTGCCCATGATTCTGCTCAGCCATTCCCGGGCACTTTCACTCTGGGGCTGTCACCTGCCCTTGCCCTGGGAGCCCACCCTCCATGATTGCTCTGAGCACACTCTCTCTTCCGGTCCCTCTGTCTTGTCTTCTGAAGCTCTGTTAGGTGCACGTTGGGAACTATAGGGTCTATCTTCGAATTCTCTTAACCATTTTCTGTACTTCCCATCTCCTTGTCCATTTTTGCTATTCTAAGAGCATCCTGTGGCTCAGGCTTTCAATTTATTCTATAATCTCCAATGCTTCTGCCCATTTACAGAGATTTTTATTTCAATCATCAAATTTGTCATTTCCAAGATCTCTAAAACATTCCTTTTTATGGATGCAATATCATTTTACTTCTCTCTGAGGATTCTAATTATATATATGCCAAATCCTTGTGTGGATTCCTCTATTAAAACTGCTTCTTTGGATGTAAACTTTTCGATTTGTTAGGATTGATACCTCTCTTATGGCTTTTCTCAAATGTTGAGGGGTTATTGGTGTGAGCTCAACTCTGGGATTCGGTTTGCAGCCTCTCCACCAATGCTCTTTCTATAGCCTGCATTTCACCTCCTGGACAGAAAGAGCATGCCATCCCTCCTGGGCATTGCCGGGGCGCCAGCGACCTCTCCATCCCAACCATCTGAACCCTCTGCTCTATACTAGGGGCTCACATCTTGCTGCCTGCTTCTTGGCCTGAGGATGGAGAAGTTGCTGCTCCTCTAGGGATCCTCCATGAGCATAAGCAGCCCATCCTTTAGGGTTTTTTTTCTTTTTGTGCCTTTTTTTGTTTTTTATTTATTTATTTTTTAAGAAACAGGGTCTCATTCTTTTTGCTCAGGCTGGAATGCAGTGGTGTGATCAGAGCTCACCATAGCCTTGAACTTCTGAGCCTCCTGAATAGCTGGGACTACAGGTGTGCCTCCACTGTGGCCAGCTAATTTTTTAATTTTTTATTTGTAGAGACAGTGTCTCCCTATGTTGCCTAGGCTGGTCTCAAATTCCTGGCCTCAAGTGATCCTCCCACCTCAGCCTCCCTAAGTGCTGGGATTACAGGCATGAGCCACTGTAGCTGGCCCTTATATTTTTCATTCTGCATAGCCTCTGGACTGTGATTTCCTTCTTCACAATGATCCCACACTTCTTCCATCTCTCAGAGGTGCCTCAAAGCTCCTGGACCTTTTAAGGCACCCTTTCTTGATTTTTAATGAAATCATGGATTTTATCATTATTATTATTATTATTATTATTATTATTATTATTATTATTATTTCTCTATGGCTGTCTTGATCCTCTCTCTGCTTTAAAAACATCAGCCAAGCATGGTGGCTCCTGGCTGTAATCCCAGCACTTTGGGAGGCCGAGGTGGGCAGGTCACCTGAAGTCTCCTGCCAGTTCGAGACCAGCCTGGCAAACATGGTGAGACCCCATCTCTACTAAAAATACAAAAGAAATTAGCTAGGCATCATGTCACGTGCCTGTAATCCCAGCTACATGGGAGGCTGAGGCAGGAGAACTGCTCAAACCCAAGAGGCGGAGGTTGCACTGAGCTGATATCACACCACTGCACTCCAGCCTGGGAGACAGAGCAAGACTCTGTCTCAAAAAATAAAATAAAATAAAATAAATCAAATGTTTGCCAGTGGCAGGAGAATTTCCATGTAAGCCTCAGATCTGACGCAGCTCAGACTTCCCACGGGGTGTTCTGCATGCTGGTGGGTGGGTTCCTCCTTCTTCTAACTTTCTTTCTTTTTTTTTTTTTTTTTTTTTTTTTGGCTCACTGCAACCTCTGCCCCCGGGTTTAAGTGATTCTCCTGTCTCAACCTCTCAAGTAGCTGGGACCACAGGCGTGTACCACCACGCCCAGCTAATTTTTGTATTTTTAGTAGAGACGGGGTTTCACCATATTGGTCAGGCTGGTGTCGAACTCCTGACCTCAAGTGATGTGCCCACCTCAGCCTCCCAAAGTGCTGGGATTACAGGCATGAGCCACTGCACCCGGCCCCGTCTAACTTGCTTTCTGAGAGTGCCTTGGCCATCTGGGCACCTCACTGAGGCTGCAACCCTGCTGGCTGCCACCCTACTTGGCTCCAGCTCTGGCTACTCTGGCCTTCCTGGTTCACTTTGCTGTTCATTCCCGCTGGCTGCTTTGCCACATCTCTGCTCAGTACATCCAGTGGGACCCTGGGGAGGTCTCTCCTCCCTGCAACCTGTTTTTGGCCTTTGTTGTCTCAGCCACAGCTGTGAGTCTAGTGTGAGGTAGATTTTTGGCAGGCACTCCTAATTTAGCCTTTAAAAATATCCCCTTGAGGCAGAAATATTTTCTCTATCAGAGATCACGTTGAGACCATTTCTACCCTGGCCTTGAAACAGGTGCACTCAGAAGTAAGGCCAGATGGTTCCGACCCACTGCGGGTCAACACAGTACATCCTATGCTGGGTATGAACCAGGAACCTAGTCCAGGAACAAGGGCAGAAGCCACCTTTTTTTTTTTTTTTTTTTTTTTTTTGAGGTGGAGTCCCGATCTGTCACCCAGGCTGGAGTGCAGTAGCTCAACCTCAGCTCACAGCAACATCTGCCTCCCTGGTTCAAGTGATTCTCCTGCCTCAGCCTCCCATGTAGCTGGGATTACATGCTTGTGCCACCACGCCTGGCTAATTTTTGTGTTTTTAGTAGAGACAGGGTTTCACCATGTTGGCCAGGCTGGTCTGGAACTCCTGACCTCAGGCAATCCGCCCACCATGCCTGGCCAGAAGCCACTTATTTTTTAATTTTTTTAATTATTATTATTTTTACTTTTTGAGACAGAGTCTCGCTTTGTCACCCAGGCTGGATTGCAGTGGTGCAATCTCAGCTCACTGCAAGCTCCGCCTTCTGGGTTCACGCCATTTTCCTGCCTCCGCCTCCCAAGTAGCTGGGACTACAGGCGCGCGCCACCACGCCCGGCTAATTTTTTGTATTTTTTGTAGAGACGGGGTTTCACCGTGTTAGCCAGGATAGTCTCGATCTCCTGACCTCGTGATCCGCCCCCCTGGGCCTCCCAAAGTGCTGGGATTACAGGCGTGAGCCACCGCACCCGGCCAGAAGCCACTTATTAATGCGGGGACACATGAGCTGGAGCAGCACAAGGAGGGTGGACTGAGCCACCTGGGCTGAGATGTGGCTTCTGACTCAGGACAGCCCAGAGTCCAGAGCCTGGGGCGCTTGGCATCAGCCATGGGCAGGAAAAGGCTGAGGGATGAGGAGCAGGTAAAAGGGTGCAGTCCTCCCCCTGGGACCCATTCTCAATGTGCCTGCTGACCAGAGAGGAGCAGTTCCACATTTAGTCATTGTGCCGTTAAGAAAGCAGCCATTGGCCGGGCGCGGTGGCTCACGCCTGGAAGCCCAGCAGTTTGCGAGGCTGAGGTGGGCGGATCACCTGAGGCCAGGAGTTCCAGACCAGCCTGGCCAACATGGTGAAACCCCCGTCTCTACTAAAAATACAAAAATTAGCCAGGCATGGTGGCGGGTGCCTGTAATCCCAGCTACTCGGGAGGCTGAGGCAGGAGAATCGCTTCAACCCAGGAGGCATAGCTTGCCGTGAGCCGAGATCACACCACAGCACTCCAGCTTGGGCAACAGAGTGAAACTCCATCTCAAAAAAAAAAAAAAAAAGCAGCTATTTAGCCTGGGACATGTCAAATGTGGTACATGGAGACATCGACATTGGTGGCTGATGTCATCACAATGCACTGAGGGTTATTTGTGCTAAATAAGGCAAGACCCACGGCAGGGGGCCAGGGCACTGAGTGGACAGGTGGATGCCTGAGCCTGGCCGCCAGAGCATGGGACCAGCCCCCTGGGGAGGCGAAGGCAGCAACAGCCAGTATGTGGTTCATGAAGTGCCGGGAAGACTGCTGCCCCTCCCTCAGGGACCAAAAACTCCTGGAGGTCCACCTCCAGACTCCTCTTTGTAAAAACCCACATTCCCGGTTCACACACGAGTCCCTGGCACCTCCATGACATCCCATCACTCTGTCTTCTTTTTAATTGACAGAAGGAGACCACTGCCCCAGCACTTGCCCCCTAACAAGCCATTAACCTCCAGTTGTTTGGCTGGAAAATGGGACCTTGATCCCAGAGAGAACTGACTTTGTGTGAATACTCCTGGTCTGTCCTCCTTATGCAGGCAGCGCTGGGATCGAAGTGGAGACCCCCGCAGTGGGTGAACATCGCAGCATCCCTGGGAGGGTTCAGCATGTTTATCTTGGGCTGAAGGTTGTAATTATGATTTAGGGGAATGCCACTTTATAATGACTTTTTCTTCGTTTCATGTAAATTAAGTTCCTAGTGTGCGTGGGAATGCATATGTCACTATTCCTAAGGGGAGTTGGAGAATTCATTAGTTACTGTCTGGGAAGTGTTCTGCAAATAAAAAGCTCTCCAAAAATGCGAGGTATTATTATTAGGTGCCTTCAATTTGTAAATCATCTTGAATGGGTTGTTTTGTTTTATTCTGTTTTGTTTCGGTGTAAAAAAGATAGCTTCAAACCCTGTATTCAGCAATGGCCAGTACACATATCAAAGAAAATATGGAAGACGCAAATGCATATTTCAATGGTTCTGGAGTATTCACTCCAAGAAGGGTTTAGGAAGCGCTGACAATTCCAGCCGAGGACTCTGAGGCCCAGGGGATGGTGCCACTAAATAACACCTGTGACCTTGAAAAGTGCATTAACTTCTCTGGGCTGTGGTCTCCACATCAGGAAGGTCAAGCAGTTGGGCTCAATGACCCCTACAATCCCTTCCGCACTGGCATTTCATGTAATAACCCATTGCACACAGGCCTGCCATTGACTGAGCCCTTGCAACAAGTGGGGCAGGAAGCTAGGGCTCCCTATCTGGTGTAAGGTTGGCTTACACATGGTGAAACTGGAAACATGCAACTTCTTCATGGTCACACAGCTGAGGGCAGCGGGGATGGTGCTCAGCCTCTCTCCTTCACTCCACTCATGGAGCTTCCAAATGGTCCAGAACACGATGAAGAAATCACTGAGTAAAGCAGGGACAGGTTCTCATTCTGTTCTCCTCTATAGCCACATAACCCAACCTCAGACTGGCCAGGAAAAATGAGGACTGTTAGAGGTTTCTGTGGATTCTCTTCCCTCTGCCACCTCTTTGTGGTCCCAGCCTCTTTCTCTACAGCTCAGGGTAGTAAGGGAGAGACCTGTTGACCATGGTGCACGCTTGAGCCCTAGAGGGGAAGAAGAAGGGAGGGAGGAGAAAGGAGATGAGGGAGGCAGAGAGGGAGGGAAGGAAGAAAGAGAGAAGAGGCAGGGAGGGAGCAAGGAAGGGAAACACAGTTGAATGACGTCTTTAGATCTGCCTGATTTCTTTTAATTCACATGGATTCATTAAGATGGAGAGGAAGGAGCCGTCATCCATGCTAAGATGAATGTCTGATGTCAGGAAAATAATTTCCCACCTTCAGGGAGGCCCCTTCTATCTGGTTGAATGATCACGACAGTCTGACAAATTCTAACAGGGCACACAGGCTGAATCTGTGCCCACCAATCCTTTCCCACTGGATTGCCGCTTCGTATCTTTCTATGAAAGACTCATTCTGAAAATGGACAGGTTTGGCCTGAGAATCTCCAAACAGTTGGTGACTTGAAAATTCTGCATCTTGGCCAGGCACGGTGGCTCACGCCTGTAATCCCAGCACTTTGGGAGGCCAAGGCAGGTGGATCACAAGGTCAGGAGTTCAAGACCAGCCTGGCCAATATGGTGAAACCCCGTCTCTACTGAAAATACAAAAATCAGCCGGGCATAGTGGCACGTGCCTGTAGTCCCAGCTACTTGGGAGGCTGAGGCAGAAGACTCGCTTGAACCTGGAAGGTGGAGGTTGCAGTGAGCCGAGACTGTGCCACTGCACTCCAGCCTAGGCAACAGAGGGAGTCTCCATCTCAAAAAAAAAAAAAAAAAAGAGAAAGAAAATTCTACATCTGAGGTCAACAATTAGGCAGTAGAAGAGGTAGTTGCGGAGTGCACAGAAAGTAAGATGCAGGGAGGCTCTGAACAGGAAGAGGAATTGACAGGAGTACGGACTCACAGATGCAGGCTTTTACATTAGGATTGATGATCCAGGGTCCTAGACTTTGGGAAGCCCCATGAGCCAGCTTGACCTCCAAAACCAATGAGGCGGCCTGTGGTGTGCTGTGCAGAGTCCTGCTCTCTGTTGAATGAATGAATGAATGAAGAGACTTTGTTGATATTTCCTGCCTTCTGCATTCTTAATGTCTAGAAAAACAGTGGGTTTTTCTTTTTACCTGTTTGTTGATTTATGGGACACGCATAAAGAAAGAAAACTTTTGAACAGGCTGCATTTCCTCTTAACATTGGAAGGAAATTTACATGAGACAGAGGTGCAATAATTGGGAGTTGGTATATTTATGATGCAAAGGGGTCCTGATCAGCACATTAGGTCAAAAGGCATCTTCTTCAGCTTCCTGAGGCCTGATGTATTTTTTTTCCTGTCCAAATCTTTAAGACTTAATTTTTCAGAGCAGTTTTAGGTTCCCAACACAATTAAGAGGAAGTGCAAAGATATCCCATATATCCTCTGCCCCCACACATGACTAGCCTCCCCCATTATCAAAGTCCCTCCCCAGAGTGGTCCATTTGTTACAACTGATGAACCTACATTGATACATTATCATTACCCAGAGTCCATAGTTGATATCAGGGTTCATTCTTGGTGTTGTCCATCCTGTGGGTTTGGACAAATGTATACTGACATGTATCTACCATTACATGTATCAGTTTCCTCACCACTCTAAAAATCCTCTGTGCTCTGCCTGTTCATCCTTCCACCTAACCCCCCAGCCTAATGATATTTTGCACATACTGTGAAATTACTGGGTGTTCAATTAAGAGTACATATGAATTGGCTTTCAGAGCAATGTTTGACAAGGAAAGGGCTAGATGTTTCCCTTGGCAACACTCATGCACTCCACCTGCAGACTCAGGTAAAGAGAATTACAAACCCTCATGGGCAGAATCTGGCCCTGCAACTCTAATACATGCATTTGCCTCTTTGCTTTCATTTGTACCAATTTAAAATGGATTACTTGGCCAGGTGCAGTGGCTCATGCCTGTAATCCCAGCACTTTGGGAGGCTGAGGTGGGTAGATCACTTGAGGTCAGGATTTCAAGACCAGCCTGACCAACATGGCAGAACCCCGTCTCTACTACAAACACAAAAATCAGCCAGGTGTGGTGACGCACGCCTGTCATTCCAACTACTTGGGAGGCTGAGGCATGAGAATCACTTGAACCCAGGAGGCAGAGGTTGCAGTGAGCCGAGATTGAGCCACTGCACTCCAGCCTGGGTGACGGAGTGAGACTCTGTCTCAAGAAAAAAAAAAAAATTAAAATGCATTACTTGAATATGTATTTTAGACTTAAATTATTTAGTACCTAAATGCAGCATTTCACCTCTAAAATGGTCATTAGACAGGTCAAGGAATATTTTTTGTTTTTATCTTTTCCCAGGTTACTATATCAGACCCCCCTGTGATTTGAATGTGTCCCCTAGAGTTCATGTGTTGGAAACTTAATATGCAACAATGTTGGAAGGTGAGGCTTAATAAGAGGTGAATGGATTAGTGTCGTTAACTTGGGGGTGGGTTAGTTATCTTGAGGGAGCCAGATGTTATAAAAGGGAGGGCTGGGAGCAGTGGCTCACACCTATAATCCCAACACTTTGGGAGGCTGAAGCGGGTGGATCACCTGAGGTGAGGAGTTCCGGACCAGCCTGGCCAACATGGTGAAACCCTGTCTCCACTAAAAATACAGAAAGTTAGCTAGGTGTGGCGGCACATGCCTGTAATCCCAGCTACTTGGGAGGCTGAGGCAGGAGAATTGCTTGAACCCAGGTGGCGGAGGTTGCAGTGAACCAAGATCGCGCCTCTGCACTCCAACCTGGGTGACAGAGCAAGACTCCGTCTCCAAAAAAAAAAAAAAGTTGATGTTATAAAAGGGAGTCTGACCCTCATGCTTTCTCTCCCGCCCTCCCTTGCCCTTCCTTCTATCCATCATGGTATAAGGCAGCAAGAAGGCTGTCACCAGATATGGCCCCTCGATCTTGGACTTCTCAGCCTCCAGAACAGTGAACCAAATAAATTTATACTGTTTGTAAATTACCCAGTCAGTGGTATTTTGTTATAGCAACACAAAACAGACTAAGACAGCCCCTTCGCCTATCAGGGTTACATATGCCTGTTCACAAAGCTATAATTGTGCCTTTCCCAATTTATAACTTTTATTAACATTTTTTTTTTCGGGATGGAGTCTCGCTCTTGTTGCCTAGGCCAGAGTGCAGTGGTGCGATCTTGGCTCACTGCAACCTCTACCTCCTGGGTTCAAGCGATTCTCCTGCCTCAGACTCCCGAGTAGCTGGGACAACAGGTGAGCGCCATCATGTCCAGCTAATTTTTGTATTTTTAGTAGAGACAGGGTTTCACCATGCTAGCCAGGCTGGTCTCAAACTCCTGACCTCGCAATCCACCCACCTCGGCCTCCCAAAGTGCTGGGATTACAGCCGTGAGCCACCGCACCCAGCCTGAAAACCTTAACAATGATTGGAAACCAAACCTATTTTTAAGGATCTTACTGGTTTTTATATATGCATAGGAGGTGTGTGATTGCTCCCACATCATCGGTCTCAGCTTTTAAAGAAAGAAAATAGGCCGGGCGCGGTGGCCCACACCTGTAATCCCAGCACTTTGGGAGGCCGAGGTGGGCGGATGATGAGGTCAGGGGTTCGAGACCAGCCTGACCAACATGGTGAAACCCCATCTCTACTAAAAATACAAAAATTAGCTGGGTGTGGTGGCACATGCCTGTAATCCCAGCTATTCAATAAGCTGAGGCAGGAGAATCGCTTGAATATGGGAGGCGGAGGTTGCAGTGAGCCGAGATCATACCACTGCACCCCAGCCTGGGTGACAGAGTGAGACTCCATCTCTAAATAAATAAATAAATGAAAATAAGATGCCAGACATACCTCTTAACCCAAAATATCTTCCTCTTCAACCAGGTGCTTAAAATAGAGATTCATACATTTGCATGTTTAAGTTTGTCTACCTCCAGAGCTCCTAATAAAAAGCACTTGAGGAATTACTAGCTGACACCTTAATGGAGTGTATTAGTTTTCTATTGCTTTGTGATGAATTACTAGAAATTTAATGGTTTAAAACAACACCCTTTTATTATCTCACATTTCTATGGGTCAGAAGTTCAGGCAGACTCTACTGGATTCTCTACTCAGGGGCTGAAATCAGGGTGTCAGCTTGGCTGGGCTCTCATCTGGGTGCTGTGGGAAAGAACACACTTCCAAGTTCTTTGGGGGTTGCTGGCAGAATTCAGTTTCATGCAGCCACAGGGCTGAGGTCCATTTCCTTGCTGGCTGTTGGTGAAGGGTCACTGTCAGCAACTGTGGCTTCTCTCTGGTCCTTGAGTGTGGTCCCTCTATCTTCAAAGCCAGCAAGGACATGCCAAATCCTTCTCATGCTTTGAATCTCTCTGACCTCCTCATCTGCCACCAGCCAAAGAAAACTCTGCTTTTAAAAAGGATGTAATTAAGTTAGGCCCACTTGGATAATCTCCCTTTTGATTAACTCTAAGCCAAATGATTATTAGCCTTAATTACATCTTCAAAATCTCTTTTGCCAGTAGTAACACAACATAATCATGGGCGGATAATCTCATTAAAGTCACAGGCCCAGGGATTAAGGTGGAAAATCTTGGGAAGCCAATTAAGAATTCTGCCTACCACATGGGAACTGGCTAAGAGCAAAGCAGAAACCAGGAGAGGGGAGGAGTGTTGACCGGGGAGGAGAGAGGAGTTCTGACTATTCCAGTTCACACTAGATGTTGAGTGTGCACTGGCTCATTATGCACAACCTTCCCATTCATGTATCCTAAGCCTCATCAATATTACTTCGCTGTGGCACCCAAGGACCATCAAACCTCTGGAAGTCATCTGCACAGGGTGATAGAGTCATCTTTATTCAACTTCACTGTGGCATGTAACTGTGGGTAAGTCATAAAACCTCCCACAAGATGGATACAATAGTGACAATACACCCCCAAAGGGAGCTGTTATGGGTATGAGTCAACTGAGAACACCCAGCAGAACCCCTTTCCCCCTTCTCTGAGAGTTCATTCTCTCTTCCTCAACAAGACGGCACACCTTTCATCTTGTGTGTGCAGTGGGGTCCTGCTTGAAAGGCAGGATGCCTGTGCTTGAGAACATCACAAAACTCAACTTCAGTTTACTTCAAACTGGAGTAAGCCATAAAGAGGATTGTAATGCAAAGTTAAGAGCTTAATGGGAAGAGGCTTAAGGTATAATTCAGTCAATGATTTGGCTTCATTTATTGGCAATTCTCTCTGACAGAGCAGGAGCACCGTCACCTTGGACAAACACCACCACTTTAAATTCCAGCTCCCTTTCTAGCCTCATCTATTTCAAGGAAATTACTTCTTTTTTTCTTTTCTTTTTTTTTTTTTTTTTTTTTTTTGCAGATGGAGTCTGGCTCAGTCGCCCAGGCTGGAGTGCAGTGGCGTGATCTCAGCTCACTGCAAGCTCCGCCTCCTGGGTTCACGCCATTCCCCTGCCTCAGCCTCCCAGGTAGCTGGGACACAACGCCCAGCTAATTTTTTATATTTTTAGTAGAGTCGGGGTTTCACCGTGTTAGCCAGGATGGTCTCGATCTCCTGACCTCGTGATCCGCCCGTCTCGGCTTCCCAAAGTGTTGGAATTACAGGTGTGAGCCACCGCACCTGGCCTTTTTTTTTTTTTTTTTTTTGACGGAGCCTCTCTCTGTCACCACGCTGGAGTCCAGTAGTGGCTGGATCTTGGCTCACTGCAACCTCTGCCTCCTGAGTTCAAGCGATTCTCTTGCCTCAGCCTCCCGAGTAGTTGGGACTACAGGTGCATGCCACCATGCCCAGCTGATTTTTGTATTTTTAGTAGAGACAGGGTTTCACCATGTTGGCCAGGATGGTCTCAATCTCTTGACCTCATGATCTGCCTGCCTCGGCCTCCCAAAGTGCTGGGATTAGAGGGGTGAGCCACCGCGCCCAGCCAGAAATTATTTCTCTTCTAGCTACAAGCAGCCAGAAAAAGCAGATAGTAAAACACAGATAAGACAGCTTGGGCACAGAGGGAGGTGGGAAGAAAGTCTCTTGGTAACTGCCAAACTTCACCCTCATACAATGGGCCCCAGTAAAACTTAGTGGGCCTTAATAAGTACATTCCTTTCCCATCAGGTGCACTAAGATATAGGGAAGCTAAAAGCCGACTCGGGGGATATGCCTGCAGCTGCAGAAAGATGTATGGGAACAGACATGCAATTCTGCCTCCCAGATAAGCACAACAAAGAGACACAGAAGCAGTCCAAGACTCTAATAAACTCTCCCACCCTGAATCCTTAAAAACTCTTAGTCTGTAAGTGGGTGTGGCTCCTAACCCAACTTGGTCAGAAGTCCCTCCCAGGTTTGTTTTCTGAAATAAACCTGTTGACTGTCAAGCCACCTTCGTGTTTCTCTCTCCTTTCTTTAATTCTTACATTCAGCTCTGTCTTCCTTCATGTGTTGGCTTTTTTGCTGACATGGCTTTCCTCATCATGACAATATGGCTTCCAGTGGCAACTGGTACTCCTTGTTTACACCAAGAAGGAGAAAGCAAGCAGGTCCAAATCATGGAACAGAAGTCCTGGCTTCAAGTTGGTTGGCCACTTCTTTGCTGTGGCCATGGGACCGCCATTGTCTGGTGACTTAGGCCTGTGTTATTCAAGCCAATCACTGTGGCTAGGGGATAGAACTAACCTGGTTGGCTTAGACTAGTCAGGACCCATGCCTAGGGCAGGGGTTGGGGTCAGTTCCCCACACAACATGGCTGCTACAAAATGGGGCAAGGAGATCATGGATGCTGGAGCAGCAATTTAAATGGCACTGCTAATCCTACCCACCAGTATGTATGGTGAGCCAATGACTGGCCACTCTAGAGTGAGCATGGTACAGAGACCAGTGTCTGCTCTCCTCCCAGTCAGTCTCAGTACCTGTGGGCTGCTGGTGGCATGAGCGTCTCCCTACCTTGAGTGCAATTCCAGTGTTTAAACATTTTTCATGCAACACAGATGCTAAACATAAGCTCCCAACTTCACACATCATCCCAACTGAAGGATGAACAATCTGCACCCAAGCTGGAGGAAACCTGGTTGGGTGTAGCACATGGCAAGCAGGTGTGACTTTCACCACCCAGCACCTTCCTAAGGGATTTTAAGGGTATTTGACTACATGCAATTTTTTCAATCCACACTTTTTAAAATATATTAATGGCTGGGCACAGTGGCTGACTCCTGTAATCCCAGCACTTTGGGAGGCCAAGGCAGGTGGATCACTTGAGGTCAGAAGTTCAAGACCAGCCTGACCAACATGGTGAAGCCCTGTCTCTACTAAAAATACAAAAATTAGCCAGGCATAGTGGTGGGCACCTGTAATCCCAGCTACTCAGGAGGCTGAGACAGGAGAAACACTTGAACCTGGGAGGCAGAGGTTGCAGTAAGCTGAGATCGCTCCACTGCACTCCAACCTGGGCAACAGAGTGAGGCTCTATCTCAAAAAAATTAAAAATTAAAAAATAAAATATATTAATCCTCTCCCCTGCAAGAAAGATGCAAGTCCACTCCTCCCCTACTTGGACCCAAATGCTACACTGTGTGTCCAAAAGATTCTTCTAAAGCATAATCTTTTGTTGCCACCCGTCACCAAACTCAGTCTTCTCTAACTGTTTAAAATCCTTCAATGGCTCTCTATTTCCTTTAGAACAGGGTTTCTCCACCTCAGCAGTATTGACATTTTGGGCCACATACAGGGCTGGATTCGTGGGCATGCAGCTCACACAGTCCCACAGGGCCGGGTACTCAGAAGGGCCCTCTTCCTGGTTTCCTGCTCTGCTTCAGCATCTTGACATTCTAATAATCTTAACTTTAAACATGTGTTTTGTGGCCAGGCACAATGACTCACACCTGTAATCTCAGCACTCTGGGAGGCTGATGGGGAAGGATCACCTGATGTCAGGAGTTAGAGACCAGCCTGGCCAACATGGCAAAACCCAGTCTCTACTAAAAATACAAAAATTAGCTGAGTGTGGTGGTGCACACCTGTAGTCCCAGCTACTTGGGAAGCTGAGGCAGGAGAATCACCTGAACCCGGGAGATGGAGGTTACAGTGAGCCAAGATCATGCCACTGCACTCCAGCCTGGCGACAGAACAACACTCTGTCTCAAAAAAAATAAATAAACTTGTGTTTTGTAAGTTAAATCCAATGGGACGATGCAGTGTGCCCATGAGCAGAGCAGATACAGCAGTATGCACGCCATGGCCATTGCTGCCCCATTTGCAATATAATGTTCCCAGTGCCCCACCGCACAGAGTTCGGGTGGACCCATGATGCATGGAGGTTCTGTGAAAATCAGAGCAAGTACAAAATAAGTGTGTTGAGTTTGCAGTTGAGTACACAGGGTCCCTGATAGCCCCAAGATGCTTTCCGACCACACCCTGCTTTGAATGCAGAAAGCAGGCAATGGCTACTAAGAAATGCAAATGGCCAAGAAACTCCAACATACTCTTTCTTACTAATGTTACTTCCCTGAACTTGCCAACTACTTATGCTGAAAATGATGTTACAGAAGAAGGGTTTAATTTAGCAAATAAAAATACAAGATACCTGTTAAATTTGAATCTCAGATAAACAGCAAATAATTTTTTAGTATAAATATGTCCCAAAATATATAATGGCACATATTTATAATACATTTTTATTTACTGTTTACCCAAAATCCAAATTAAACTAGGAATCCTATATTTCATCAGGTAACCCTACATAGAAGGAAAGGGAAACTCTGTTCCTTTTCCTTTCAGCCTTTCCTCCCTCATTACTAAGCAGAAGGTAGAGAGGATTGGTGGAATGTGCCAATATGAAGAAGTGAAATAAAAACAGGTGGCTGAGTTTTGTGCACCATTTCTACTGTTCTGGTAAGAACAAAATACCTATGCATGTACGAACTATGACATACAAATAGCTTAATTTTGATGATTCTGCGGATGATTAAATATTCTTATGTTTGCAATTTAAAACTGGCATTGAGTGATAAAAAGGTAAATGGTAAAATTCATGCTTATAGTTTAAATTTTTAAGTTTTTATGTATTTAGAATAGCATTAAATAGCAAATAAAAAACACCGTGATGACAAATAAAAAGAGACCATGGAAAAAAGGGGAAAAAAAAACTTTAGGTTTTAATACTTTTTAAAAAATTTTAGAGACAGGGTCTTGCTCCATTACTCAGACTGAAGTGCAGTGGTGTGATCATAGCTCACTGCAGCCCCGAATGATCCCCCTGCCTCAGCTTCCTGAGTAGCTGGGACTACAGGCATGTAAAAATTACCATGCTGGCTAATTTTTAAATTTTTTGTAGAGACGGGATCTTGCTATGTCGCCCAGGCTGTCTTCAAGAGATCCTCCTGCCTCCCAAAGCACTGGGATTATGGATGTGAGCCACTACGTTGGCCTTATATTTTAATACTTTTTTTTTTTTTGAGATGGAGTCTCACTCTGTCACCCAGGCTGGAGTGAAGTGGTACCATCTTGCCTCACTGCAAACTCTGCCTCCCGGGTTCAAGCAATTCTCCTGCCTCAGCCACCCAAGTAGCTGGGATTACAGGCGCCTGCCACCACGCCTGGCTAATTTTTGCATTTTTAGTAGAGACAGGGTTTCACCATGTTGGCCAGGCTGGTCTCGAACTCCTGACCTCAGGTGATCCGCCTGCCTCGGCCTCCCAAAGTGCTGGGATTACAGGCGTAAGCCACCATGCCCGGCCTTTAATGCTTTTAAAGGCACCTTTTTCCTGCTTCTTGAACAAGGGGTCCCATAATTTCACTTTGCACTGGACCTTACAAATTACGTAGCCAGTCCTGGGGGTGAGGTGGGGAGTGGGGATATCCTTGTGCGTTGGAGGATGTTTACTGACCTTAACCTCTTGACCATTAGATGCCAGCAGCAACCTGTCTCCACGATGTCACAATGCAAACTGTCTCCAGACATTGCCAAATGTCTCCTGAGGGGCAAAATTACCCCACATTGAGAACCACTGCTTTAGAAGAAAATCCAACTCTTTGATACATAAGAGCCTTAGTGACCTGGCCCTTGCCTCTCTTAACCTGCTCACTTCTTGCCATGGAGGGCTCCCATTATGCTGAGCCTACTTGGGGATTCTTGAACAAGCCACACTTGAGTGACTCCATGCCTTGGTGTACCCTCTTCCCACTCCCTAGACCACTTTTCTCCAATTTCCCTCAGCCGATTCCTTATCAGCTTTCAAAACTCACTCTGGATCGGGTGCAGTGGCTCACGGCTGTAATCCCAGCACTCTGGGAGGCCAAATCGAGCGTATCACCTGAGGTCAGGAGTTCGACACCAGCCTGGCCAACATGGCAAGACTCTGTCTCTTCTAAAAATATAAAAATTAGCTGGGCATGGTGGTGGGCGCCTATAATCCCAGCTACTCGGGAGGCTGAGGCAGGAGAAGGGCGTGAACCCAGGAGGCGGAGCTTGCAGTGAGCCAAGATTGTGACACTGCACTCCAGCCTGGGCAAAAGAGCGAGACCCTCTCTCAAAAAAAAAAAAAAAAAAAAGAAGAAGGGGAAAAGAAGGAAGGGAAGGAGGAGAAGAATTAGGTAGCGTATACAGAATATCAGCAGAATCAATAAGGAATTAAATATTTCCTCTTCTGCTAGAATAATACTTTTTGAGGTATTTGTCAGTTGTTTTCCCACATTTTTAAACTTATCACCTGTCCTCACCTTAGAATTCAAGCACTCTCAATATTCTGTGCTCATCGTCTCACGAGAAAGATGTGTCCGGCTAAAAGAGAGGGAAACCCAAAAGCCAAAACCCCCAGGGAAGGGGAGAGGATTTTAGGGCACAGCCCTAAAATTAACAAGAGTAGGAGTGTAGGCTTTCAGGAGAGTGGTTGCCTCGCTGGAGGCTAGAGAGTGATCCCAGGCTGGCTGAGGGAAGTGTGGCTGAGGATATGGTATGAGTGTTGACTTACACGGGTTCCAGGGAGGGCCCAGGAACTGGCTCCAGGTCAGAGCCCTACAGACAGTGCAACCCCTAGACACGTGTGTGGGAGCCAAGAGCAGAAAGTGGCCATGCCCTCCTCCCTAACACAGCCCACGAAGGCAGCAAACCCAGAGAGGAAAAGTGTGGAGGTGCCTGGGCCTCGGGAGGACATGGATGTGGACCGGCAGCCAGCATGGATGACAGCAGGATCAGCCTGCGTAGATGGACACTGTCAGGACCCTGAAGTGCCCGGGTCCCATGAAGAACCTCAAATTTATAAAAAACTGAGGGAAAGCAAGTTGACTGAGGCAGAATTTTTGTCACTCACGGGCGAAGGAGGCTCAAAACAAAAATTAGCTAGGATCTTGCTTCAGCTGCTGTGACAGAGACTCAAAACTAACAATGGCTTCATCAGGAAAGAAGTTGATTCCTTGGTGGTTCACACCTGTAATCCAGCACTTTGGGAGGCCGAGGCGGGCAGATTATCTGAGGTCAGGAGTTCGAGACCAGCTTGGCCAACATGGTATAACCCCGTCTCTACTAAAATACTAAAATTAGCTGGGCATGGTGTTGTGCGCCTGTAGTCCCAGCTACTCTGGAGGCTGAGGCAGGAGAATTGTTTGAACCCAGGAGGTGGAGGTTGCAGTGAGCCGAGATCGTGCCACTGCACTCCAGCCTGGGAGACAGAGAGAGACGCTGTCTCAAGAAAAAAAAAAAAAATGTGAGCAAGGATGTGGAGAAACTAGATCACTCATGCATTGTTGGTGGGAATGTTAAACAGTACGGCAGCTCTGGAAAACTGGCAGTTTCTTATAAAACTAAACATGCAACAACCATATGACCCAGCAGTTATATTCTTGGGCATTTATTTAAGATAAATGAAAACTTATGTTTGTGCAAAAACATGTACATGTATCCTCATATCAATTTTTCTTCATTAGAGCCAAGAACTGAAAACAGCCTAGATGTCCTTCAGTGGGTGAATTGGTAGAAGTGGAATACGACTCAGCAATAAAAAGGAACAAACTATTTGATACATGCTACAACTGGATGAATCTCCAGAGAAGTAAGCTGAGTGAAAAAGGCCAATCTCAAAAGGTTACACACGGTAGGATTTCATTTATATAGCATTTTTGAAATGATGCAATTTTAGAAATGGAGAATGGATTATTGGCTGCCAGACGTTAGAAGTTTGGGGAAAAGGGGTGGGAGAGAGGTGGATGGGTTTATCCAGGAACAACAAAGGGGATCCTTGTGATAATGGAACTGTTCTATATCTTGACTGTAGTGGTGAATACACAAACCTACACCTACCTATAAAATCATATAGAACTAAGTACACACACCCACAGAAATGCATACAAGTAAAACTGTGGATATCTGACCAAGATGGGTAGATTGTATCAATGTCAGTATCTTGTGAAATTGTATTATAATTGCAAGATGTTGCCATTGGAGGAAACAGAGTAAAGAATACATGAAATTTATCTGTATTATTTCTCAGAATTGCATGTGAATTCATGCATAAAATTTAATTTTTAAAAATCAAATGCATTTTGCTCAATTGGGAGTACTTAAAATACAGCAAATGGGTGACAACCTCTTGGAATTATAACACAAGACCTTCCTGCTAAAATAAAATGGTAACACTATTACTACAATAATTTTGTTTTAATTTTAAAAATAAAAATAATAAAGAAAGTAAACTGGACCTTGATTCAATCTTGCAAATAGCAAAAGAGACACCAAAGGGACTTTGGTGACAGACTAACGAGCACATTTAGATAGTGTTCTAGGTTAACACCTGATGTTGGCATTTCTAGTGCCCTTCCCACCTTTTCTGTTGGACAGATATGGAACGTAAACTCAAAAAACATGGCTTACAAATTACCATATTGCCTGAACTTCAACATTTAGTGGAACATTTTGAAGATGCTTCAGATACCCAGAAGGAAAACAAACACAGAAACAAAGCACATCATGTAACAATTAAAGCAATTATTTCTATCCTCCTCTACCTCAAGAGACAGTAAAAACCTTCCCTTTGACAAAAACACTTACTTGTACAATCCTCCCTTGATATCCGAAGGGGACTGGTTCCAGGACCTGCTGCAGACACCAAAATCCACAGATGCTCAAGTCTCTAAAATAAAATGGTGTACTACTTGCATATAACCTATACAAATTCTCCCCTATACTTTAAATCATGTCCAGATTGCTTATAATACCTAATACAATGTTGTTATACTGCATTGTTCTTTAAATTTGTATTTTTATTTTTGTATTATTGTTTTTCATTTTTTTCCAAATTTTTTTATCTGAGGTTGGTTACATCCATGGATGTGTCATCCACAGATACAGAGGGCCAACTGCACTTAACAAAGGGGAGAGCACTAGGAAAAGTAACCCATCTTAACTAAAATGAAACAGAAGTAATGCTCCTTCCCTGTTATTCTAAATAGGAATAATGAAGGGACTCTGGGCAATATTATAGTGCCCAATTTCTCCTTCAAATCATTAAGGAGGATTATCTTTAATAATAGAGGGAGAAAGCAAATCTTTCTGATAGGTACAGGTGCTACTCTGTCTACTATAAATTCTACCATGATTCCTACTCATCTTCCTTAAAGTCACTAAACTATTCTGGAATTTCAAAACAGCACTCAAACACTTCCCATTACGCAACCTGTAACTGTAATTCTTGGCCTCTTCACTAGTCAGCATGTATTTCGTCTCTGTGACACCACACAAGTATATTGCATTGGGAGGGATGCTTTTTTTTTTTTTTTGAGACGGAGTCTCGCTCTGTCACCTAGGCTGGAGTGCAGTGGTGCAATCTAAGCTCACTGCAAGCTCCGCCTCCCGGGTTCACGCCATTCTCCTGCCTCAGCCTCCTGAGTAGCTGGGACTACTGGCATCTGCCACCACACCCGGCTAATTTTTTTGTATTTTTAGTAGAGACGGGGTTTCATCCTGTTAGCCAGGATGGTCTAGATCTCCTGACCTCATGATCCACCTGCCTCGGCCTCCCAAAGTGCTGGGATTACAGGCGTGAACCACCATGCCCGGCCAGGAGGAATCTTTTGTGTGAATGGAACTGTCAACTCAAATGTTCCTCAGATGGCCTATTTCTAAAAGCACCTAAAAACTCTCCCAGGCATAATCATTTAATAATGCAATTTATATGGCACTTTGTTTGTCCTTGTACGTTTAACCCAATGTCTATATGAGGAATTACGTAAGGTACTTGATTCTCTCTGGGACAAGAGTTCTGATAAGGGAAGCATTCTGGGGACCAAGCCCATCAAAGCAGAAACCGACTTTTCTAAACCTTTACCTGTTCTTGCTCAATACCCTTTAAAGCCCGAAGCTAAGAAAGCATCAAGGCCCATGATGGAAGATTTTATAAACAGGGACTCATTCATTATTCCTTGCACCAGCCCTTGTAGTACTCCAGTGTTGCTCTGTAAAAGACCTCACAGGCATAGATATTGATTTATGCAAGACCAGAGGTCCATAAATAAGATCGTGATTCCTCTTTTCCCAGTGGTCCTTAATTCAAATTCTATTTTGTCTTCAATACTACCCGAAGCCACTCACTTCACTGTGATGGGCTTATGTTTTTTAGCATCCCATTAGATCTAGGCAGTCAATATTTATTTCCCTTCTCATGGGAAAATCAACAATATACTGTACCTGGACTGTTTTGCCTCAGGGATTTACTGAAGATCCTTTCTTATTTCTCTCAGGTTCTTAATTGGGACTGCAAGGATTTGAGATTTCCTTGTGAGTCTATTCTAATATAATATGTAGATATAATACGTAGATGATCTTTTACTATGTTCAAAAAATGAGCAAAACTTTAAGACTGATTTGGTGTATTTATTAAAGACCTTCATTCAGAAGAGACATAAAGCCTTCAAAGAGAAATTAAAATTCTGCTACAACAACAATAGCAACAACAAAATGTTCATTATTTAGGGCACACACCATCAAAAGAAGGCAAATCTCTCGCAGCATAAAAATTACAAATTATTCAGTTTTCCCAAACGAACTATTACAAAGCAACTTTGAGGGTTCCTAGGGTGACTATATATTATGGGTGATGGGTGCCAACCTCTTCTGCCATTGCTACCCCTTTCCGTGAATTAAGTCCTTAGATCCTGAACCTCTTACTCTAGGAAGATTCATATAATAAGACTTCCGAAACCTAAAAAAGTCTCTGCAACAGTCCCCAAACCTGGGGTCACCTTTTTATCATAAACCCTTTTCCTATTTTGTTATTAAAAGTCTAAACACTAGGAATACTAACCCAATTACCTGACAACCATCAGAGGCCCTTTTTTCAGTCTTCCCATTAGATCCAGTAGCTAAGATGTAGTCACCTTGTCTAAGAACTATAGCAGCACCAGCATATTTATGGAAGCCTCAGGTGGCTCAGTTCTAGTTTCTCCATGAAACTTAATGGTTTCTCATGTACACACTCCTTTATTAATGGAAAATAGTCAGCATTTCTCAGCTAGCTGCCTGACATCCTATCAAACGCTATGCTTTCACCTTCAAACATCACTATCACTGCAACACTCTAAACCTAGCCACTCCCCTTCCTTTACCTGAAGGAGAACTTCACAATTAAGTCCGTCTTACAGATTTACCTGAATCTTATACAGGTTTGTTACCAATTCCCCAGATATCCCTGACATAATTTTTTTTTTTTTTTTTTTGAGATGGAGTCTCACTCTGTCACCCAGGCTGGAGTGAAGTGGCATGGTCTCGGCTCACTGCAACCTCCACCTCCCAGGTTCAAGCAATTCTTCCTGCCTCAGCCTCCTCAGTAGCTAGGATTACAGGCACCTGCCACCATGCCTGGCTAATTTTTTTATCTATAGTAGAGACGGGGTTTTGCCATGTTGGCCAGGCTGGTCTTGAACTCCTGACCTCAGGTGATCCGCCTGCCTCGGCCTCCCAAAGTGCTGGGATTACAGGCGTGAGCCACCGCACCCGGCCATCTGATGTAATTTTATTTGTGGACGGTTTCTTTTTAAAAATAGAAACTTAGGGCTGAGCCCTAAATTTATGACCTTCCACTTTTATTATAGTTACTTCCCTGCTTATAGAATGCAAGGATCCCAAATCTCATGGTAGTGCTTTAGCTGACCACTATGCCAAAAAAGGCAACATTAGCCAAACATAATTGTTCCTGTAATAACACAGAAAAGAGAGGCCTTGGAGAATTCAAAAAGGCTATTATTGACTGTCAGAGACAAGCTCCTGGTTTGGAAAAAAGCAAATGGAAAAAATTAGGATGCTCATTGCATATAGATAATATTTGGCATTTGCAGAATGATCTGCCAGTAGTGCCAAAAAATGAAAAATGGAATTTAGTAAAGATGCTTCATGATATTACAAGTAATAGCAGAAATAAATTGGCAACAATATTAGACTAACATAAGCGGGCTAAATTTAGAGTTAGTGCTGAGGATGTTTCCAAAACATCTCCTACCTTCCAGTGACACAATCCTGGCAAAACTGTAAAGATCAGACATGGACAGAAACCAAACCTCAAGGGCCCTTTGAACACTCCAGATGGACTTTATATAAATGCCTCCTGCACTGGGTTATGAATATGTTCTGGTTATTGTCTATTTATTCTCAGAGCTGGTTGAATCTTCTCCTTGCCAGAGAGCTACGCCTCTAAGAAAAAAAAAAAAATCTTGCTTTTGTTTTTCCCACTTGGGAAATTCCCACTTATCTCTCTTTTTATTAGTACTATTCTTTTTATTAGTACTACTAATACTCTGTAAAGTTTTGTCTTTTACTCAAAAATGCATTATCCATAATACTCAGGGAAAAAATAGAACTAATGGAATTCTAAAATAAAATTAGCAAAGCACTCAGGAACTCTTAATTCCCATAGCCTGAAGTATGACCATTAGATTTAATGTCTATAAAATGAACCCCCTCTGAAAACCCACAGATTATCTCTTTATGAATTAATAACAGATTGCCCCATGTATTTGGGAATTTCACCCCCAATCTTATATTCTACCTTAATTGTCTCCCCTAAAATTTATGCTCGAGTCCTAACCCCTGATACCTGTGAATATGACCTTATTTGGAAATAGGATCTTGGTAGATGCAATCAAGATTAAGTTACAATGGATCACAGTAGGCCCTAATCCAATTACAAGGTGTCCTCGTGCTTTTTTTTTTTTTTTTTTTTTTTTTTTTTTGAGATAGGGTCTTACTCTGTTGCCCAGGCTGGAGTGCGGTGGTGTGATCTCAACTCACTGCAGCCTCGGCCTCCTGGGCTCAAGCAACCCTCCTGCCTCAGCCTCCGAAGTAGCTGGGACTACAGGTGCACACTGACACGCCCAGCTAATTTTCGTACTTTTTGGTAGAGACAAGGCTTTGCCATGTTGCCCAGGCTGGTCTCAAACTCTTGGGCTCAAGCTATCTGCCAACCTTGGCCTCCCAAAGTGATGGGATTACAGGCATGAGCCCAGCCAACATACATCTTTTTAAGAAGAGAGAAATTTGGGCTGGGCGCGGTGGCTCATGCCTGTAATCCTAGCACTTTGGGAGGCTGAGGCGGGCAGATTGCCTGAGCTCAAGAGTTGGAGACCAGCCCAGGCAACATGGCAAAACCCCGTCTCCACTAAAAATACAAAAAATTAGCCGGGCATGGTGATGTGTGACCGTAATCCCAGCTACTAGGGAGGCTGAGGCGCGAGATTCGCTTGAACCAGAGAGGCAGAGGTTGCAGTGAGCCAAGATCGCACCACTGCACTCCAGCCTGGGTGACAGAGCAAGACTCTGTCTCAAAAAAAAAAAGAGAGAGAGAGAGAAATTTGGATACAGAGACACACGCAGAAAGAAGGCCATGTGGTGATGGAGGCAGAGATTGGAGTGATGGTTCTACAAGCCAAGGAAACCCAAGTGTGGCCAACAATCACCAAAAGTTATGGAGAGGAAGGATTCTTCCCTAGAGCCTTCAGAGGGAGAGTGGCTCTTCAATACACTGATTTCAGGCTTCCGGCCTCCAGAACTGTATTCTGTTGTTTTAAGCCATCCAGTTTGTGGAACTCTGTTTTGGTAGTCCTAGGAAGCCAACACATTATCTTTCTACAGGCAGATATGATTAATTACTTCATCAACAAGCAAAAGGTGCATTTCCAAACCACCCTCTGAACAACCTCTATATAATCTGCAACATGGAGGTTTAGTCTTCCTGGAAAAGACCCTAGAGAAAGACTGCCCTTGAATCACAATGAAAGGACCTTACCAGGTACTATTAACAAATAACATAGCAGTAAAAGGCCAAAGTAATGTTCCTCTGATTCACATTTCCCAGTTCAAAAGATTCACATCTTGGCCAGGTGCAGTGGCTCACACCTGTAATCCCAGCGCTTTGGGAGGCCGAGGCAGGCAGATCACAAGGGCAGGAGATCCAGACTATCCTGGCTAACACTGTGAAACCCCGTCTCTGCTAAAAATACAAAAATTAGCCAGGTGCAGCGGCACGTGCCTGTAGTCCCAGCTACTAGGGAGGCTGAGGCAGGAGAATTGCTTGAGCTCAGGAGGCGGAGGTTGCAGTGAGCTGAGATTGAGCCACTGTACTCCAGCCTGGGCAACAGAGCGAGGCTCCGTCTCAAAAAAAAAAACACACATCTCTTCCTCCTGACTACTAAACATCCATTTCATCTGAAGCCTTAAACTGAAGATTCTTAGGAATTCTCTAGAAGTTGTCAACTTCAGAAATGGACAGCACTGACCCCAGATTATGGAACAAATAATGAAGCTCCAAAATGGACAGCTTCTCCTGAAGATGAAGGAACAAGATACATTTTCAGATTCGTCATCAATTTTCTGATTTCCCTTAACAATACAATGTTGTCTAATGTACCACTTCAACACCTTCTAGAACACTAATATAATGCCTCTTATTTTCATCCTAATATTTTTTTTTCACGCGCCACCACGCCCAGCTAATTTTTGTATTATTAGTAGAGTCGGGGTTTCACTATGTTGGCCAGGCTGGTCTCGAACTCCTGAGCTTTTGATCTGCCCACCTCGGCCTCCCAAAGTGCTGGGATTACAGGCCTGAGCCACTGCGCCTGACCCATCCTGATATTTCTGACCGTTGTGATCTTTTTGTATTCCTTAATAAAAAGCAAAACTCTCATATGTTTTTCCCAGATCACAGCTGTGGCTCTGAAGCCAATGGATTGCTGAATCTGTAATCCCCTAACTGACCCTGTGGACAAAAATATAACAGCTGTTCCTTTAAATACTTTAGAATGAAAATTCCCTTTTACAGAACCCTTCTGGTGCTGGAGTTTTCCTCAAGTCATTAATCCCAACCTCTAATCTTGCAAAAAATTAATCTTAACTTTATATCAATGAAATGTTTCTACTGAGATCATCACAATCGTATCAGCAAAGTCTAGTCAATAGGTAATAAACGCTAATGTTGGGCTATCCTGATCATGACAGTTTGTTCTCTTCAGAGATACTTCAGCCTGCCTTGCAGGAACTGTTTAATTCCACTCAAGGGATTTGTTAATCTCGAGGGAATTCAGTCTATGTTGCACTAAGGATACTACTCCTTAAATGGACATCAGGTGTATACCTCCCTACCTCACGATCACTGATCTGTGTATTCAGAGCAATTGTCAGAGATTTCCAAATATTTAAAACTATCATCCTTCTATTGGATCCTATATCCTTGTGAAGGATATCCAGAAGCCTTCAAAATGAAGCAAACACAAATTATTTGAGGGAACTTTCAGGAGCAATACCTCATTTCCTCTTCATGTATACTCTGCAAGCTGTGATTCCTATAATAGGAATAATACAATTAGAAAAGTGGTTTGAGGCTGGGTATGGTGCCTCACGCCTGTAATCCCAGCACTTTGGGAGGCTGAGGTAGGAGGATCGCTTGAGCCGAGGACTTCAAGACCAGCCTGAACAACATAGTGAGATCCTGGTCGGGCGCAGTAGCTCATGCTTGTAATCCCAGCACTTTGGGAGGCTGAGGCAGGCAGATCACCTGAGGTCAGGAGTTCAAGACCAGCCTGGACAACTTGCTGAAACTCCATCTCTACTAAAAAATACAAAAATTAGTCAGGTGTGGTTGTGCATGCCTGTAATCCCAGCTACTCAAGAGGCTGAGGCACGAGAATTGCTTGAACTCAGGAGGCGGAGGTTGCAGTGAGCCGAAATCATGCCACCGCACTCCAGCCTGGGCAAGAGAGCCAGACTTTGTCTCAGAAAAAAAAAAAAAAAAAGTGAGATCCTATCTCTACCAAAAAAAAGAATTAAAATTAGCCGGGTGTAGTGGCAAACACTTATACTCCCAGCTACTCAGGAGGCTGAGGTGGGAGGAAGAGAGAGAACCTAGGAGTTTGAGGTTACCATGGGCCATGATCACGCCACTGTACTCCAGCCTAGACAACAGGGAGACCCTGTCTCTAAAAAAAAAAAAAAAAAAAAAAAAAAAAAGTGGCTTGAAATTTGAAATTTGTCCCTGACTTTAGCAGGAGTTGTAAACAACACTACTCCTGCTCTTGGAGCCAAACGAACTAATCTAAGCTCATTAGCTAGAGTTGTCATGAACAATTGTACAGCCCTTGATTTTCTCTTAGCCAGCCAAGCAGGAGTTTGTGCCACAGCAAACACTTCAGCTGCACCTATATAAATACTTCTGGGTAAATAGAACAGTAAATGACTAAGCTAAAAGAAAAAGCCATCTGGCTCTCTCAGATGGATTATGGGACATGGTTTCATTGCCTGGGTTTCATAATCTAGGCCCTTGGCCTCAAACCATAATGTAAAAACTAATTGTCATTTTGCTTCTGATAATGGCCTGTGGTGCAGTTGGCTGATGGATCCTGTGCAGAGTCTTAAATGCTTCTGTGCAGCCATTGTCTCATCAGAGGTGCAGCCACTCATCCTACAACAGAAGGTAAAGGAAAGATTAACCCTAGATCAATCAGAGGCTACATTCAACAAGCAATCTTCTGATCTTAATCAACAATATCTTGGCAATGATGAAAATCTGGATATAATCATTAATGTCCTGTGGTCTGACTTTGTCTGCCGTTGGCCAAAAGGGAAATAAAAGGAATAAAAAAAGAAAAAAAAAAAGGCAGCCCCTGACATTCAGAAGCAAGTCTGACTCTCCCAACTAGGCATATTAATCTCCTATTAGATAGGTATAAACAATCTCACAGAATCCCAATCTCAGACAAAGCCATTAAGAGATCATGATAAAATGAGAAAAAGCAAGGCCACTTCCTAATTTGATCTAAGCACAGGCAAAACAAGGTCACTCTCCCAATCACAAAATACCAAACACCCCCTTTCCCACCCCAATGAGTGGCTGTTGCTTCTTTACCAATTATAACTTTATCCTAGTTCTAAACTCCTCTCCCTATAGTTAAGATGTATTGGCCAGGTGCAGTGGCCCATGCTTGTAATCCCAGCCCTTTGGGAGGCCGAGGCGGGCAGATCATGAGGTCAAGAGATCAAGACCATCCTGGCCAACATAGTGAAACCCCATCTCAACTAAAAATACAAATATTAGAAGGGCGTGGTGGCATGTGCCTGTAGTCCCAGCTACTCGGGAGGCTGAGGCAGGAGAATTGCTTGAACCTGGGAGTCAGAGGTTGCAGTGAGCCGAGATCACACCACTGCATTCCAGCCTGGTGACAGAGCAAGACTCCATCTCAAAACAACAACAACCACAACAACAACAAAGATTTATTAAGACATGAAATCATAGAATCACCCCTGCTTTCTGGCAACATCCAATCTAGAGCATACCGCACTTCCTTGGGCCTTTCCTCAGATCACTCAACGAAAGCCAAGTCACATAATAGGTTATTTTTTATTTTATTTTATTATTTTTTTGAGACGGAGTCTCACTCTGTCACCCAGGCTGGAGAGCAGTGGCATGATCCCAGCTCACTGCAACCTCAGCCTCCCGGGTTCAAACGATTCTCCTGCCTCAGTCTCCTGAGTAGCTGGGACTACAGGTATGCACCACCACGCCCAACTAATTTTTTTTTGTATTTTTAGTAGAGATGAGGTTTCGCCATGTTGGCCAGGCTGGTCTGGAACTCCTGACCTTAGACGATCCACCCACCTTAGCCTCCCAAAATGCTGAGATTATAGGCATGAGCCACCACGCCTGCCAAGTCACATAATAGGTTCTTTCTCACGCCCTTTGTCTGAGACACCCATGAGTCCCCATGGCGTGTGTTCTCTCTCACTGCAATGAATAATAAACCCAACTTCTTCAACTAACAGTGTGTTCCTGGTGGTCTTTGACTGACAGGCATCGACAAAACCATCCTAGGGAGAGTTCACAACAAAGATGGTACTTTAGGAAGAATCGTCTAGAAGTAACATGTGGGGTTCTGGGTAATTGAGAAACAACTGTGCTTACCTCAGAGTAAAGAGATGAGGGATTGTGCCAAGACGGTAGTTATGGGAATAAAGATGGCAGCATTTTGGAAGAAAATACATTTTGTAAGAACTAGTAGGAACTAAATAATCACCATGAATTCATTCACGCAAGCAAAGCATACCAGGCAGGGACATAGTGCTGAACAAGACAACTGAGTCCTTCTTTGAAAGGAGCTCATATTCCCACGAGGGAAGACAATGACAAAGACCACCTGTGCATGTGTAAGAGGAGACAGAAGATACGGATGTTGGTGTGATGCAGAGTGAACCAAGGGGTGGTGGCAGCAACTTCAGACAGAATGGTGGGGGAAGATGGCTCTGCTGCAGTGAGCTGTGAGCATTATTTGAACACAGTTCAAACAGCTGGCTACATTTGATTGGCCAAAACTTGGTGATTGGCACAAGTGTAGGCTATGGTCTGTTCACACTTCCACTTGTTAGAGTTCACCATGTACAGAGAAATCTTTAAGCCAAACTTAAAATATGTAAGGAGGCAGCTTTAGGCTAAATTTGATTTAACAGGCATGAGCCACTGTCCCCTGCCTAACAGACTTTCTGAGCAGTGATGTCCTGGTTCCAGCTTCTCCTGGTCAGTCAAGCATACGGCCACGCACCTTCTGATTTCCAGCTTCCAAAGTTTTGTATACATTTCCTCTCCTCTCCCAGTCCCCTTTCCTTGTGTATTTAAGTCCCTTTTATTAAAAAGAAATTTACAGTCATTTTTATATTTGAAAATGGCCAGAGAAACTAATGTGTGTTCAATCAAGAGTTTAACAGGAAGTCACCTTGTTTGATTTTTTTTTAATTAACAAACGATTATTTTCATACTTAGGTCAGTTAATTGGTCCTTTATAACACTTATGTCAGATGTTCAGAGTCTGTGCTTTCTGGCCAAGATAGATCAATAATCTATGTAAGTGATTATTACACTTAAGAGGAGAGGCTTAGAAATATACCCTTAACCACCGTGAGAGACATGAGGATCAAGTTCCTGGGTTAAAAGTAAGTGCACTTCCTCAAATTTAATTTCCTAAATGATGCTGTATATCTTGTTTTTCAACTGTCTTTTTAATTTTCTATTTTTCCTGTTAGTATACACATTTTTCTCAATAGACTGACTTAGATGAGGGCTTTCAGATATTCTGTCTATAACTGGAATCCAACACATTAGGAAAGCCCAAGGGGGAAATAATCTCAAAGTTATACACCAAATCAGCAGCAGAGCAGAACATAAAGCCCAGGGACTTTCACTGTTCACTCTGTCAATAACAACTCTGGGGACCTGTAGGGACATCCAATTTTATTGGAAGATTTCTCTTTTGTGGGTGTTCTAATTATGAATACTGAAGGGGAAAAATACACACGATGTGAAAATGATGACTTATACTCATGGTATTCAAATATAAATGACACTTTAAATGGAGATGCAGTCCTGCTATAGAAAGAGCACTGGACAGGAAGGCAGGAACCAGGCTTCTTGTTCTGACGTTGTAACTAATGAGCTATTTAATTTTGGACAAATAATTTAACTTCTCTGGACCTCAAAGTCTTGGTCTGAAAATGAAAGTGTTACAGTACATAACATATTCTCTAGCTCCAAAATTGTATGAAAACCTTCATTTTAAAGATTTTGAAACTAAAGGTGAGTTGAAATGATTGTATCATGTTGTCTTGAAATATTAAAAATAATACAATTCATTTACTATAACTTTAAAAAGATAGAATGGTTACAGAAATATATTCAATTTAGAAAAGACAGCCCAGGTGTGGTGGCTCAAGCCTGTAATCCCAGCACTTTGGGAGGCCAAGGTGGGCGGATCACCTGAGGTCAGGAGATTGAGACCAGTCTGGCCATCATGATTGTTATAAAGTTTCGGTGCCACAAAAGAAATAGCACTCGAGTATAAAATTTTCTTTTTAATTCTCAGCAAGGCAAGGTACTTCTATAGAAGGGTGCACCCTTAAAGATGGAGCAATGGTGAGCACACACTTGAACAAGGGAGGGAAGGGGTTCTTATCCCTGACTTACTTGGCCCCTGCTGCTGTGTCGTTCCCCTATTGGCTAGGGTTAGACTGCACAGGCTAAACTAATTCCGATTGGCTAATTTAAAGAGCGTGATGGGGTAAATGGTTTGGCAGGAAAAATGGTTATGACAGAGCAGGTAATCAGAATGAGTCAGGGTGGAGCAGGTGATTGAAATGAGTCACAGTGGAGCAGGTAATTGAAAAAGGTTGCTTTATGAGGAAGTTAAGTTTAAAAGTAGAAGGTAAAGGATTTAACATACTGACATATTGAGTCTTTGAAAAGAAATTTAGAACTCATGTCTAACAACCCCTCCCCTGGTATTTCCTTACAGCTTTCTTTTCAAACTTGTTTTAACATGTCTTGGCTTAGTTGTTTTGCTTGATTTTCCAAAATCAGCAGCTTCTCTGGATAAGGTGGAGGATAGTTAAGGGAGGTTTCAGTAAGTACCATTTTTATGAGCCTCTGTATCAGCCTATGGATGCATGGTATGACACAGCACCTGACAAGAATAAGTACACCCATTACGGCTGTGAGGGAAGTAAGAATTTACCGAACCACTTTTCTAGCCATCCTGTAAAGGGGTCATTTACTCCTGAGTTGCCGGCTAACTCATTGGACGGAGCAGTCAGACCTTGCAACGCCTTTGTTATACTCCCATTAGGGGTGGTGTTGTTTGGGATGAAGGTTCAACATTGAGTTTTAATCGTGATGCAAACTCCTCCTCTTTCTGCTAATATCATGTCTGCTATCCTATTTTCCTAAGCCATCTGCTAGTAGCCCCTAATTGTTCAGCTATTCCTTTAACAGCATCTCTAGTGTAATTAATAAATCGCTGTTGGTTGTAGTAGATGTAATTTATCCAATCTACACTTTTATTAATTGTCACCTACCAAAATATTGACTCAAATCCTGCAGCTATTTGACTTCAGGTTTTAAATTGATCTGGTGTTCCCTGTGGACTCCAGCTGCATCTAAATAGACCTGAGAGTCGAAAGATCCATTAGGGGCTGCTCTCGCTTTACCATGTCTTATTTTTCCTTCCTCTGGTTGATGAAATGCCAGGGTGAAAGGGATAGCCAATTGGACTAAAGTGCAAGTGCCACTCCAGTTATTTGGCAGAGTGTCCAGTAAAGGTCCACCACAATACCGCCATACATCCGCTCATACCACCACACATCCACTCGGGATGAACAAGAGGTGACCGATTGATAAGCTCTTGAAAATTCTTAAGTTCACTGCATCCCTTCAGGTCTCCAAGGAATGCTAAGTTTCCTCCCTGTCATGAGAGACATGAAGTGAACTCAGGGTTGGGAGACAGAAGCTGGATGGCCCTCAGGGGCTGACCGGCAGGGTGCTGGACTTCGGGATATAGCAGAGAGAGAGCTTGGCACGACTTACTACTCCAGGCTGTAGAATCCTGGAAAACAGCTACCATGCAGCCCACGCCTGGTCGACTGGAAGACCACCTTAGTGGAAAGGGGACAATCTGGGCCTCTGGCCTGCTGTGTGCACAAGCATAACAATTGCTTTTGTTTAACGTGTGGACAGAATATTTGATCCATTCCAACCAGGCATTTGCATGTTGGTATCCTGTCTTAATTGCCAAAGTTTATTTTAATTCTTTAACTTCTATGATCCTCTAGTAAGATGAATGCATGGTTTTAGGAAATTACAAAAACCGGTTGGGGCAGTCCATCTTTGCTCTTCAGTGGTCCACAGAACATTGGACCAACTAGGGCATAAAAGCTCTATATCGGGGGGCAAGACTCCTGGTTGACATGGGGGTCTTTATCAAAATCTCCCTGGATTAAATGGTCCCAATTTACTAAGGCCCAGTCTGAGGAGAGTCAGGAGGGACAGAGGTACTTTTCTTTTTTTTTTTTTTTTTTTTGAGACAGAGTCTCGCTCTGTCATCCAGGCTGGAGTGCAGTGGTGTGATCTCGGCTCACTGCAAGCTCCATCTCCCGGGTTCACGCCATTCTCCTGCCTCAGCCTCCCGGGTAGCTGGGACTACAGGCACCCACCACCATGCCCTAATTTCTTTTGGTATTTTTAGTAGAGATGGGGTTTCACCGTGTTAGCCAGGAGGGCTACAATCTCCTGACCTCACGATCTGCCCGCCTTGGCCTCCCAAAGTGCTGGGATTACAGGCGTGAGCTACCGCGCCTGGCCAGACAGAGGTACTTTTCTGAAGTCAAGAGCTGTCTTTGACTTGGCAAGCCCCCACAGGGTATAACGAGGCCAGCATTAAATGCAACAGTTTGAGGCGAAATTAACTTGGTTATGTTAATAACTAGATGGTCAGCAATAGAGCTAGGAAAGAAGAAAGAGTAATAGAGTAGATGAAAGAGTCAAACTTTTCTTAGCTTTAGTTTGGTAGGGTTTTCCCCTGGGACCATGGCCCACGACTCTGCAGGGGACGGTGCTTTCTTGACTCAGGTGTAATGAGTCCATCCCTTTTCTGCTGTACGAACAGCAGTCTTGGTGGTTAGCAGCACAAGGTAGGGTCCTTCCTAGGCTGTCTTGAGTTTTCTTTCTTTCCACTCTTTGATGAGAACGTGACCTTCAGGCTGGTGCTGGTTTACCAGAAATTCTAGGGGTGGTACCTGTGCTAAAAGACTTTTAGTTTTGAGGAAAAGGAAAGTGGAAGATACACCAAGTATATAATTTCTAAGAAATCAATCTTTTGTTTTAAATGTGGGGACATCAGCAGTGGACTTTGTAGTTCCTGGTGACTTTTTACTGAGAAATTTCCTTTATCACCTATTTTTATTAGTTTTTAGACCAAAGAAAGCCAAACACCATTTGATATTTTACAATGCTTCCTGTATGATTTTTATACCAGATAAACTAAATTTCACCTTTATATTAGTGTTTATTAATGTTAAACTCAATTTTAATAAAACCTTGTAGACATATTTATCTAATTTTAACTTCTGACCATAAGGTAAGATTTTTATAGACTCTTTTTAACCTTTTATAATTTTTGTTAAAGAGCAGGTTAGTGCTTTAAGAAAAACCCGCTGTGCTTTTAATGTCCAATTCACAGAAAAACTGGATGATACCCTTATAACTTTAGCCAATACGTTTGCACACAGAATTTCCTTTACGATTAACGTTTTAAACTTGCTTAAAACCCTCAAAACAATTTTTTAACCTTTAAATGTAGGTAAAAATCCACGTTCTTATTCCTCCTTATAATCCTTTTACCAAAAGTATATTTTACTTTCCTTATATACCTTGCACATAAACTGTTTCTTCAATAGTTTTACATTCAGGATACCTAAATACATTTAAATTATACAACATTTCTTGCATAAATCCCCTTTTATAACATGCATTTTTTTTCACGACTTCCACAGACAATTCTTCGATATGCCTCAACTTTGTCTTGTTGCAAACATCCCTTTCTTTAAACAACCAGTTAATTTATTTTCGCACAATAATTTACCATATAGCATTCTTTTTACGTAAATTCTCCACTCCCCCCCTTTTTTTTTTCCAAAGATGATAACCATTCTTTTCCAAAGTGAACTTCCTTCATGTCTGTGGACTAGACTGCCTAACGCCACAAGATTAGAAGTCAGGATAATACATGTTACACTGTTAACTTTTAGCAAACTTTACTTTTTTGAAAACCTTGTAAGTTTGGGATTTCAATTATCCTTTGCTATTAATAAGACCTTGTTTAGTCCAAATTAACTTAGAATTGGTATAGATGTTTCCTTCCTGGTTCTATAAGTACCTTAAGGCTTGGCTGAGTGCAAACAGCTCTCACATTTGAGCAGACCAATTATTAGGCAATTTTCCTAACTCTGCTTTTACAAGAGTTTCCCTATTAATTACTGAATATCCATTATGTCTTTTTCCCTCAGTCACTAGGAAGGAACCATCTATCCCCCTGTCCTGAAGGGAGTTCCTCCTAGGTCTGGTTGGACCTTTGTATGGTAATTAAGATTTAGATCCCCTGTTAGGAAACCCGCTAAGGGAATTATCAGTGGTTAATGTTAAATCGTCTTTTTCTAATGGAATAGCCCCATACTTTAAGATTTTTGAGTTAGTAAGCTACCTTTTTGCTTTTTTTTTTTTTTGACTTAGGATACTTCTGAACTGGTGAGGTGTGCTTACAGTAAGGTTTCCTCTAAAAGTTATTTTTCTACTTTCATCTGCTAGCAAAGCAGTTGCCGCTATAGATTGAATGCATTTGGGCCATCCGCGGGTTACTGGCTTAAGGATTTTTGATAGAAAGGCTACGGGTCATCAGTAGCCTCAGTGCTTTCAGGCTATGCCCTTGTTAACACTGACAACAAAGTGGTATTGGAGTGTTATAGTGTCACGGGGAAGACATTCGATTATGAATTATAGGTTTTGAATTTACCCTGGCTTTTAAAGGAATAGCGTACATTGTTTTCTCTTTACTACTTCTATCTCTTTCTCTATCTGTCTCTTTCTCTCTCTCTGACTCCCTCTTTGTCTCTTCCTCTCTCTCTGACTCCCTCTTTATGTCTCTGTCTCTTCCTCTCTCTCTGCCTTTTTCTCTCTTTTTCCTCTCTCTCGCTCTCTTTCCTCTCTGCTGGTCTTTCCTGCCTCTGCCAGCTGCTTATGCGGCTGTTCTCCCCTCTCCTTCCCCTTTTATCCTGGAGACTAAAAGTTCCTCTGAGGAGGTGGCAACATTAGACGGGGGGAAACAAACAGAGGAGTGAGCAGCCCCTGAATTGACTAAAAAGGTGATAAGCTCATGTTTAGGTCCCACCTCCAAATTTATCAAGGGCTCCTGGTGGGACTCAAGATAAAAGAGACAGAGCCCCTGATCCCCCTATTCTTCCTCAAAAGTCATGAGTGGAAGGGCTTCTTTCTCCTTTCTTAGTTCAGGACATCCTCTCTTGAAGTGGCCTGTTCTTCCACATCTATAGCACCTATCTTGTCCTTCCTCCCTCTTAGTTCTGGGATTCTTTAACCCTTCTCCCCCATACTCTTTAGGGAGCCTGGTAGACGAGAACCCTGGTCCTCCAGATGGAAGCTGGGATCCTTTAAAAGAGGGTTCAGACCCTTTATAGTTTCTGGCTCCCTGAAAACTGTCTAGAAGTACCTGGGTTTGGAGCCATCTGTTGGAAGGTGGAAACATACATTTTACCTTTTGTTTCTGTTTTTCTTCGTCCCTTTTCATGTATACTTTCTGAGCTTCCCTGAGAAGCTCACTTAGGGGAGGGTCTTCCCAATTGTCTATCTTTTGTAACTCTTGAAATGTCTGGCCAACTTTTAGTGACAAATTGGAGTTTCAACATTCCTTGCCCAAGGGGATCATCCAATTGAGGCCTGCATATTGCCTCATTTGCTCCCTCAGTCTGTCTAGGAATTTCATAGGCCGGTCATCCTTTTCCTGTTGTATATCAAATGCTTTAGAAAGATTTTGGGTTCGGGGTACTGATTCCCGAATTCCTTTTATTATTATCTCCCTTAGGTCCTGCATATTTTCCTGGTGATCTGCGTTGTTATTGTCCCACCAGGGGTCTCGGGCGGGGAATTTCTGGTCCGCGGTAGGAATGTTTTCACCGGGAGGGTGCTCACGTTCCCAAACTACCATAGCAGCCCTACGAATCATACTTTCTTCCCCTGAAAACAGGATGCCCAAGATGGGTATTAACTCGACCCAAGTGTACAACTGAGGTCCTAAGAATTGGTCAATTTGGTCTGCCACTCCATAAGTGTTATCTACTAGCGGTTTAAGCTCCTTTTTAAGATTCCAGACTTCTGAACTGGTTAAGGGAGCATTTACAAAGCCAATGGTGCCCCCTCCTTGTGGTACCTCTTTCAAAGGGAAGAGAGTCGGGGCTGACCTCTTAGGTATGGAGGGAAATGGGAAATTCTGAATATCTTTTTTACATAGTTCTACTTCATGCTGGAGTCCTTTTAGAAAGGGGTATTTAGGTTGGGAAGGAACAGGCTGAGATGGGATGGTAATTCCCAAGTGTCAGGGTTATAAGAAGGAGGGATAACGTGAGAAGAGGGGGAATTTGGAATGGGATCTGAGGCAGTAGTGGCTGTCTGAGGGGAAAGATTGGGGACAATGAGTGGGGGAGATAGTCTCAGGGATCCCATGCGCTGGAGTCTTTAGGCATGAGAGCTGGCTCCTCTGACTTTTCATTTTGAGGTGCCAGATTGGGTTCCTCCCTATTTGTTTTTAAGGGAAAAGGAGGGCAGGTCCTTGCCTCCAACAAAGGGCATAGCCTAGTTCTTGTTGAGACACTGGGCTTTTATCATTAACATATCAGATTAGAAGCTGACACATTACATCCTCATTTGACCCAAACTGTGGCCAGAAAATTGAGGGTCTGAGGATGGGTCCCTGAGTCCAAATAAAACAGCAATATTTTATCATTTGTTGCTTTTTCCTATGTTTCATCCTTTCATTATCTTTCCAGTGTTTTAGCATGAGACCTAGGGTGTTATCTGGGGGATATATTTGTTACCATCTTTATTCCCCTTGCTCCCTGTCTTGCTTGGGGTATTTCCCATCTTGATGGTTTTGGGGTAAGGTTCAAGTTTCAATTTCCCTTACTGGAAATTTCTCACTTTTTGGGGTGAGGCTCAATTTCCCCCACTGGAAATTTCTTGCCTTTTGGTGTGAGGCTCAATTTCCCCCACTGGAAATTTCTTGCCTTTTGGGGTGAGGCTCCCCCCACTGGAAATTTCTTGCCTTTTGGGGTGAGGCTCAATTTCCCCACTGGAAATTTCTTACCTTTTGTACTACTGGAGATTTGTGTGAAGTTAAATGCCCCCAATGGGGATGTCTTGCCTCTTTTTTAACCTCTAAGCCAACCCGACCAAGGAGTACCTCACCCCCTACACCTCCTGAAGCTTTCTTACCTTGGTCCCGAACACCAGGGAAATACTTTACCGGCTCCTGCAGCTTCTCCTTCCTTGGGCTGTGCACAGAGTCATCGCTACAGTTTGTGAGGATCCTTTAAGCTACACTGCTGGCCAGTTTTGTTTTTTTTCTTTCCCCCCACATTGCTGAGAGCTGGGTTATTCCTCACACTGGGTGGGTTCTGATTTCTCACCCCTGAGGCCACCACAAGGGGCGGGACGCATGCCTCCTCACGAGAGAGAACCAGAGACCGTCCCAGGAGGGGAATGTAATCACGGGTGAGCCCCCAAAGTGTTATATATAAAGTTTTGGTGCCGCAAAAGAAATAGCACCTGAATATAAAATTTTCTTTTTAATTCTCAGCAAGGCAAGGTACTTCTATAGAAGGGTGCACCCTTAGAGATGGAGCAATGGTGAGCGCACACTTGGACAAGGGAGGGGAAGGGGTTCTTATCCCTGACGCATGTGGCCCCTGTTGCTGTGTCATTCCCCTATTGGCTAGGGTTAGACCACACAGGCTAAACTAATTCCGATTGGCTAATTTAAAGAGAGTGATGGGGTGACTGGTTTGGCAGGAAAAATGGTTATGACAGAGCAGGTAATCAGAATGAGTCGGGGTGGAGCAGCTGATTGAAATGAATCAGGATGGAACAGGTTGCTTTATGAGGAAGTTAAGTTTAAAAGTAGAAGGTAAAGAATTGAACATACTGACATATTGATTCTTTGAAAAGACATTTAGAACTCATATCTAACAATGATGAAACCCCATCTCTACTAAAAATACAAAAATTAGCTGGGCTTGTTGGTGCGTGTCTGTAATCCCAGCTACCTGGGAGGCTGAGGCAGGAGAATCACTGAACCCTGGGAGGTGGAGGCTGCAGTGAGCCGAGATCATGCCACTCACTCCAGCCTAGGCCACAGAGCAAGACTTCATCTCAAAAAAAAAAAAAAAAAAAAAGAAAGAAGGAAAGAAAGAGAAAGAAAAAACAATAGAGAAGACTTTTGTTTCTGGACTTTTAAGAAAAATAATATGAAGAAGCCAGAATAAAGATAAGAGAATTATAAAAGACAAGCAGAATTAATCATGATATATGAGTTTAATCAGGAAAATATTTTAAAAATCAAGAGGCTCAATATTGCAAGCAGTATTCATAATCATGGGCTTTTTAACCATATACACAGACATAAAATATTATTACACAGGGAAAAAGAAGGGTTCAAAGTACAAAAGAGATAAAGACAGACTAGATTTTGAAAAGACAATTTCATTACTCACAGAGGGAGAGAGTAGAGAATTGCCAAAATGAAGAGTCACATCTAGGAACAATAGCGGATATCCAGGAGGCTAAGTTAAAGGGTGCTGATAGTAGAAATGATTAACAGGCAGAATGCATTTCAGCCAAGCAGAGCGCCAAGCCCAGATATTATTGTCTCAGGAGTATTCAGCAAATAAACAGAGATATAGGTGAAACTTGAAAGATTTCAAAATAGGAAGAAGCACGTTTACCTTGAAGGGAAAAATAAATGATAAACAAAGCAACACAGAAAGACCAAATCAGAGTATACAACAATTTAGAAATGAAACACCTATTGTGTGAAAACGACCAGCAAAAAAGCTTTGGGAAAGTCACTGGAATTTTTTAGAAGCACCATTTGGTCTCATTTTTAGACACAAACTAGTCACACATAACCAAACTTTGGGCACTTCTTGGGGTCATCGCTGTGATTATCAGGGAAAGCCAGTGGCTGGGCCGTCCTGCACACATCAATTGTTAGTAAGGATTATTTGCAAATTCCCACATGGGAAATTAATTTCAAATGCTGAGTCAGAGGCGGAAGTTGTCCAATTTAAGAGTCAGCAAGAGGTAGGAAAGTGGCCCATCAGAGTCACATCTAGGAACAATAGCTGATATCCAGGAGGCTGAGACTCTGCTTGGCTGCTTTTTAAGAAGAAATTATAGTTTATCCCAGTTAGTATGGGAGGTTCTTTGAAGAATGCCAACTAATAAATGCAGAAGGAATTATGGAATTAGGAAAACATCCTTTGCAACCCACTAGATATAGTTTGGATGTATGTCCCCTCCAAAACTCATGTTGAAATTTGATCCCTAATGCTGGAGATGGGGCCTAGTGGGAAGTGTTTGGGTCATGCAGGCAGATCCTTAAGAACAGTTTGGTGGCTTAGTGCCATCCTGAAAGTGATGAATGAGTTCTTGCTCTATTAGTTTTTGAGAGAGCTGATTTTTGAAAAGAGCCTGGGACTTCGCTCTCCCTTGCTTCCTCTCTTGGAATGACATGCTGGTTCCCCTTTGCCTTCTGCCATGACTGGAAGCAGCCTGAGTGAGGTTCTCACCAAAAGCAGATACCAGAGCCATGCTTCTTGTACAGCCTGCAGACCTGTAAGCCAAATAAACTTCTTTTCTTTTCTTTTTGAGACAGAGTTTCGCTTTTATTGCCCAGGCTGGAGTGCAATGGCAGGATCTTGGCTCACTACAACCTCCGCCTCCCAGATTCAAGCGATTCTCCTGCCTCAGCCTCCCTAGTAGCTGGGATTACAGGCGCCTGCCACCATGCCCAGCTAATTTTTGTATTTATAGTAGAGATGGGGTTTCACCATATTGGCCAGGCTGGTCTCAAACTCCTGACCCCAAGTGATCCACACGCCTCGGCCTCCCAAAATGCTGGGATTACAGGCGTGAGCCACCGTGCCCAGCCTTCCTCTTTTCTTTATAAATTAACCAGACTCAGGTATTCCTTTACAGCAATCAAAATAGACTGAGACATCAATAAAATGGTTTATTCAGGCCAGAATCATTAATAGATGCTGAAACCATATGGTGAAAGATTGCTGAAGAGGATATCCACTTGGTAAAAAAAATTACCACTCTAGAGCCACCGCACCTGGCCTGGCCCTACCTATTTAATAAGCAAAACTGTTAGATATAGCTTTTGGCAAAACTCTTAGGGATGCTGGGAAAAAATTACTGAGGTACTAAGGATGCCATGAACAGAGAATGTTTGGGAACCTCTGTCCTAAGACCACTACTATATTAGAATGGAATATACTGAATGATGTTCATCCTTCTGACCTGGAGCCATCAAGATCGTATTCTGGCTCACTGCCCCTTGCTCCAACACGACTCCAGTCTTTATTCTTGATGATTTCGATATACACAGAGATGATCTTTCTCTCACTCTGGCCCCTCATATCCTTGAACTTCTCTCTTCCATGACTTTGTCCTCCCTTGTATCTCAGCCACTAACTCCCTCTGCAATCTTGTCATTGCCACATGTAATGTAATGTTAATACCTGACTCCAAAGAGCCTTTCAAACAACCTCCATGCCTGCCCTTCAGCCCCCGCCCATTGATATCATCTTTCAGCAACCTCCACCTACCCTTGGCATGTGCTCTCTCCCCTTCAGCTTAAGTTCCACAATCAATCATTATGATTTCCCACTTGCCTACACCCTCAACTTCCTTGCCTTCTTCTTGTTTCATTATATTGCTTTACAGACCCCCTACCCTGGTGAAATCTAGCCCCCTAATTTCTCTAGGCTGCACCTGTACACATGGACTATTGCAAGACCCCGTGACCACCTCTCAAACCCATTCTCCATGCATCAGCCAGAGAGACTTTCAAAACTCACTTTATTGCCTAAAACCTTTCAAGGGTTCATTGCACCCTCAGAATACAGTCAAAATGCAGTAAGATACTTTATGGGGCCTGATATGGTTTGACTCTGTGTCCCCACCCAAATCTCATCTCAAATTTTAATCCTCATGTCGAGGGAGGGACCTGTAATCCCCTCGCCACCATGTCAAAGGACGGAGGTGATTGGAACATGGAGGCGGTTTCCCCCATGCTGTTCTTGTGATAATGAGTGAGTTCTCACTAGATCTGATGGTTTTATAAGGGGGTCTTCCTCCTTTGCTTTCTCTTCTCTCTCCCACCACCTTGTGAAGAAGGTGCCTGCTTCCCCTTCTGCCATGATTGTAAGTATCTTGAGGCCCCCCCCAGCTATGTGGAACTGTGAGTCAATTAAACCTCAGTCCTTTATAAATTACTGAGACTCAGGGAAGTTCTTTACAGCAGCGTGAGAACAGACTAACACCAGGCCCTTCATGCGCTGGACCCTACTTGCCTCCCCAACCTCCCTTTTCAACATGGACCCTTCCCCACAGCCCACACCACTCTGCACTTTGCACTCTGCAGTTTCTAAAATGTTCCCTGTTCTCTCTCCTTTCTCTGCCTTTGCACATCTCGCTCCCTCTGGAAATGGCATTTCCTAACCAACTGGACTAGTCTCTCAGAACTTACTGAGATGTCACATTTTTAGGAAGCCTCCCTGACACCTGTCCTGTGTGCTTCATAGATTGCCCTCAAGTAACAGCCCTGAGCCTGTACTGCAGGTACCTGTTTGTTTGCCTCCTTCACTACACTGGGAGCTTTTTGGGGGCAGGCAATGTATTTTGTCCACTGTTGACCCTACAGGGTCTGGCACAGGGACAGGCATATAGAATGTACATGATAACTGATTGTTGCATCATCCTAAAATCTGTGAACAGTGTTGCTTAAATACAGATATATACACCTGTCCATGTATGTTTGAAAGAGTTCAGTCATATTGTCAAACATGATGGTATGTTTGAAAGAGTTCAGTCTTGGTGAACCAATTCCACTGCCAATTTCCTAAGTTTCTGTGGGTGTGAGATCATTCTGCCTTATTATTTCATCTTTCAGCATAATGCACTGAATCCTTATTACAATCAGCACACTCTTTCCTATGGAGTAAATCACATGTTATTGTGTCTACATCAGCCAAGGGACTTGAGTACAAACCTCTGTTTTTAGTAGTTTCATGCTGTTTGTTTTTGGTATTTGAGAGACTAGATGTAAATGTTTCCAAGGAAAGTTTACTGCCAGATACAGAGGTGAAAGGACAGAAGTCATGTCCTTATCCATGGCTGTCCCTCCAAAGGTCAGTGGTTGGCACTTTCATAGGCCTTTTGAGATAGCAGTAATGAAATGAATTTTAATGAGGTTCAGAAAACGGAAATAAGGTACAGTGCCCCAAAGCACTCCCCCAAGTGTAGGGGTCCAGCGCGGCCATCTCTAGACCCCCAGAGTGGCCCAAAGGTCAGCCTGACTCCCCTTACATGAGAAAGATAATCCTATGAGAATAAATATAAATAGATAAGTGGGTGAATAAATGTAGGTGCATGAAATTGAAACAAGAGGACTTCATTATGTGATGGCATAAAACATAATATTCTGGAATGGACAAAAATAAAACTTTGGACTGGGTGAGGTGGCTCATGCCTGTAATCTTAGTGCTTTGGAACACCTAGGTGGGAGGTTCGCTTGGGACCAGGAGTTTGAGGTTACACTGAGCTATGATCTTGCCACTGCACTCCAGCCTGGACAACAGAGCAAGACCCTGTCACAAGGATGCTAGAATTTGTCCATAAATACATTTTTATTTATGTATTCCCCATCTCTCTTTTTATCCTATTTTATGTAGACAGCAACGTGATTTTTTTTCGTCCTTTACAGAGGCTGCCTACTAGTTTGCAGTTAATACCATTTTACTGTATTCTATAAAGGTATTGCCAAGGTCAGTTGGCTCAAGGTTTGTGTTTCTTCCTTGAGAAAAATACAAAAAGAAGAAAAAAAAAGATCTTCGGTTTGAATACGAGAGTGGAAAAGAAAATTGAAATACAATCGTGCAGGAATGCTGCCATTTAGACATTTAAAACAAGCAAAAGAACAACAACCAAAACAAAACTCACCCATAACAAGGGGTTACCACTGTTTTTCTGTAGCATCTCAGCAGATGACCTCCTGGTGTTGCAGTCGGCAACTGGTCGTGAGTCTGTTAAAATTATGGGCAGGCACGGTGGCTCACGCCTATAATCCTAGCACTTTAGGATGCCAAGGCTGGTGGATTACCTGAGGTCAGGACTTCCAGACCAGCCTGGCCAACATGGTGAAACCCCCTCTCTACTAAAAATACAAAAATTAGCCGGGCATGGTGGCGCATGCCTGTAATCCCAGCTACTCGGGAGGCTGAGGTGGGAGAATCACTTGAACCTGGGAGGCGGAGGTTGCAGTGAGCCGAGATCGCGCCATTGCACTCCAGCCTGGGCAAAAGAGCAAAACTTCGTCTCAAAAGAAAAGAAAAGAAAAGAAAGCAATTACGCAATTTGTTTTAAATTATGACGTCTTTGAAAAGTATGCAATCTAAATTCGTTGGATTAGCGACGAGAATACTGAAGTTGAAGTGCATTTATAGAAGTCTATAAAATGGCAAAAAACTGAAAGGGAAAGAAATGAGCTATTTGAGTATTCTCTGTGTTGCTAGTAAACAAGTTCCAACTCTGCAAATCAGTTTTCAAAAGAATACTGATTGTTTCCTAAGTACCTGCAAACTCTGAAGCATTTTAGGCAAGGGAATGAGTGGGAAAAAAGTATCTTCATGTTTGTGCATTACAACAATAAAGACTATTATGTAACAATGTGGAGTCTTCAAAGCGACCCTGCCAAGAGGGAGAAAGTGGTCCTTATGGACGGATTGTTTTCTGCTAGAAGGCCCTCAATTAGAATTGTACTTACGCATACATAATATAGGATATTATTTTTATATTCATAGAAAACTGCTTTCTCGGGTAACTCCAGCGCTGTACATGGGATGGGATACCGGCCCTCCGTTTACAAATACTCAGGCGCAATGCTGCCCGGGCACTCAAAGGACAGAAGATAGTGTCTGTGCCCTGCGGGAGCAGGCCACGAATCCCGAAAACGCCGTGGCGCAGTGCTCCTTCCCGCGAACCTGAGTGGGCCGTGGTTCTCGGTTGCTCTGGACATAGGAAAATGTCAGTTCATGTGTGTCCCTTTCTCCACTAGATGTCACTGTAAATCAATTGCTTAAGGAGGGAACCCGGGCGTCTGGCGCATCTTCACACAGTACCGGGGTTTGAAGCCCGGTCAGTGTCTGCACTTGTGTCCTTCCCCACTGGGGAGCCCCAAGGCGGGGCAGGCGCGGGGACTCGCTGTGCACGGAGCGGCGCGCTGTCCGAATGGCAACCGAAGAGCCGCGACCCGGTCAACGAAGCGCGGGGGTGACCGGAGCAGGACGGGCGGGCAGGCGGCGCAGTGCGTGGGCGGGCCCGCGCTGCGCTCCCCTCCGCCCAGCTAGCGAGACGGTCACGTGCCGCCCAGGCGCTGCCCCTTGCGGGCGGCTGCAGAACAACAGGGCGGGGCCGGGGAGGGGAGGAACACGGAGGCCGACGCCGGGCGCCGCGGTGCTACGCCCGAGGCTGGGGTCGCCCCGGGCCGGGGGGAGCAGAGCGCGTGCGCCGCGCGGCTGTGAGCGCGAGCGGGGCCGGGGAGCGCGCGCGGAACGCTAGGGGGCGTGGCTGCGGCGCGCGCGCTAACCGGAGGGGGAGGGGCGGAGAGCCACCGCGGAGCGCGCGCGGGGTTGGTTGCCGCGAGCGTGGGGGAGCGTGGACCGCGGCGCTGCTCAGCGGTGGGGCTGCCTTCCCCCGGCCCTCCTCCCTGGTCCCTGGCGAGGGCACTGGCGGCGGCGGGGCCGGGGTCCGCAAGGCCGGAGAAGGCCGCCGGGCCCGGGCATGGTGGTCTGGGGCAACGCGGAAGGTGAGCGACCCCCGGGCCGGCGGCGGGGTGGGGGAGGGGCGGGATCGGACACGCGTCGCCCGGAGGCGCCGCAGACCCGCCCGGCAGCGGCCAGAGCGCGGTCGGCCTGAGGTGGCGCGGGGGAGGGGTGCGTCGCCCCGGCCCCGGCCCGCGGCCGTCCTGTCGCGGCCTGGGCTGTCCACGGCGCCTTCCCCTGACGCTCGCAGCCGCCGGGTTATGTAATGTGTGACCTCCCCTCCCCTTCCCTTCCGTCATGGCGCGGCCGGCCCCGCGCCGCCGCCAGCCCCATGGGCCGCCCCGCGCCGACCCCTGGCGCAGCGGCCCTTCCCTCCGCGCCCGGCCGCATCCCGCCGGCCCGGTCAGACCGCGCCGCAAACTCCTTCCTCCTGCGCCGGCGCCTCGGCCGGCCATTCAGTTCCGCGCCATTCATTCACGCGCGCGTTCGGGCGTTCGTTCCACAAGCGTTTGTAGAATGTCGACCCGGTCGAGCCGCCGCTCCCACCCGCACTCCAGCCACAGCGTTTTTCCGCACCCCGCCTTCGACGTCCCCGGTGCATCCCAGAACCGGTCGGAATGTCCGAAGGCGGTTGTTGCTCCCTTGTTTTTCCTTGCTGCTTGTCCGTTCGCTAAATACGCTGGGCGCCGTTCCCCAACTGTCCTTCCGAGAGCCCCTTGCCCACTTCTGTACTGTTACAGTGACGCCGCTCTGGGCGCACCGAGCCGCGCTGTGTTTCGCTGCTCTTCCTACCTATTCTCAGTTTGTAAAGAAATAATCTCACATAACACTCCTTAATGTACTCCTCCGTAAGATAAATTGCAGATAATATACGTCTGCTAATTCTCTTTATCTCCACGTCTTCTCACGCCATGTACTAAGTAGAAATGGTTTCATTTAGGTGAAAATAATGCAGACTAGCACATAGCACAACAAGGGCTTGTAACTATTAAGGACTTTATGTAACAGTCTGTAATTCTGTGTATCTGTCTGGTCTTTCCGGACTTGGCACTTTAGTCTCCGAGAATAAGCCATTTCCTGTTTAGGTAGGGTAGGACCAACCATAACCTTGGTTCTTTCTATGGAGTTCTGTATGTAGCAAATCAGCCTGTGGGAACCATCTATCTGTCCACCAACCTTTCACACATATTCTTGGGTTTGCCCGTGCAGGGACCAGTGCTGCGTATTGTTCCCTGCCTTCCTGTACTGGACACTTAAGAGCTCACCTAAAGTTCCTCTTCCAGGAATCATTCTCCAGTATACAAGGCTCTCTTCCATTCAATTCTTAGGCTATTTGCGCCTTTTCCTGTGTTGCGTTTATCTTTTTAGCCCTGTCTTCTCTTACTGTGTAGGACCTTTTGAGGGTAGAGTCTGTACCAAACTCCTATCTTTTGTTGTAGAACCTTAACCGCTATTTTACGGTAAACCGTACATATTTAATTTTTTTTGTAAAGATGGGAATTGCTCTTTTAAAATTAATTTCTATGAGGTCTCAAGTAGAACATAATTTTTAAAAAATAATGTGCTTGAATATATAAGATCACTACATTTCCAACTTCCCACTCGCAACTTCAAAACTCTGATTCTACATAAGAGCATTAAGGAAACGTTGTCCTCACCAGCAACAAACTGGTCATTATTCATAAGAAGTTGCAGTGACTACATATAATATATATTTGAAAGCACTTTCTTTGATAGCTGCTGTAGTGGAAAGACAGGAAGTTCACAGTTACATGGAGGTTAGATTTCTGGCCCTACAAATTGTTAGCTGGTGACTGGACAAGTTAAGTTACTAGTATCTCTGATTTTTTCTCGTTTGTAGAATGAAGATACCATTTCCCACCTTGGGTAGCTGAGGATTAAATCAGTTCTTAAACGTGAGACATCTAGTGACACCATGGTACTCAGGAGGTGCTCAGTAAATACATATTCCCTTTGGTATACCTGTTTATTGCAGTTCACAATCTAGAATGAGCCAGGATGTGCTAGAGACAAAGCGTGAGAGGAAAGGTAATCAGAAGAGGTGACAGGTACCTCTCGTCTCCAAATAAATGAACAAGTCCTACACTAAAGAGCATTGTGGGTCTTTCTGCTTTTCAAGAATGTATGGGTGTGTATATGTGGCGTATTACTAATCATAGAGTATATTAAACAGAACATTTAAAAATGAAAAGTTTTTTTTTACTATAATAGCACCAACTGAAGCGTTAACATGGACATTAAAAAATAATCTTATTTTTTTCCAAAGGCAAGTCAGGAGACGAGACGGGAAAAGGGATATTAAAAAGGCTCTTTAGAGGCAATTAGGTTGCAGGCTCTTCTGTTAGCATCTACTTATAAACAGTACATGAATCCTAGTCTAAGTTCCATTATCTCTTGGTTGGAGTGTTTCCATAGTGCCTTTACTGGTTTATTTCTCTTGCTCCCTGACTGTTCCCTAGGGATTCACCTTGACAACCAGAGGGATCTTTTTAAAAATGTAAATCAGATTGTCACTTTCTTGCTTAGTGTCCTCTAAAAGCATCCTGTGAACCACTTACATTTGAATCTTAGTCGCCATCAGGGCATAGCATGATTTGGCAGCTGCCAGCTTCTAACGTTACCTCTTACTAGGTGACTGACTTTCAGCAACCTACCCCAGTCCCATAGTCATTTTGCCGGTTCTTGAACAAAGTGTTTCTTCCTTAGGATGTTATACTTACTATTCTTTTAGCTGGACCACCCCTTCCTCTAAGTGGTCAAGGCTCTTCATGTCTTGTCTTGTGTTTCTGCTCAAATGTCATCGCCTCAGGCCTTTTCTAATTCTAAAATAGGAACCAGCCCCTTCCTTTATAATCTTTTATTCTTTATTCTCTTTTTCTCCATAGCATTTATTACTAGGTGAAGATACACTGTTTTTTTTTTCCCACTTATTTATTTCCCCCCTTAGACTTGTTTGCTGCCAGCCCTGTTCTCAACAAGCGAGCAGAGGTCTTGTCTGACTTGTACACAGCTTTATCCCCAGTGCTTAGAACTGTGCCTGGTACATAGTAGGCTGTCAGTAAAACTTGTTGAGTAAATGAATAGTATAGTTGATTTAAATATTGGCTCTGGAATCAGACAGCTAGGGTCAGAATTCTCTGGCTCCCACCATTTACTGATTGAGACTGTGGGCAAGTTAATAACTTGGTGGTGCCTCAGTTCTGCTCATCTGTAGGATGACTGTAATAATACCTACCTCACAGGATTATGGTGAGTAATAATTGAGTTAATGTATGTAAAGTGCTTAGAACAGGGTAATTTTTTTTTTTTTTGAGATGGAGTCTCGCTCTGTCGCCCACACTGGAGTGCAGTGGCACCATCTTGGCTCACTGCAAGCTCCACCTCCTGGGTTCACGCCATTCTCCTGCCTCAGCCTCCCGAGTAGCTGGGACTGCAGGCACCTGCCACCACGCCCGGCTAATTTTTTGTATTTTTAGTAGAGACGGGGTTTCACCGTGTTATCCAGGATGGTGTCGGTCTCCTGACCTCGTGATCCGCCCGCCTCAGCCTCCCAAAGTGCTGGGATTACAGGCGTGAGCCACTGGTCCCAGCCCAGAACAGGGAAATTTTAAACCTTCTAGGAACTATTTGAAATTAGCTTGTTCACTTAGGATTTTGTATTTTGGCATGAGATAAAGGTGGGTTAATTGAATTTTTTTCTTTTTTAACATTTTTTGAGACAGGGTCTTGCTCTGTTGCCCAAGCTGGAATGCAGTGGTGTGATCACGGCTCACTGCAGCCTCAACCTCCTGGGCTCAAGCCAGCCTCCCGCCTCAGGCGCTCGAGTAGCCTGCACTACAGGCATGTGCCACCATGCCTGGCTAGTCTTTTAATGTTTTGTAAAGATGGGGTCCTACTGTTTTGCCCAGGCTGGTCTCAAACTCTTGGGCTACAGTCTCCTGCCTCATCCTCCTGCCTCATCCTCCCAAAATGGTGGGATTACAAGTGTGAGCCACTGTGTCTGGCTAAATTTTATATTTATTACTTTGGTGCTGAATTTTTGTTAGCCACCAAAATTGTATTTATGGAACGCCTTTAAAAAATACATTTTGTGGATGTCTAGAGCAAATTAAAAAATAAACTGTTGAGAATGGTGACTGGTGTTTGGTCTTAATGTGTAAGTCAGGTTTTTTATTTTTCAATCTGTAGAAGATGCTAAGAGTGATTATCTCAACAACCGCCCACCAGAGTGGCTTTTATAGAGTTCCCTTTGAAGTTCAGCTGGAGATCTGATTGTGGTGATGAAAGGACTTGCTGGAGGCTTCGTGTCTTCAGACAGGAAAGTCCTTGAAGATCCAGTTGAAATATGAGTCTTGTAGTATTTGGGAAGGAAATTTTTATCATCTTTAGTTGTGTTCAGTTTCTCCCTTCTTTCACTGGGTTTTTCCCCTCAGATTATATTTGGTTATTAATTGGAACTTAAAGTAACCCAGCTGTGCTCTGTATCTTTCTGTTCTTTTCATAATGATTTATTTTTCTTTAGCAGATACAGAAATAAGAGAAGAAAGAATTGATGGAGACAGTGACTTTGTAATAATAGATATTTTCAGCTAATACAACTTGAATTATTCTCATAAACTAAGATTCTGCCTGTGGTAATTGAACTTGCATAATACCAGTTATTTTAAATTCACTTGTCCTTAGTAAAATGCTTCTTTGTAGGATTGTTATTTCATTTCTCAGTCTGAACTTTAACAAGTAATAGGATCCTAAACCCTAGGTGTAAATTTTTTTTTAAAAGTCAAAGGGCTGCTGCTTTGTGTAACATTTCTTCCAAAATTTAATAATTGTGAGTTATTATTTACTGTGTGCTAGGCTCTTTCCTAGGTGCAGTGTCTTAATTAATATCTACAGCTACCGTATAAGGTTGGCACCATTATAAAGAAACAGATTTAGAGAGGTGTTGTTATTTGGCTGGTTACACAAGAAAGGAGGCAAGATTTCAGGCCAGTTCCCGAGGTCATAACCGGTCTGCTGTGGGACACCTTAAAATGACAAGGTTTTTGTTTGGAAGCTTGCCGTTAAATTTATCTCATTATTTGTGAGTGTGTGTTGTTAACTACTGGCAGCTTCATCATTATTTATGGCTAATTTTTTGTTTTTTTTTTAGATTTAACTACTACTACTATACTTAAATGCTTGTATTATAAGTGAAATGTTTTAATAGGATGATGACTTGCATCGTAATTAATGTTTTTCTCATATTTAAAAGTCATTAAAAATAAGTCAAAGAATCATGTGTCTTGGTGCTTCAGCTTTGTAAATAGTTTGAAAAGGTTTTGCATATAATACATTAGATTTAAGAAAACATAAATGTCTTAAGTTTGCTCAGGGCTAAATTGGAGGTAGCAAGTAAATATTTAGTAAAAGTTACTAGTGATGTGTTTCCTGCTGACTATGGGGCAATTTTTTTTTTAAACTTCTATCTTAGGTTCTGGGGTACATATGAATGTTTGTTATATAGATAAACTAGTGTCATGGGGGTTTGTTGTACAGATTGTTTCATCACTCAGGTATTAAGCCTGATACACAATAGTTACTTTTTCTGCTCGTTTCCCTCCTCCCACCCTCCACGCTTAAGTAGACTCAGTGTCTATTGCTCCCTTCTTTGCGTTCATGAGTTCTCATCATTTGGCTGCCACTTGCAAGTGAGAACATGTGGTGTTTGGTGTTCTGTTCGTGTGTTAGTTTGCTAAGGATAATAGCCTACATAGGAGATCTTTACCTGGATCTCCTTCAATAAGGAGGAACACATAGGTGGGATGTTTTTACATAAATTTTAATGGTTTCTGACATTTCCTTGCAAGGCTTTTTTAATTTGTAAGAATATCTAAATTATGAGTTATTGGCTTCTCAACACCTCAGAATGTCAGGGGTAGGAAGAATCTTACAGACTCCAGAGGCAATGCCATTATATCTTACTGGAGGAAAGTGAGACCCCAAGAGTCATTTGCCTGCTAAAGAGGAGAAATAAGATGAGACCCTAGGTTTTCCCCCCAAGGCCATTTTTTCCCCCTGCTACACCAAACTGTTCCCTGCATTACTGAGGGAAAGACCAGCAACACTTAGTATCTCATATTCAAGAGGGTGGAAAATAAAACGATATGTTCTTGTAAAATTACGATTTAAAGTCTTGATTTTATCATTGGAACATAATAGAAAAAAATTTTGTCCTCTATTATAATGCAGTTGAAAATGATACTTTCTCATATAGGCAGGAGACTGCCTTATCCACATAGGATGCTTTGAGAAACCTTTTAAAGACTAGTCGGGTCCCATGGCTTTGTGCTTGAATTAAAATATTAGGTAGTGATGGGCAAAAAAAGTTGGTTGTGATGTGAGTAGTTCGTATTCAAACTCATAGCCTATTAAGCAAAGTGTTGCTTACTGACCTCAGTCATTCCTGATCATACCCAAGGCTAAAATGAACTTTTTGGAGGTTTAGTCACAAAATAATGGCTGCATCTTACATTCTCTAAGCTCCATCATTTCTACATTTGCTATTTCTAGGAATGGACTTAATGCATTTTTATCTTTTAGGCACTGGTCTGAGTTATGTAGTTGAAACTACTTAGATTTTTTGCTCTTTTAAATGGTTTTCATTAAGTTCTGTATTTTACTCATAATAAATTCAATTTCTTGATGACTCCTTAGCTTTTTATTTTAAGCCTTTTTTTTTAAAGCATTTAACCTGGACAGTTCTGAACTTTACAAATGTTTTAACAATTTCTTCTTCAATATCTTAAAGACCGTAACAAAAAAAAAATTTTTTTTTTTTTTTTTGAAACGGAGTTTTGCCCTTGTCGCCCAGGCTGGAGTGCTATGGCATGATCTTGGTTCACTGCAACCTCCTCCTCCCAGGTTCAAGCGATTGTCCTGCCTCAGCCTCCCAAGTGGTTGAGATTACAGGCACCTGCCACCACGCCCAGCTGGGTTTTGTATTTTTAGTAGAGACGGGGTTTCACCATGTTGGCCAGGCTGGTCTCGAACTCCTGACCTCAGGTGATCCCGCCTGCCTCGGCCTCCCAAAGTGTAAATTTTTTAATACAGAATTTTTTCTCATGATAATCTTCTCTGTGTCATTCCAATTTTAGTGTATGTGCAGCCGAAGCAAACACAACGTTTTATATCTTAAAGAGTGCTTTTACCTAACTTTTTTCTCATTTAATTCTCTTAAGAGTCCTGGGAAGAGAAGTAAGGCAGCATATCCTATTTTATAGCTGTAGTGTAATTTGGGCACCTGCTACCCAGAGTTAGGTAAGGCATCGTAAGTTAAGGGTACAGTCTGCAAGACTCTCCTCACTTCTTATATTAGCTACAAACTCCAGGACTTGCAGGTTATCCACACTCTGACCAACTGGCTACAACTTTCGGAGTTCCCACTACACCTCACGTTTGATAATTTGGTAGAATGACTCGCAGACCTCAGGAAAGTGCTGTTCTTGGAATTACAGTTATGATACAAATCAGGACCAGCCAATTAAAGAGACACATAGAACAAGATCTGGGAGGGTCCCAAACATGAAGCTTCCATGTCCTCAGGACGTGTCATCCTTCCAGTACAGCAGTGAATGATTGCCAGCCAGGAAACCTCACTTACTCTACAGCATCTGGAGTTTTTATGGGACTTTTATTACATAGGTATGATTGAACTCAGTCCCCAGTCCCCTTCTCCCTGGAGGTCAAGTTGTTAGGCTGATGTCAGGTTGCTCAAAGCCCAACCCACTATTCACATGGTTGGCATTTCCAGCATGGCCAGGCCCCATCCTGAAACTAGGGGCCTACTGGGAGTCACCCTGTTAATAGAAACTCAGCTGTGGGCCAAGGAGGACCCATTATGGATTCATGGATAACAAAGACACTCCTATCAGTTGGGAGACTCCAAGAGTAGAGTTTTCCAGGAATCAGACAATGGCCAGTCAAATTTTTTTGTTTTTGTTTTTTTAGGGACGGGGTCTCACTGTGTCACAGTGGTGCTATCATAGCTCACTGTAGCCTCCAGCTTTCAGGCCAAAGTGATCCTCCTGCCTCAGCCTCCCCAGTAGCTAGGACTACAGGCACACACCACCGCACCTGGCTAATTTAAATTTTTGTGTGTGTGTGTGTGTAGGGATCTCCCCATGTTGCCCAGGCTGGTTTCAGACTCCTGGCCTCAAGTGATCCTCCTGCCTTGGCCTCCCAGAGTGCTGGTATACAGGCATGTGCCACTGTGCCTGGGCCCCAAATTCTTTATTACACAATGCTGGCTAAAGAAGTGAGAACAGACACTTGCTCAATTTATGACAGCTAAAACTAGTAGTAGTGATAGTAACCCAGTTACCTCTGTTGTATTAAAAATTGGAACAGGTTGCATTTGAATATGGATAGAAGGATTGCCTTCTGTTGAGAATTACTACATAACATTTTTTTTATTGATACAATATAATTTAAAACTTGGGTTATTCACTTGAGTTAAATGTTTTAATTACATAAATTTTGTAGCTTGGGTTATAAACTGTATACTTGATACTTTAAAGCTTAATAATTGGCTGTAAAAAATCTGAATTTTGGTATTGGTCTTGAATTTGTACTTTTAGATGTACGTAATTATTCATTAGTTATTTGGAAGAAGAAATTATGAAGTGAGATATTTATGGGTAGGGTGGAGGCATTGATAATCTATTTGTGTTAGGGTTGTAAAATGTTTCAGTAACTTAATTGCTGTTTTGAATTTTAGCACTTGAGTCAAAGTTACTAACACTTCAAGTTTACTGTGTTGGAGGTTAATATTCTTTTGCATATTATTTATGCCTAATCTTATTTCAGATTGTCACTTGAAGATTATATTGAATTATCTTGGAACTCACTGTTCCTCAGAGATTATAGTGTGCTAAATTGTTACATTGAATAAGACTTCTGGTGTCTTGAAGAATGTAGCATGTTGTAATGTTTTTGTTTTTTTAAAAGTATATAATTTTAAATATATTCTTGGTGTAAGCAAGGGAAAATTCCAGAAGCAGTGACAACTTCTGCTTCCTTTATGTTTATTTGGAATTACATTTAATAGAAGCATTTGTGAGAAAAGGGATTTGTGAATGCTGGAACTGATAGCAGGTCCAGAAAAAAAGAGTTTGACTATATTTTTGAATTGCAGTTGCTCTGAGGGATTTGTTTTTAGTTATGTGTCATTGTTTATGCCAGTTACCTTGTGAGTTCAGAGATCTAATGACTTGTGTGGGTGGAATGCACAAGGTGAGGACTTCTGCTAAGATTTATACGTTATGGTGTAGGCTAGGCTCAGGAGCCAGAAACTCTCCCACCCAATTTACACTTGCTTAAAACTTACAAAGTAAGGTTTAAACTTCTTAGTATGATATATTCAAGGCCTTCTGTTATATTTCTCCACCTACCTTAGTTTGTCTACCTCTACATCTGGCCATGTTCCTACATACTGGTAAGTTCTAGAATGTTGTCCTAAACATCTTTTTGTATTTTTTATGAGGCAGAGTCTTGCTCTATAGTCTAGGCCTGAGTGCAGTGACGTGATGATGGCTCACTACAGTCTTAACCTCCCAGGCTCAAGCAGTTCTCCCATCCCACTCTCCCAAGTAGCTGTGGCCATGGGCGTGCACCACCATGACTGGCTAATTAAAAACAAATTTTTTGTGGAGACAAGGGTCTCACTTCATTGCCCAGGCTGATCTCGAATTCCTGGGCTTGAGCAGTCCTCCTGCCGTAACCCCGCAAAGTGCTGAGATACAGGTGTGAGCCACTGCACTCGGCCCTTTTATGTTTTTAATTATGAATTTTTCTTCTTCCTGAAATCTTTGCCTTCATGTCACCCCTTCCCACCTACCTTCTATCCTACCTTCTATCCTGTAAAATCCTACTGATTGTTCTTAGTTCAGATCTACCTCTCAGTGATGCTTTCTTGGGTGTCTTCTCGAACATGAGATTTATGGCTGTTTTCTCTGTGCATTTATTGCATTCCATTAGTGCCTATAATGCAGGATCTTGTATTATTATTATTATTATTATTATTTTTACTTTTTTGGTCTTGTTCTGTCTCCCAGGCCAAGTGCAGTGGTTCACTGCAGCCTTGACCTTCCAGGCTCAAGCGATCCTCCCACCTCAGCCTCCTGACTACAGGTGTGTGCCACCATGCCTGGCTCTTTTTATTATTTTTATTTTTTTTGTAGAGATGAGGTCTTGCTGTGTTGCTCAGGCTGGTCTCACGCAAGAGATCTTCCCACCTTGGCCTCCAAAAATGCTGGGATTACAGATCTCATATTATAGTTATATGCAAATCTCTGATAACCTTGGATTGTGGTTTATTCTCATTTTACTCACCTTGAAAACTATAGATTATAGTAAATTCTAAGTGAATGGAGAAAAACCATTAGCTCAGACCTGGAATTTGGGGTAAGGGGAAGTGGGGGGCAGGACAGGCGAGATTTTGTTGCCTGTAATCTTTTTGTTTTTTTTTTTTTTTTTTGAGACAGAGTCTCGCTCTGTCACCCAGGCTGGAGTGCAGTAGCCTAATCTCGGCTGACTGCAGCCTCTGACTCCCTGGTTCAAGCAGTTCTTCTGCCTCAGCCCCCAAGTAGCTGGGACTACAGGGGAGTGCCACCACACCTGGCTAATTTTTTTATTTTTAGTAGAGACGGGATTTCACCATGTTGGCCAGTGTGGTCTCGATCTCCTGACCTCGTGATCCGCCCACCTCGGTCTCCTAAAGTGCTGGGATTACAGGTATGAGCAACTGTGCCCAGCCTGTCGCCTGCAATCTAATTAAAACCTTCACCTGGTGAATTGCATTACTCCTGATGTGAAATTCATTCTACTTAGGACACGTTGTAGCATCATTCTCTCTACTGTATATAACCTTTCTCGTTACCACTGAACTGTCCTTTTCTCTATTATCACCACTATAGATACATTTTTAGGTACAGGCAAAACCAGTGGTTCTCAAAGTGTGTGCCGCAGTCCAGCTGGAAATGCAAATTTCCAGCCCTGCCCTAGACTCACTGAATCAGAAACGTTGGAGTTGGGGCCCAGCATCTTGTGTTTTAACAGGCCCTGTGCTAGTGATTCTGATGCATGCTCACGTGTGAGAATTACTGCTTTAGATATATTTCCCTCTTCTTTGATATTATTTCCTTTATTCTTCAGCTAAGTTCTGTTCTTCCTGTTACTAGCTCTTCTGCTGTGGCCTTTGGAATCCCTGATTTATTGCAACCTTGAACTTTTCTACAGATAATCATTTGGCTTTCCTGTGAGATTATACCACTTCTCCTTAGTGAAGATCAGTGGCTTCTTCCTCCTTCCTCTAGACTCTTAATTTTTATCATGTCATCTCTAGAACATTCTTTTGTGTTCCTTCGTAGCTTGATCCTGCTTATGGACATGCTGACTTTGAGATGTGTAGAACATCCTAGTGGAGATGCTTAATAAATGCAATTGGGCCATGTGGTTTGGAACACAGGAAAGCAGGAAAATTGAGGGGAAGGTGTTTGGAAAGTGGGTGATTTGGCCGCACTCTGGAAAACTAGAGAAGGCAGTTCTCTTTGGTACTTTCTATTTTTTATTTTTTTGAGACAGAGTCTCAGTGTTGGCCAGTGCAGTGGTGTGATCTCAGTTTCACTACAACCTCTGCCTCCCGGGTTTAAGTGATCCTCCTGCCTCAGCCTCCCGAGTAGCTGGGACTACCTACAGGTGTGCACCACCACGCTCGGCTAATTTTTGTATTTTTATAAAGATGGGATTTTGCCATTTTGGCCAGGCTGGTCTCGAACTCCTGACCTTAGGTGATCCACCTGCCTTGGCCTCCCAAAGTCTTGGGATTACAGGTGTGAGCCACTGTGCCTAGCCTCCTAGGTACTTTATTAAAACAGTGTCTCTACTTCTTTCCCTTTCTATGGAAATCTGTAATTGAAGGGAAGAAAAGCATTAGTCGTTGTTTCAGGAAGCCCCCTTCAGTTTGTATTAACTATTGATTTTGTTAAATCAAGCATCTTTTTTTGGTAGTTATGAATAACAAGAAGAATAAGAGAAAACTCTTTGTTGTATTGAATTGTTTGGGATAGACGCTTTCCTTTTAATCAGATCAGCCTCAAACTGGGACATACAAATGTTTGTTATACATTTTCAGGTTTAATATATCCAAATATTTTTTATACAGTACATCTTATTGTTTGTCTATTTTTAATTTATATAGATATTGAATCAAAATCATATTAAAATGCTCAGATGTACTTATGCATTAGGGTACAGGCTAAGCTGCTGTAACAGGGACTTCAGAATACAATGGAACAAACAATTTTTAAGTTTTTCTTTCTCCTGTAATAGTCCAGAGGTAGATAGGCAGTCCGTAGTAGGTGAGCACCTCAGTGTTTTAGGGGTTCCACAGTTCTCTGTGTGCTTAGCCCTTCCATAGGGTATTGTCCTTATTCCCATGGTTGAAGCTGGGTTACCTCACAACTGCATCCCAGAAAAAGAAGTAAACAGCTTTCTTTAGGAATATGGTTCATATTTTTGTACACATCACTCTGCTCATACCTCCTTGGCCAGAACTTAGTCACATGGCCACCCCCGATTTTGAGAGGAGCGTGGGAAATGTAGTCTCTGGTTGCCCACTCTGCCTCCTGCTAAGAGGGGCGGGAGAGGTGTTCCATTACTAAAAGTAAGAAAGAAGAATGAATACTGGAGGACAGTGCCGTTTTGCCATCGTGGAGTTGGGGTCCCAAGACCACCCTCACTTATGAGATCAACTGCAAGTTTGGGGATCCACACCATCCTTAGGTTAAATAATTGGCTAGAAGGGTTCAAAGAACTCCTGAAAGGGCTTTTACTTATGGTTGGATTTATTACAGTGAAAAGATACAGAATAAAATCAGCCAAGGGAAGAGGTGCATGGGGCACACAGAAGAGTCCACTTACGAAACTTCCAGTTATCCTCTGCCAGCGAAGTTATGGACGGTGCCAACTTCTGGCACTGATGTGTGACACTACTCATGGAGATTGCCTATCAGGGAAGCTCACCCAAGCCTTGGTGTCCAGCATTTGTACTGGGACTTGGTCACTTAGATATGATTGACTGTTGGCATGGTTGACCTTTAGTTTTCAGCCCTTCAGGAGGTTGATAATACATGGCTCAAAGCCCTTCACCTTAAATCACAGTGCAAAACTATCTGGAGTGGCTCAAAGCCCCCAGGTAAACAAAAGCACTTAACAGGGTGGACATTATTATTATTATTATTATTATTATTGACAGATTCTTGCTCTGTCACCCAGCCTGGAGTGCAATGGCGCAATCTGGGCTCACTGCAACCTCCGCCTCCCGGGTTCAAGCAATTCTCCTGCCTCAGCTTCCTGAGTAGCTGGGATTACCGGCGTGTGCCACCATGCCCGGCTAATTTTTGTATTTTTAATAGAGATGGGGTTTCACCATGTTGGCCAGGCTGGTCTCGAACTCCTAACCTTGTGATCTGCCCGCCTCAGCCTCCTAAAGTGTTGGGATTACAGGCGTGAGTCACTGCTCCCATAAGGTGGACGTTCTAAGGGCTTAGAGGTTACCTCCCAGTCTCATCTTGGACCATGTGAAGGGGGGGAAAAGAAAGGATTACCTCCCAGGAACCAAGGGCAAAGGCCAAACATCTGTTTGGGTTAGGATTCTTACTGCACAGCCACATCTGTGGATAGGTACATCTTGTTGTTTTTTGGCAAGCATAGAAAAAGTTACGTAAAGTTGCATAATATGTATGTGTTTGTTGAAAGCGTTTTTAAAACTAGATGTGTAGAATCATACACATTTGTTTATTTTCATTTATTTATTTTTTTGAGACGAAGTCTCACTCTGTCACCCAGGCTGGAGTGCAGTGGCATGATCTCAGCTTGCTGCAACCTCCGCCTCTTAGGTTCAAGCAGTTCTCTGCCTCAGCCTCCGGAGTAGCTGGGATTATAGGCTCCCACCACCACGCCTGACTAATTTTTGTATTTTTTAGTAGAGATGGGGTTTTACCATGTTGACCAGGCTGGTCTTGAACTCCTGACCTTGTTATCCACCCACCTCGGCCTCCCAAAGTGCTGGGAGTACAGGCGTGAGCCACTGTGCCTGGCCTATTTATTTTTTTTTTGAGACAGAGTGTTGCTTTGTCACCCAAGCTGTAGTACAGTGGCTCAATCTCGGCTCACTGCAATCTCTGCCTCCTGGGTTCAAGCGCAGAATCATGTACATTTAAAAAATTGCAAAAGACTCTAGAATTTGTCAGGTCTGTAAAAAGTAAAAGTAGATGTACCTCTTCAAAGACTTTCCTCCCCATCTGATTAGAAATAAATAGTAACTTCTCTTAGAAGCAAAATTTATTCAAAGACCTGTGCTCCTAAATATTTGCCCTGGCATGCTTATACTGGTCCAAGCAAGCATTAGGTCATATCCTGTTCTCTTCCTTATTTAAAAGTGTTTTTATCCTTCTCAGCATTCCACAAGTTACTTCCTCCTTCCTTTGTTCTCCTCCACCTTTGCCTCTTTTAAAAAGTTCTAAGTTGCTAGCCAATCGGAACAAATACAGAATGTGAGGTCCCGTTCCAGCCAATGGAAACCAGACACAGCAGTATGATGGACGCATCAGGTTATAAATGACCCTGTCTCCTTTGTTCCTTGTACTCTCATGGCAAAACTGCTGGCGAGTGTACCTTTTCTGCAGGAAATAAAAATGGCCTTACTAAATAAATTAAATTTATGTTCAAGTGCTGTTTCTTTATGGCACCGGGGAACAAGCATTTCAAACAGGTCCAACTCTTTCCACATACGGAGGAACTAAAATATGACTGATTATGACTTGCTTAAGTTCAGAGAACCGGTTAGCAACAAAGTTGATGCTGTCTTTGAATCTCTACTTCTTTTTTTTTTTTCTTTTTTGAAACGGAGTCTCACTCTGTTGCCCAGGCTGGAGTGTAGTGGCACAATCTCGGCTCATTGCAACCTCTGCCTACCGCGTTCAAGTGATTGTCGTGCCTCAGTCCCCCAAGTAGCTGGGATTACAGGTTCCTGCTACCATGCTCGGCTGATTTTTTTCTTTTTAATAGAGACAGGGTTTCACCATGTTGGTCAGGCTGGTCTCAAACTTCTGATCTCATGTGATTCGCCTGCCTCAGCCTCCCAAAGTGCTGGAATTACAGGCGTGAGCCATCGCTCCCGACTTCTGCTTATCAATATGGACTAGTTGGGGTCTAGATGGAGCTTAATTGTAGGACCTGTTTTCTTCCTTAGTTTTGTTACATATATGGCTCTATTATGATCCAGACTGTTGCTAGATTACCTGGTGAAGAAGCATCTGTTTTGTTGAATTGTGTTAGGTTACTTCAGATCAATAGGAGTATTCTTAACTTTTTAGCAGTTCATATTGATACCATTATTATTTTTTCCATTGAAGATTTGGGAACATAATTTTGTAGAAGATGAGTATGATTTTGTACCACAAGCCAGCAGTGCAGCCTTACAGAACTTTTTAGCTTCTCTACCCTAGAAGTCAACTATTGTGTGCAAAATAAATAGGACTTGGCTGACTCACTCTATGGATGAGTTGTAAAGATAAATGGTAGATGTAAAGGGGTCTTGGAAAACTAAGGATACTTCAGAAGTGAAAGGTATTACTAGTAATGTGAAATGTAAATAAATTAAATTTGAATGTTAAAAATTAAAGGAACACTAAAAGGAAGGAAATATAAAGTGTCAGTTAATAGGTGAATTTTTTTAGGTGGTAGGAATTTGGGTAATTCTTTCCTTTTCTGTTTTCTGTATTTTCCAATTTTCTGCAATAAACACGAATTGCTTTTATAAATAGAGCAAGAAAAACTATTTTTGAAAAGGAACACCTAGCAGGATTGCATACTGTACTTAGCATTACAAAGCAGTGTATAAACACAAGTCAGTGATGAAGGAATAATAGAGAATGTCCCAAGAAAAGATGGAAAGATCATACTTACTTCAAGAAAAGGCTTATGTACCAAAACCTGTAATTTTTTCTGTGGAGAGTGCTGTGTGCCACTTTGATAGATTGAAGTTCTTTGAATTCTGTGTTTATCAAGATAGTATCTCATCTGGTACAGAAATTGTTTTATTGCAGCAGAAAAAATTAGCAACAGGAAAATGTTTCAGTATGCTGAAGGTGTAAAAAAAACACATAAAGTGGCAAAAATGGGTTTTATTAGGTTAGGAATAAAGCCTGATCTAAATATCTTAGACTTGTATATTTTTAAAAGATATCTTAAATACATGAAAGACACGCAGCACTATGCTTAGAATGTGAACTGTTGGCTTGGTTTAGAATCAGTCGCTAAAAGCAAGTAGAGGTTTCCAGAGCCAGTACTTGTACTTCTGGGAAATTGTGCCCTTCACCTAGGTGTCTGAATTTTTTTCTTTTTTCTTTTCTTTTCTTTTCTTTTTTTTTTTTTTGAGACAGTCTCGCTCTGTCGCCCAGGCTGGAGTGCAGTGGCACGATCTTGGCTCACTGCAACCTCTGCCTCCTGGGTTCAAGTGACTCTCCTGCCTCAGCCTCCTGAGTAGCTGGGACTACAGGCATGCGCCACCACTCCCAGCTAATATTTTTTTTGGATTTTTGGAGACAGGGTTTCATCACATTGGTCAAGCTGGTCTCAAACTCCTGACCTCAAATGATCTGCCCACCTCAGCCTCCCAAAGTACTGGGATTACAGGCATGAGCCACCAGGCCCGGCCTTTTGTTTTGTTTTATATACCTTGGTGAGAGTCCCTTCAAGATCAAAACCTGACTAGTTTGTGGGATGTGCATGTCTGTAGTGCCCGTACAACTTCAGCAATTGTTTGAAAACTGTAGCCGTAGACAATGATGGTCTGTAAGGTTGAATCAAAACAAAACCCACAAACAGCTGTATTTTTATATCTAAATGTTACATAAAAAGCTGTTTGTGCTGTTAAAACTTTTACCATTAAAGGACAGAATAAGAGCACATTGGAGCAGACTGTTACCAAACTTTTTTTAGGGCATGCGTGCTAGCACTTTATGTACTTAGTCACTCATAAAGGCAATACCTGGTTCTTGTAAATTCTACAAATGGCCTCCCACTACTGCCAATTCAAAGTAAAAAACAAACAAAACACCCAGGTACTGCTGTACAGATTTCTTGAAGTAGCCTTTTTCCCAGCTTTGCACCCCACCTGAAGATCCTGTCCACTGCAGCTTGCAGGTGCCTATACAGTGTTTCCAGCTTCAGAACTACTTTTTTAAAAAACTCTTTTCTTCTTAATTGTGGTACGATACATATAAAAGTTTACCATTTTAACTGTTCAGTCACATTAAGTACATTCACATTGTTGTGCAACCATCACCACTATCCATCTCCAGAACTCTTCACCTTGCCTGAGACTCTACCTGTTAAACAGTAACTCCACCCGCAACCACCATTCTGCTTTCTGTCTCTGAATTTAACTACTTTAAATACTTCATATAGGTAGAATCATACAGTATTTGTCTTTTTGTGAATGGTTTATTTCACTTACCATAATGCCTTCAAGGTTCATGCAAGTTGTAGCACGCTTTGGAATTTCCTTCCTTTTAAGGCTGAATAGTATTTCGTTGTATGTATATACCACATTTTGTTTACCCATTCATCTGTGGATGGACACTTGGGTTGCTTCCACCTTTTGGCTATTGTGAATAATGCTTATTAATATGAATGTACAAATAAATACCTCTTTGTGTCTCAGGTTTCAGTGCCTTTGGATATATACTCACAAGTGGAATTACATGATAATTCTATTTCAGATTTTTTGAGTAACTGCCATACTGTTTCTCATATCAGCTGCACCATTTTATATTCCCACCAACAGGGCTCGGGGGCCCAATTTCTTCCTATCCTTATCAACACTTGTTTTTTTTTTTTTTTTTTTTTTAATAGTAGCTATCCTGCTGGGTGTGAGGTGGTATCTCATTGTGGTTTCTATTTGCATTTCCATAGTGATTAATGACACTGAACGTTTTTTTGTGTGCTTATTGGCCATTTGTCTATCTTCTTTAGAGAAGTGTCTGTTCAGATCCTTTTTTTATTTCTTAGTGGCGTTGTGTGTTTATTATTACAGTTTATGGTAGGAGTTCTTTATATTGGTAAGTGTATGAACCCCTTATCAGATATGATTTGCAGATATTTTCTCCCATTCTGTGGATTGCCTTTTAACCCTTTTTTGCCCTGTGATTCACAGAAGTTTTAAATTTTTATGTAGTCCAGTTTATCTGTTTTTTTCTGTTACATTTTCCCCAAAAAGTCATTGCAAAATCCAGTGTCATGAAGCTTTTATGTTTTCTCCCAAGAGTTTGATAGTTTTAGCTCTTATATTTATGTCTTTTGTACACTTTAAGTTTTTTTTTAACATGGTGTAAAGGTCCAACTTCTTTTGCATGTGATATCCAGTTTTCCTATCACCATTTGTTGAAAAGATTGTCCTTTCCTCATTGAATGGTCATGAAGAGGTTCTTTTAAACACAGATGACCCTGGGTTGGATCATACCTTAAGCCCTTTATTAACCAGTTCCTTAGTTGTCAATAAATGCCTTAGCAGAGAATTGACAGCTAAGTAAGATAAAGAGGCACTGAAAACAGAGAGGTGTTGAGTAGAGATATGGCAGGGCACCAAAGGCAAATTGTGTTTCAACCTTGCCTAGATAAGGGGTGGCCACAGGCTGCTTTCTTTGCATTTGTGTCATATTCATGAATTATGTTATGCTACTATAATGTGCACATTCATTCATTGCATATTCTTTGCATGTCAATTTGTAACTACATTCAGTAAATATTTCTTAGATAACTATTACATAAAGATAGGATAAACCTCTTTGGAATGCTTGTTCCCTGGTGCTGTAAAGAAGTAGCACTTGAACATAAATTTAATTTCCTCAGCAAGGCCATTTTTATACTTTCTGCAGAAAGGGTACACTCGCCAGCAGTTTTGCCATGAGAGTACACCGAACAAAGGAGACCGGGTCATTTATAACCTGATGCGTCCACCCTGCTGCTATGCCCGGTTTCCATTGGCTGGAACAGGACCTCACATTCTGTATTTGTTCTGATTGGCTAGCAACTTAGCCAATCTTGTTTTAAAAGAGGCAAAGGCAGAGGAGAACAAAGGAAGGAGGAAGTAACTTGTGGAATGTAGAGAAAGGTAAAAACACCTTCAAATAAGGAAGAGGAACAGGCTATGACCTAACGCTTGCTTGGACCAGTATAAGCTTGCCGGGGCAAATATTTAGGCTAAATTGTGGGAGCTAAGAACATAAAGTACATTGATTTCTTTATTACGGCTAGCAGATGTTTAAGAATGTTAGCACAGGTCTTTGAATAAATTTTGCTTCTAAGAGAAGTTACTATTTATTCCTAATTACACGGGGAGGAGAGTCTGAAGAGGAACCTCTACTTTGCTTTTTACAAATGTATACATTTATATATGACTGTATTAATAAAGACTGATTAAAAGCCACTCAAAATGAATTTCATTAGTTAATCAACAGACTTTAGAGTTACAGATATGTAACCATCAGATTAACACTGAACATTTGAACATTTTGTGGATATGTAGTGGAAGTTTTTCTAGTGTGTGATGAACTGTTTAGAACCTTGTAATGCTAGTAATTATTTTGTAAATAGATGAAATATCTTTTTTTTTTTTTTGAGATGGAGTCTTGCTCTGTTGCCCAGGCTGGAGTGCAGTGGTGCAATCTCGGCTCACTGCAAGCTCCACCTCCCGGGTTCACGCCATTCTCCTGCCTCAGCCTCCCACGTAGCTGGGACTACAGGTGACCGCCACCATGCCCGGCTAATTTTTTGTATTTTTAGTAGAGACGGGGTTTCACCGTTTTAGCCAGTATGGTCTCGATCTCCTGACCTCGTGATCTGCCCGCCTCGGCCCCCCAGAGTGCTAGGAAATATCATTTTTACATGAAAATGAATGTTCCTGGTGATAAACATAATTCTCGGGGTAGATAGTAAAATCTACCAATAACTATAGTAAAAAGAAAGCAGAATAAAGTTTAGAATGAACTGATAGTAGTGTGTTCCAGCAAAAGATAAAACATTAGGAAAAATGCATGCATAAGTAGTCTTGTTATATTTTTAAATAAGCATGTCCTTGATGAGACTCTTGATAGAGTTTTGAACATCCCTATTGAGAGAATGGAAAGAGGAAGTCTTGTGTAGGCATTCAGGATCCCTGGGCTCCTCATAGACAGAGCTGCTCTCCCATTTGCCTTAACCTTACCTCACCTGGCTAGTTGTTACTGCATGTTAGCACTGGGGACTGGACATGGCTGTATTGACAGCCTGTAATTCAGTTGGTCTTTATAATTTGATTACTTGAGTTTTAGCTGGTAGGTGAGTTTTAGCTTGTGAACCTTTCGAGGGTTGGGAGATTTCCACATGTGACTGTCTTACAGAGTCACATGGAAACAGAAAAGAACCAAGAAATTTTGTACTTAGTTTTTAGTTCATTACTCTTAGTTATCAGTCTTTTTCAAGTTGTCGTGCTTTTTCTTCAAGAACAATCTTGTTCAGACCCTAAACCTAAAACTTACGGGGGAAAAAAAGCATGGCTGCTAAAATTGAAGGTGGGCTTAGAGACTGGAACCTTGCTTGCTTGCTGTTTTTACCCCCAACTTTTTTCTTCTCCCCACCATATCCACCCTTCATCCAGTCATGGCCCCACAAAGATTCTGCAGTCGAACTTTGTTTTATAGATGAAGAAATGTTAGGCTCAGTGCTGTTAGACTCACTCTGAATCACATTGTTAGGCAGTCGTAGAATTGGGATTTGAGTCCGTATCTAGTCTACTGTTATCATTATGTTGTAGACCATGGATAACTGACTTAAAATAATGATGTTCTCTGTGTTATAGTTTTCAAAGGGTTTCCACGTGTGTAGTCTCACTCGATTTTCACTCTGTAGACTGGCAGAGTAGATTACTATAACAGTAGTTAATGTTTATTGAAGGTGTACCCTAAATGTTAAGGGTAAGGGTACTTTTGCATTCATGTATTCACTCTTCATCCGTTTTTTAAACTAATTTTTTGAAACACAGTAATTGGCTGCCCTGTTAAAGTTACTGGATAAGGAGAGATTGGCAGGTTATTTTAGGTTGTGAATCACAGTTTCAGAAACTGTTATCACATTCCTCAAGGTCATCAAGTTATGTGGAATTAAATTGGGAGCCTGGTCTGCAAGAGTTCCTCTGAAAACTAGAAGGCAATTTTTGTTTACAAGTCTAGCTTGATAATTGGATGGTTTGTCAATACAGGGCAGTCACTTCTTAGTGAGTAGGTTTAGTCAAGAGGACACATTGTAATTCAGGAGGTTGCTTGGAACAGGATAAAAACAGAGGGAGTGTGTTATTTCTGAAGGATATTTCTGTCAAGTAGTGGTATCCTGATTAAATGCCCTCCTCCGTTCTAGGGAAAGTCCTATTTAAAGAAGCAAATCAGTCATCTTAGTGTGGAGAACTTTTCCCTGGATGTTATTACAGAGGCATTGGCGGAGTCTCTTTTTCGAAGATCCCTGCTGATTAGCAGAAACAGCCCCCATGCCTGGCTAATTTTTCTTTCTTTCTTTTTTTTTTTTTTGAGATGGAGTTTCGCTCTTGTTGCCCAGGCTGGAGTCCAATGGTGCAATCTCGGCTCACCGCAACCTCCGCCTCCCGGGTTCAAGCGATTCTCCTGCCTCAGCCTTCCGAGTAGCTGGGATTACAGGCATGCGCCACCATGCCCGGCTAATTTTTTATTTTTAGTAGAGACAGGGTTTCTCCATGTTGGTCAGGCTGGTCTCAAACTCCCCGCCTCACGTGATCTGTCCACCTCGGCCTCCCAAAGTGCTGGGATTATAGGCGTGAGCCATCGTGCCCAGCAATCTTTTGTATTTTTAATAGACATGGGATTTCACCATGTTGGCCAGACTGGTCTCCAACTCCTGACTTCAGGTGATCCACCCACCTCGGCCTCCCAAAGTGCTGGGATTACAGGGGTGAGCCACCACGCCTGGCCCACGATCACCTTAATCTGTTTTCAGAGATTGAAATAATGAATACAGTTTCTGCAAAGTTTGGTCTGTCTACTTCCAATTTCTTGTTACTCATAGGGTTCTGATAGCAATTGCGGCAATCTTTATCCTTGGAAGACCCTTGGACTCTACTTTTTCTCTCCTAGCACTGTTTGTCAGAAACTTTGCCCAGTCTCCCAGCCACTCTTCTAGGATTGCCAAATGTTCTCAGAGGGAAAAATAATCTGGTTTGGGGAAGAGAGGTGGGGTGGCAGATCTCTGAAGATTTTTGTCCTCTTTGGAATGTTGGCTAGTAATTTTTGATTGTTTGATTTCTGGATCAATAGGAGTTTGTTGTTCATGAGTCAAGTTATTGGAAATGACGAAGCTAAAATTTTCAGTCCTTCATTCTTTCCTTTTCCTTTTAAAGTTTTAAACATTTGTCTGGAATAGTTTTGTTACTTTGGAGTTGGGGGAAAGAACCCTTAATAGCTGTTTTTTTTTTTAATTTTTGTTTTTGTATTATAACTGTGTTTCATGCTTCTAGCCTCATTAAACCATCATTAAGGAATTTTCTTATTGGCCTTGTGCAGTAGGTATACAACAGACGTTACACAACTGGATCTCTTAAATGATTGGGCCACCAAATGTATTAAAATACACTTTACTCCTTTATTTACCTTTATTTAACAGTTTAATAGCTGCCTTTAATTATCGGGGTATGTGTTTTTAGTGTATAATGGCCAGAACTCCCAAACTCTTTACTTGTTCCAGCAGGTGTATGGATTCAGTTTACATGTAGTCCAGTGCTGTGTGTTAATGTATCTCCCAGATTTCCTTTAAGGGCTGAAGTCTGTTGGGACTGGACAAAATGAGCCTCTTGAAAACAGGAGAAATATTTAACAGAGCATGTGGTACTTCTGGGACTTGATAATGAGCACATTGGGTATTCATGCTCCTCCTGCCTTCATCAGACTTAAAAAAGAAATCTCTCCTCAGGGTTAATCAGTTTACCACCTTTTCTCGGAGCACCTTGCACATGCCCCTAAAACGTTTGTATTATCTTGTCTCTCTGTTGGGACTTAACCTTTTGACAACACTTCTGCATGTCTTTTAGGCATCTTTTAAGGGTGACAGTAAAAATTCAAATTGTTATAAATGTCAACAAACAAAAACCAAATCCTGCAGTATACTAAGAATAAAAATATTCATAAGAAAATATCTGCTGGCCAGGCATGGTGGCTCATGCCTGTAATCCTAGCACTTTGGGAGGCATAGGCGGGCAGATCACCTGAGGTCAGAGGTTCAAGACCAGCCTGGCCAACATGGTGAAACCCCATCTCTACTAAAAATACAAAAATAGCCAGGCATGGTGGCAGGTGCCTGTAATCCCAGCTACTCAGGAGGCTGAGGCAGGAGAATCACTTGAACCCGGGAGGCGGAGGTGGTTGTGAGCCGAGATCGTGCCACTGCACTTCAGCCTGGGTGACAGAGCAAGACTTTGTCTCAAAAAAAAGAGGCCGGGCACGGTGGCTTACGCCTGTAATCCCAGCACTTTGGGAGGCAGAGGCCGGCGGATCACGAGGTCAGGAGATGGAGACCATCCTGGCTCACATGGTGAAACGCCGTCTCTACTAAAAATACAAAAAAAAGAAAAATAATAATCGGGCGTGGTGGCGGGCACCTGTAGTCCCAGCTACTCGGGAGTCTGAGGCAGGAGAATGGTGTGAACCCGGGAGGCGGAGCTTGCAGTGAGCCGAGATTGCGCCACTGCACTCCAGCCTGGGCAACAGAGCGAGACTCCGTCTCAAAAAAAATAATAAATAAATAAAAAGAAAGAAAGAAATTATCTGCTAATGTGTGTGGGGTAAAGTGTCATGGTTTAAGGTGTTGTTAAGTAAAAAATTCTCATAGATCATATCAGAGCTGATTTGACGTGGATAATATATAAGGCTTCATATGGTAACCATTTGATACACATGTATATAGTTACTAGAAGAAAATTATCTTAATAGAAGTCATATTAATTTTGTTAAGAATAAATGTAGTCATAGCCCAAAATGTAGCTGTTTGTGTTAAAAGGCTTTGACTTTACAAGGGGTTTCATTTAGCCTCTTTTTATGAATTATATATTTTGCTAGCCACTGAGCCAGCTGCCACTTAATGTGAGCCATCATTTGGTCATCCTGGTGGTTTTATAGTATAGTTAGTTAAGTAAGTGTTGCCTTAAGGAGAATGACAGATTTACTATTATAGTTTATTATCAATGATAATCTTTTCTGCATCATTTTTAATTGACTTCTTCTAGGGCTTTGGCAGAATATGTGAATCAGGCTATGACTGAACTCTTAAGTGTCCAGTATGTAATAGCAAAGACAGAGTTTAAAAGCCACACTATAGGACAACTCATGAAGGGAAATGTTTTGTTAGATTGTCTTATATAATGGTAACAAGTAAAGTAAGCATGGCCATGTTAGTTGGATTTGGTGTTTTATGTAAGTGAATGTTAGGATTGGTGCTCAGGAATGCATAAAGATATTTTTCTATTGAATTTTAAATATAAGAGTTACAATTTAAACATGTGTAGGAGGGTGTTTTATAGACAAATTTCACTTGTAAAGCTGGAGAATGGAGAACTTCAGAAAAAGTTTACTTAATATTGTATACTTTCATCAGTTGGACATTTGAATTTAATTTCTCATTTTCTTGATATTGAAATAAAATATCATTTAGAAATACATTATGTTATAAAATTGACATTTTTTTTTTCCTCCCCAATACAGAAGCTCCACCATGAGGCGAGGTGGATGGAGGAAGCGAGCTGAAAATGATGGCTGGGAAACATGGGTGTGTTTTAAAAGAGTAAAAATAATTATATCGAACTGTCTAGTTATTTTTCATTCTTCTGTTATAATGTGGTTTAAGTTGTTTTCTAAATTGTAAATTACTTTAGACACCACATCTTTGAGTTTTCACAGTGTATTGAAAGCCTTATGATGTTTATAAACTTTATCCCCTAAACTTTACTCTCAGGAATTTTACCCTGAGGAAATAAATATGCCTAGTGCACAATAATTTACTATATGATGATTTTATTGCAGCATTGCTAATAATACAGAAAAACAGGAAAACACATAAATATCCAATAATAAGGGATTGGTCAAATAAGTTATCTGTGTATAGTGGAGCACTGTACAGTCATTATTCAGCTTTATATATCTCAACCTGGAAGGATAACCTTGACTAAAACAATGTGTTACAAAGAAATATTTTGTATGATTATATGTTTGTAAAACCTCTGTGCTCTGAGTTATGGAAATAAGCTTTGAAAACAACACCCCAAAGTTTTAATGAATAGGATTATACCAGTTTTAATTTTCTTCCCCATATTTCCTGTATTTTCTGAAAAGAAACTTCATAGTGAGCATATAATATTTTAATAATCAGCAAAAATAATGCAGTCATTTCCATTTTGGGAAAAAAACATCATGTACTTCTAGCCACCTACACCTTTAATTTAAAGACCTAATAATTGAAATCAAGCTTAATTATATCAAAGTTCAGGAAAAGTATAGTTGAATCCCTAGATCTGTCAAGATGTTTAGCAAAAAAAATTATTTTTTAATATTTATTGTGAGGTGAATGTTATCTAATGAAAGTTAATATTACTATCAAATAGATTGATTAGATCCAGAATTTAGCCACTGGAGCATTCATTGTATTCTTTCCCATGTGTAGGGAGGACTACACTGGTTTATCCAGTTGCCTCATTTTTACCTGAAATAATTCATTTTAAGCCCTCTGTATGTGGGAGATAGTGGAAGCCAGTCTAAAATATGCTCTGAGGTTGGGCGTGGTGGCTCACACCTGTAATCCCAGCACTTTGGGAGGCTCAGGCAGGTGGATCACCTGAGGTCAGGAGTTGGAAACCATCCTGGCCAACATGGTGAAATCCCGTCTCTATTAAAAATACAAAAATTAGCTGGGCATAGTGGTGAGCACCTATAATCCCAGCTACTTGGGAACTGAGGCAGGAGAATTGCTTGAACCTGGGAGGCGGAGTTTGCAGTGAGCTGAGATCGTGCCACTGCACTCCAGCCTGGGCGACAACAGCAAGACCCTGTCAAAAAAATAAAATAAAATATGCTCTGAGACCACTTGTCAAATTTGTAATTGGTTTAAACTTTGGTGTAGCTTGCTCAATTGTGTACATAAGAACAATATTTTGTGATATTATTACTATGTTTTGATATGCAGTTTTGCTCTTGTTGTCCAGGCTGGGGTGCAATAGCACGATCTCAGCTCGTTTGCAACCTCCACCTTCTGGGTTCAAGCGATTCTCCTGCCTCAGCCTCCTGAGTAACTGGGATTACAGGCATGCACCACCACACCCAGCTGATTTTGTATTTTTAGTAGAGACGAGGTTTCACCATGTTGGTCAGGCTGATCTCGAACTCCTGACCTCAGGTGATCTGCCCACCTCAGCCTCCCAAAATGCTGGGATCACAGGTGTGAGCCACTGTGCCCAGCCAGTATTATTATTATTGACTTAGCTTTTTTTAAAAGTAACTTTTATAATCATAAGAATGTAATAAAATTAAAACTTGAGTTGATAGAGGGAAAATTCTTCTTTGACCTATGTGTTTTATGTATTTATATTTATTTATTATAATTTTTTTTTGAGATGGAGTCTTGCTCTGTCACCCAGGCTGGAGTGCAGTGGCGCCATCTCACCTCACTGCAACCTCCACCTCCTGGGTTCAGGCAATTCTCCTGCCTCAGCCTCCCGAGTAGCTGGGATTACAGGCACTTGGCACTGCACCCGGCTAATTTTTGTATTTTTAGTAGAGACGGGGTTTCACCATGTTGGCCAAGCTGGTCTCAAACTCCTGATCTCAGGTGATCCGCCTGCCTCAGCTTCCCAAAGTGCTGGGATTACAGGTGTGAGCCACTGCGCCCGGCCCAACTTTCCTGTTTTATTTATTGCCTTGCCTTATGGTTTATGTTTATGAGGTCATCATTATGTTCTGGTCACTAGCACAGAATAAGGTCCATTTATTTATTTAGTTTTTAAAATTTTTTTTTTTCAAAAAAGGGGGGAGAAAATGTAACCTTTGTGATTGGTTTACCTTTTCTTTAATTCTAGGGTGGGTATATGGCTGCCAAGGTCCAGAAATTGGAGGAACAGTTTCGATCAGATGCTGCTATGCAGAAGGATGGGACTTCATCTACAATTTTTAGTGGAGTTGCCATCTATGTTAATGGATACACAGGTTGAGTACTTTTTACTTAACCCTATTTTGGCATGTATTTTTATTAGGATTGAGAATGATTTGTTTTAAAATTCTATTTTTACTCATTTATTATAGACAAATGATTGTAAGATGAGAAGAAATAAATCATCTGCTTAGATACTTCTTTTTCCTTTCCATGTTGCTTTTACCTGCCATTGTCTTTAACTTTTATCAAAGTACATAGTTTCAAAAAGTCACGTGAGGTTTAAAATGAAAAACGGGAAATTACCACACATGGGTAGTAGGACTTGTAAACTGTGAGCTTCACTGTAGGTCCATTTCATTGGTAAATCTCTAGATGTCATTGTCCATAGGTCCTTTAGGGTGGGGTGGTGTGTGGGTGTGTGTCAGTGTCAGATTTCCTAGAGAAGAATCTTTTACTCTCTTGTCTGTAGAAGAGTGTAAACTGCCAGCATTTGGGTCGCCAAGCAGGGAAGGAAAGGACCTGAATTCTCACAGTTTAGGAAGTAAAATTTCACTTAGTCTCTCTATTCATTTTCTCATTCCTACCTCCTCCCCACCAGCTGTGCCTATTGTCATTGAGTCCGGTATCTGGAAGGGGTAGTGTAGTCTTTATTCTTGGTGAAAGGAAAGAAATGTGCAAATGCTTCTTTGCCTGTTGCACAGTTTCAAGGATGAATTTATCCACACATCCACTTTTGAAGGTGCCTGTGTGTTTATTTCATGACTTTCTCTTTGTTTTACTGGTAACAAGCAGCTTCTTTCCAAGCTTCCATATGGCCAGCTTCAGTTTTATCTTTCGCTGAACTGTAAAGTCAGTTAGCACTTGCCTGTTAGTTACCAGGTTTTCTGCCTAAATTTTTCTCTATTTTCTTGGGGATTCTTCTTCTTATCATTTCATTGTATTTTTTGAAGTGAATGGCTGTAAATATTTGTGTCAGTCTGTTACATATTCCCCTGTCCCCTTCTCAGCTGGCTGATACCTGCTATCTTTCAGGTCTCCATGCCTCGCTTTCCCTTGATAGTTTGACTGTCTTCATACTGATTTAGGTGACTTCTTGTGCTCTTCTGGAGCTATGGCTCCCTGAATGAATCTGCATCTTAGAATTCTTCAGACCTTTCCATAGTTGTCTGTTTACTGGACAAGAGCTGGAGCTACATTTTCATCACTATATCCTTAGTGCCTCTACAGTGACTGGACACAATCATTCAGGACATATTTGTTGAATTGGAGTTAAGTATTAATTAACTGGTACATTTATCTGGTTTAGTAAGAGAAGAGTGTGTTGCTTGTAATTAAGTGTTTTATTAGGCATCATTGATGATGAATTTAGTCCAAGAATGTCATCTCAAAATAAATGCTGGTGCAGCATTGGGAAGTTCACATGCAGAAAGCTTGTAACTTTTCTGTGTAGGAAGGTATCCTGACAAATTCAAGCTCTGTGGACTTCCTGAGATGCTCTATGAAAAATTAAAACGTTAATGAAAACAGGCATTGCTTCTTACATTAGCCAGTCATGGAAGTCTCCAGTTCAAGAGAGCACCCTTATTCACATAGGAGGAAGAAAAAGAGATTCTTTGTGTGAGGGAAGAAAAATGAATATTGCAGTAATCACTTTTTGATTGAGAATCTGGAATTCTAAATCTGCTTTTATCACTAATTTTTGTGTGACTGTAAAACATTTTCTGTTTAGATCTGTTATTATCTCTATCCTTTTCTGCAGGATAGAGATGATAATATTTTTGCTCTTGTTATTAAGATTTCATTATAACTGTACAAATAAAGTTCCATTATGCTGAATTTCACCGAGATATCCAAACTGTGGTGCTGTAAAATAACTTTATTTTTAGAAAAATTAAGTTTTAGTGAATACTTTACCACTTTATAGATAAAACAGCATTAACAATTAGCAAGTAAAAATAACTCTTTAGATGTAATAAGACAAGTAGGAGGTGCTATTTTGTTTTTGATTTAAAAAAATAAGCTTTATTTCACAGTCTTGAGGAGTACTGGTCAGCTATTTTGTAAAATGCCTATATATATATTTTGGTATCATCTTTCTTCTCCATTAGCATGTAAGCACCAAAGGTGCAGACTTTGTCAGTTTTGCTCATTGCTATTGTGAAAGAAAGTTTTCAGGCCAGGCACGGTGGCTCACGCCTGCAATCCCAGCACTTTGGGAGGCCGAGGCGGGCAGATCACAAGGTCAAGAGATCGAGACCATCCTGGCCAACATGGTGAAACCCTGTCTCTACTAAAAATACAAAAATTAGCTGGGCGTGGTGACGTGCGCCTGTAGTCCCAGCTACTCGGGAGGCTGAGGCAGGAGAATCACTTGAACCCGGGAGGCGGAGGTTGAAGTGAGCCGAGATTGCGCCACTGCACTCCAGCCTGGCGATAGAGTGAAAAAAAGAAAATAGAAAGTTCTCTGAAAAGGAATTTGGAGGAAAGAGACTTCATTCCAGTGAACAGTTTGCAAACCTGGGAGATGCAGTTTTCACTGTAAAAGAAGCTGTGGTGTCCCTTCTTGTTGATTCTTAACCATGCTCCCCACAAACTGTAATAATCCAAGTGTTCTTGATTCCTTTAAAGCTCCCAGTTCAGCCATTTGAGCCTCTCATGATTTCGTAGTCCCTATACCTTCCAACCCAGTTAACATTGAACTTGAACTTGGAGGGAAGACCCTCTAATAGTTCACCTGTCAACCTATTCTTCCCTTCACCTGGCCCCAAAAATGTTTTTTGCTTGTTAAGATTGACTTCTTTGCCTTCTATCCTTTTTGTTTGTTTTGTTTGTTTCTTTGTTTTGAGATAGGGTCTCCCTCTGTCACCCAGGCTGTAGTGCAGTGGCACTATCACGGCTCACTGCAGCTTCAACATCCCAGGTTCAAGCCATCCTCTCTCCTCAGGCTCCCAAGTAGCTAGGACCTCAAGTGTGTACCACCATGTCCAGCTGATTTTTTAATTTTTTGTAGAGACAAGGTCTTGCTGTGTTTCCCAGGCTGATCTGAAACTCCTAGGCTCAAGCGATTCTTCTGCCTCAGCCTCCCAAAGTGTGGAGATTACATGTATGGGCCACCATGGCTGGCCTATCCATTTTTTAAATTAATTTTTTTTTAGATAATTGTAGATTCACATGCAGTTGTAAGACATAGCACATAGTGATACTGTGAACCCTTTACCCAGTTTCCCCAAATGGTAATATGTAATAAACTTGCAAACAGTGTCACAACTGGGAAATTGATACTGATACAGTTAATATACAGAACATTTCCACACTACAAAGATCTTTCTTTTTTTTTTTTTGAGACAGAGTCTCACTCTGTCACCCAGGCTGGAGTGCAGTGGCGCGATCTCGGCTCACTGCAAGCTCTGCCTCCCGGGTTCACACCATTCTCCTGCCTCAGCCTCCCGAGTAGCTGGGACTACAGGTGGCCACCACCACGCCTGGCTAATTTTTTGTATTTTTAGTAGAGACGGGGTTTCACCGTGTTAGCCAGTATGGTCTTGATCTCCTGACCTCGTGATCTGCCCACCTTGGCCTCCCAAAGTGCTGGGATTACAGGTGTGAGCCACCGCGCCCGGCCTCCACACTACAAAGATCTTTCATGTTACTCTTTCATAGTCACACCCACTTCTGTTCTCCGCCTTTCCTTAACTCCTGGCAACCACTAATCTGGTCTCCATTTTTATAATTTTGTCATTTCAAGAATGTTATATAAATAAAACATACAGCATATAACCTTTTGGGGCTGGCTTTTTTCACTGAGCATAAATTATCTGTCAGGTCATCAAAATTGTTGCCTTTTTATTGTTCAGTTATATTTCATAGTGTGGATGTACCAGTTTGTTAACCTTTCATCTGTTAGGGACATCACAGTTATTTCTTGGTAGGCTATGAACATTTGTGTATGAGTTTTTGTATGAGTATAAGAAGAGTACAGTTGTTGGTTCCCGTAATAGTTACATCTTTAGTTTTTGTAAGAAACTGCCAAACTGTTACCCAAAGTGGTTGTAGTATTTTATACTCCCACTAGCCTTGTATGAGGGATCAACTTTCTTTGCATCCTTGCCAGCATTCAGTGGTTTTCATTTTATCCATTTTAATAGATGGTGTTGTATCTCTTTGTGATTTTAATTTGCATTTGCCTCGTGGCTAATAATGTTGAACATTCTTTCATGTGTTTATTTCTTATCTTTACATCATCATTGGTGAAACATTTGTTCATATTTTTTTCCTCATTTTCTAATTGGATTTAGTATTTTTTACTGTTTAGTTTTGATATTTCATTATATATTCTAGAGACTACTGCTTTGTCATAAAAGTGGTTTGCAGGTATTTTCTCCCAGTCTGTAGTTTTTCATCCTCTTGAAATGGTCTTTTGCAGAACGTTTTTAATTTTGATGAGATCTGATATGTTGATCTTTCCTTTTATGGATTGTGCTTGCAAGTCTAAGAACTTGTCACTTTGGTGCTAGATCCCAAATGTTTTCTTCTATATTTTTAGATTTTATAGTTTTATGTTTTACATTGAAGTTAATGTTTCATTTTGAGGTTTTACAATTTTTTTTTTTTATTTGTGGATTTCCAGTTGTTGCAACACAGTCAGTTAGGCATATTTTGGTGGATCTGTTTCTGGGTTCTCTGTTCTCTTCCATTGATGTTTGTGTCTGTTCCTTCACCAGTACCACACTATATCAAATACTGTACCTATGTGGTAAGCCTTGATATCAGGTAGAGTGATTGCTTTCACTTGTTTCTTCTTTGTCAAGATAATTCTGGCTATTCTAGGACCTACGCCTCTCTCTCTCTTTTTTTTTTTTTTCTTGAGACAGGGTCTCACTTTGTCACCCAGGCTGGAGTACAGTGGTATGATCTCAGCTTACCGCACCCTCTGCCTCCCTGGCTCAAGCGATTCTTGTACCTCAGCTACCCGAGTAGCTGGGATTACAGGCACATGCCATGATGCCCAGCTCATTTTTTGTGTGTTTTTAGTAGAGATGGGGTTTCGCCATGTTGGCCAGGCTGGTCTCGAACTCCTGACCTCAGGTGATTTGCCTGCCTCGGCCTCCCAGAGTGCTGGGATTACAGGTGTGAGCCAGTGCACCTGACCTATATAAATGTTAAAATAAGTCATTTATCCACAAAATACCTTGCTGGGATTTTGATAGGAATTACATTAAACCTGTAGATCAGTTCGGGGAGAATTGACATCTTTACTATGTTGAGTTTTCTAGTTTACAGACCTTATATCCCATTTTATTTTTCTTTAGTTGATTGAACAGATATATTTTGGATGCTGCTTGTGGGTTAGGAACTATGTTTGAAAAGAGATAGCAGTTGATGGAGAATGTGGATTTTGTGATGAAAAAGTAATCTCTAAGCCTTAGACATCAACAGAGGAGGGTGAGTGCCAACACAGAAGAGGAAACAATTGCCTTTGGGAGTGGGAGTGAATACTTCATAAAGGAATCGAAATGTTTAGCTTGGTCTTAGATAAATAGGCATTTTCCAAATGAAAATGGAGAAAGACATTCTAGTCCTAATTCTGACCTACATTTTCAACCTCATGTTCTTAAATTTTGCTCAACAAGATTACCCTGATATTCTAGATTTGTCTTTTTACTTTTACAGTTCTGTGTTTCTGTTTGTTCTTTTGCCTCTGAGGAAAAACTCCTTCCCTCCTCACTTCTGTGAACTGGAAGTATATTCATTCATTAAGATCCAGATATAGTTAGGTTTTGCCTCCTTCCCTGTCTAAGCCAGTCCATAGTAGTAGTATTTTATATAGAGAGATATATAATTCATAGCATTATTGCTAGAAACATTTATTTTGACACCTGGATTTTGTCTTGTGTTGTTAGGTCTTAATTCTATATTAAGTTCTTTGGCGTTAGGAAGCCTGTTTTATGTATAGTAATCCCTTGCCAAACATGGATTAGAGATAACACCTCAGGGCCTTAAATTTGCAGTTCCTTCTGCTTCCTCAGGTCTTCATCATTCAGATCTCTGCTCAAATGTTACCTTTTTACGGAGACCTTCCCTGACTTCACCTATCTAAAACAGGTGTACTTTGCCCTCCAGTCGCTCTCTAACCCCTTATCCACCTTCCTCTTCATTTATTTGCACCTAAAATGGTATTACTTGCATGACTTATTTTTGTCTCCTCAGTGGAATACAAGTGCTATCACGGGGCACAGACTTGAGTCTTGTTCATTGCCATATCTCCAGTGCCTAGAACCTTGCCTGGCACATTGTAGATACTCAATAAGTATTAGTTGAATGAATAAATAAATAACAGGTTTTGTATTTGTACATCAGAATGTTAAAATATTTTCACTCAGATGCTAAATCAACTCAGTCTTAAGGAATGGGCCACATTTGAGGCCTGCATTGTAATCTGGGAGGTAGGCTCTGGGCATGTTTATTTTTGTGAAAGCTGCCCAGGGGGAGTGAGTGCTTCAGACTTAGTGGACAGTGGTTGCACTTTAGTGGTGTGAGATTGGGACAGTTCATATGGAAAGAGGTGTTCAGGTTATTTTCTACTTCCTTTAGTACATGGGTAAAAGACCAGGTCTTTTGATTTTGGCACTGCTGAAGTTTGTGAAAAAGCAGGTGGAGGGGGGCCCGGACAAGTACTTTAGCACAATTCACAAAATGAAACAAGGGGGAATATGCAAGTGTAACAGACTTATATTTCAAATAAGGATTTGTTTGAAAGCTGACAGCTTACATTGATGTTTTCTAAACATACAAATGTGGTGTTTTAGGAGAGGATTCTCTTTAGTGTTGACAAGTCTAATTTTTTGGAAATAAATGCCTCCCAGATATTATTTTGTATGGATATATAATATCTCTCCTTCCATTTCCTGTGAGACTCTCATCTTGTAGATAAGAGATGGAGGAATTGAACCTCTGACATAGAAGACTTACCATATTAATTTATGCCACCTCCTGTAATTTTGCTAGTACCTGATGTGAAATTTGCACCTAGTTGGTACTCAAAAATTTGTTCCCTAAGCATTTGAAACTTTTCTTCAGTTTTTGTTTGGTTGAGTGTATCCGTGGCTTTTAGTTGATTGTGGTGACTCTGTTGGTAAGTCTGAGGTAGTTAGGGGTGAGAAGAGTCAAGAGAGTAGTATTGCTGCTGCAGAAACTGAGGGACAGGAGTCCAAAGACAGAAGGGTATGCACAGTAAGTTTTCTCTGTTGCCTCATCAATAAGTTATCTTTTCTAATTCATAAGATTGTGAAACTCAAATGAAATAATGAAGATGTTGCCATGGTAGGAGCAAAGGAGGTATAAGCAGCCATTCACCTCACTTCTTTCTGTGATTTATATAGCACAGTCAACAATTAATTAAGTTCTTTGGATATGCAGGAGGAAATGGTGCATATAGTAAATGTTTTCTCAATAGAGATCTAGCTAGGAAAGCTTTTGTGCAAGATTTAAAAATTTTGTTTATAGAATTTGTTTTAACCAGATGAGCAAAACTTTCTATAAGCTGGGCCTACAGACGTGAAAGTGGTCTTCATATGGCTGTTTTGATGTTATATGGTGGCATTTGCTCTTGTGACATTTTACTTGTAGGGCTTTAGGTCTAAACGTGGGCTAAATTGTGGTCCTTGTATATGGCTTTTACTTTTACTGTGCTTTCAATTGTCTGTCACTATGTCTGGTTTTAGTTAAACCTCAAATTTAGTTGCATATAGAATGTTCTGCAAAATAAAACTAATAGTAGGAGTATTGTGGAATTTTATTTATTTGTTTATTTAAGATAAGCTCTGTTGCCCAGGCTAGAGTGCAGTAGACTGATCATAGCTCACTGCAGCCCCAAACTCCTGAGCTCAACGGATCTTCCTGCCTCAGCCTCCTGAGTAGCTGGGACTAGAGGTGTGTGCCACCACACGTAATTTTTGGGTTTTTTTTTTTTTTTTTTTTTTTTTTTTTTTTTTTTTTTTTGAGCTGGAGTTTCACTCTTGTTGCCCAGGCTGGAGTGCAATGGCGGGATCTTGGCTCACTGCAACCTCTGCCACCTGGGTTCCAGTGGTTCTCCTGCCTCAGCCTCCCAAGTAGCTGGAGTTACAGGCGCATGCCACCACATCCAGATAATTTTGTATTTTTAGTAGTGACGGGGTTTCTCCATGTTGGTCAGACTTGGTCTTGAACTCCTGACCTCAGAGGATCCACCCGCTGTGGCCTACCAAAGTGCTGGGATTACAGGTGTGACCCACCGTGCCCAGCCTTTTCTGTTTGTTTTTGTTTTTGTTTTTTTGTGGATTTTTTTTAAAAGACGGATCTTGCTGTGTTGCCTAGGTTGGTCTCAAACTCATGGCCTCAAATGATCCTCCTGCCTCAGCCTCCCAAATCTTTCAAATTACAAGCATGAACCAGGAGGTTGAGGTTACAGTGAGCTATGATAGAGCCATTGCAGTCTAGCCTGGGTGACAGAGCCAGACCCTGTCTCTAAATAAAAAATAAAAAGGCAAAGAACAATGAGGAGAAAAGCACTCACTCTGACATTTCAAAACAGTGACATTGATTGTAAAAATTTGGAGGATAGAATTTCCCTGAATCTAGTTTTGTTTTATTTTGATTTTTTTTTTTTTTTTTTTTTTTTGAGACAGAGCCTTACTCTGTCACCCAGGCTGGAGTGCAGTGGCGTGATCTTGGCTCACTGTAACCTCCGCCTCCCAGGTTCAAGGGATTCTCCTGCCTCAGCCTCCTGAGTAGCTGGGACTACAGGCGCGTGTTACCATGCCCAGCTGATTTTTGTATTTTTAGTAGGGACGGGGTTTCATCATGTTGGCCAGGCTGGTCTCGAACTCCTGACCTTGTGATCCGCCTGCCTTGGCCTCCCACAGTGTTAGGATTATAGGTGTGAGCCGCCATACCTGGCCTGTTTTGATTTTTTATTTTCTGTTTATTCTTTGCTAGTACATCAAGGACATTCTTGAAGGAGTATATACTGAAGGGTGGGCAACAAGAGAAGGATTTGTAGGAGGGATTATGAATTGCAAAATTTAATGTTTTGTGTGAATAGAGAGCAGCTTTAGCTCTAGAGCTCCTTCTTGCTTCCCGGTTTGGGGTAAGAAATGGTAAAAATAATACTGATAATATTGTTAAGAGCTGACACATAATTCTTTTTTTTTTTTTTGAGACAGTCTTGCTCTGTTGCCAGGCTGGAGTGCAGTGGCACAATCTCAGCTCATTGCAACCTCTACCTCCTGGGTTCAAGCGATTCTGCTGCCTCAGCCTCCTGAGTAGCTGGGACTACAGGCACGTGCCACCATGCCCAGCTAATTTTTGTATTTTTAGTAGAGACGGGGTTTCACCATGTTGGCCAGGATGGTCTCGATCTCTTGATCTCGTGATCCCTCCCCCTTGGCCTCCCAGAGTGCTGGGATTACAGGTGTGAGCCACTGCACCTGGCCACATAATTTTTACTATATGCAAGTTACTTTTCTCAGTAATTTATAATTTTTAGCTCTTAATTCCCACAGAAGTCCTTTGAGACACTATTATTATCCCCAGTTTACATGTGAGGAAACTGAGGTTCTGAGAAGTTAAATAACTTGCCTGAAATCCAAGTAACTAGCAAATGATGGAGCCAGGATTTGACCTTAGTCATTCCTGCTTTGGAGTCTGTCCTCTTAATACATTATATGGCGTCTCTAATTTGTGAGTGAGTGAATAAGTGTTTTGAGATTTTAAGTATTTATACCACTTGTACTCCACTTTTGCTGGAGGGTGGATTCTAGGCAGGAGTCTGGGATGCATTGAGGATGTTAATGAATTTAGCAAATACTCACTGAGCACCTGCTTTATGTCAGGGATATGAAAGTGCTTGACAGACAAGGTTCCTGCCTTCAAAGAGCATATGTTCCAGGGGGGAATCTGACAGTAAACAAGTAAACAAACAGACATGGTAATTTCAGATTATCAGTGCTATGGAGAAAGTTAACTGTTACAGTACATTGCAGAGATGGGTTCTGTAGGCAGTGTGTCACACAATGTTTAATGTCATATAGCTTTCATGATGTTGGATATTATCTCCCCCTTTTTTTTTCTTTTCCTTTTTTTTTTTTTTTAGACAGGCTCTGGCTCTGTCAACCAGGCTGGAGTGCAGTGGTGCAACCTCAGCTTACTACAAACTCTGCCTCTCTGGCTCAAGGTATCCACTTCAGACTCCCTAGTAGCTGGGACTGCAGGCACACACCACCACACCTGGTTAATTTTTTTCCATATTTTGTAGAGACAGGGTCTCACTTTGTTGTCCAGGCTGGTCTTGAATTCCTGAGCTCAAGCAATCTGCCCACCTTGGCTTCCCAAAGTGCTGGAATTACAGGTGTGAGCCACTGTGCTTGGCTCCCAATTTTTTTTCTAATTAACCCCACATCTGCTGAATTAAAGGAGAGTGTTAAATACAAAAATGAATTTATTATGCAAATCTGCAGTTATCGTGTATGTTCTTTTGGACTTGTAATAAGGGAGTATGTTCTAGTATTGAAGAAATAGAACCAGAGAGGAATACTGCTGTAAAAATTAAAAAAAAAAAATTCAAAATAGGGTAGCTTCCAGCGACCATGCATGCCAACAGTTAGCATGCCAGCCTGTTGGACCTGACAAAGTGGTCCCTGGCTGCTGTCCATAGTGCACTATTGGCAGGTCTGTTTTTGTTGAAACTTTGGGTCACCATGTGTCAGCCTATGTATATTGTCTTCTGTCATTTTTTTTTTCGTAGAGTCTAGGGCAGGATCCTGAGGTCATATACATTACTCGAAAGGAGTTCTAGTGTGATCATAGTTTATAATAATAGCAGTTTTCATATTGAGTGACCTCTACATGCCAGACTAATTTCATTGTAACAGCTTTGTTTATGGAGAAAGAGGAGAAAGCCTAAAGAAGTTAAACAACTTCTCCAAAGTCACACAACTCAGGAGTGTGAAAGCTAAGATTAAACTCAGATCGGTCTTATTCCATAGTTTATGTGATCTTGCCTTTTAACTAGATTGGTTTTCATGCTTCACTTCACACTGAAGAATATGTAAGAGCTTTCAGAAGTGAACTTCAAAGAGCCCTCTTAACTTCATCCAGTAGAAGGGCAATGTATTTTCCAGTTCCAAATTTCTGGAGTAATTAGTTTTCAAAGAGCAGCTAGTAGACGGGTGAGTACTTTATGAGTATGTATATGGAAAGTTAATGTGTTCTTGACGTGTCTTTTTATTCGGTAAAGGACAGCCGTTTTCTATTTAAGTCATTAAATAGAATTAGTTTAGGAAAGTTACAGATTAACTTGCAAATTAATTTTTTAGATTTCTGTGATTTCATTGGATTTGGTGCCCATATTAATGCATTGTAATGTAGCCTTTAATTTGATACTTCTCACTGTTATTCTATAAGATCAGCCAGGTTCTTTAGTGTTAGAGAAAGAAACTGAACTGTAGATTCCTGACTGGCTAGCTGTTTAATTTCTACTGTTTCACATTAAATCACTCTGATGCTGTAGTTCAGTTTTTAACTTAACCTTAACCCTGAAAACTTCCATTATTAATTTTGAATTCATTTTGTTTAAAAGGATGCTTTTAAATCTCTTTGTATGACACTGCCCAGTTTGGTAGCTGCTAGTAACATGTGTTAAGCACTTGAAATATGGCTATTCTAAATTGAGATGCGTTGTAAATGTAAAATACCCACTGGATTCCAGAGATTTAAGAAGAAAAAAGAAAGTAAATATCTCAGATTTTTTCTGTTGATTACATGTTGAAATAATATTTTGGATATATTGGGTTAAATAAAATTAATTTCACCTTTTTACTGTTTTTAATAAGGTTACTAGAAAATTTTTATTTATGTGGCTTGCATAATATTTTCTACTGAATAGTGCTAATATTTGTAATCAGTAATGTCAAATTTTGTGCTGTAAAATTTAGACAAACCTGGTATGTCTGTATGTGCTGTTAGTTTTTTATCTTCTAGAAACTAAAGCTCACCTAATTATTGTCATAATGAAAATGTTTATTTAAATACTTGGACCTATATTGCTTGGGATTAAGCTTGCGATAAGCCACATGTGGAAACTCCCCCTGGGTACAGCTGTTGTTAGGGGAGGTGTGAGTTAGAGCATTCATTAGGATGATAGGTGAAAGAAAGAGAACAGTGATGATTAATGTGATGCTAGTAATGCAGGCCATAATATGACTTTAGTGAATCAGACATTTCTTCTTAGGGGGAAGCATAAGTCACATTGTGTCTTTAAGATATTTTCTTAAAATATTTCCAATATTTAAGACATATAAGATATTTTCTGTAGTTTTATTAAGAATAAATCATTTGAAACAAAATTGAAAAAAATTGGTGTTTCTTGGTTTGCAGTCTTTTTTGTTTTGCTGGACTTTATTTTTTGGCCTTAATGAAATTTCATATTAGGGAACTGGATAATATTTACTATTTGATTAAGTTTTAAGATATTTTCTTAAATAAAAATAAAAATTATAAAGCTTTCTAGAAGTAAAATCTACTAATAAGCCCTACAGTAAGTCTCCTTTTTAGTAAATATGAGTAACTATTATTTATCTGACTCCTCTTGTATACTCTGGAGGAGTGGAAGGATTAGTCTTTGTAAAATGATTCATAAATGGGTTTATAGTTGTTAATTTTTAAAAACACAATATCAAGGTCATATGCTAAGTATAGTAAAAAATGTAAAAATATTTGTACTGTTATTAGTATTTGATTCATTACTTGAGGTCCCTATTTGCTCTGCTAGGCACTTCTTAGATGTTTTTGTGTTAGTTGGTTGTCTGGCAGCCAGGGAAGGGGGATGTACTAAAAGCAACATAGCTTTCTCACTTTGTGATTTACCTCCCAGCTTTGTTTACTGGCAACACAGCCAAGGAGAAGGTGAACCAATGACATTCTTAAAGTTGACCTATTTAAGGAGTTATTCATTAGGGTTCTACTTCTTACACATAAGACTCTTAATATATTTTAATATAAATTTTGCAGATCCTTCCGCTGAGGAATTGAGAAAACTAATGATGTTGCATGGAGGTCAATACCATGTATATTATTCCAGATCTAAAACAACACATATTATTGCCACAAATCTTCCCAATGCCAAAATTAAAGAATTAAAGGGGGAAAAAGTAATTCGACCAGAATGGATTGTGGAAAGGTAAGTTTAATTTATTAAATTTAATTAATAAATTTTTAAAGTTAGAATACTTTTTATTTATTTATTTTTTTGAGATAGGGTCTCGCTTTGTCGCCCAGGCTAGAGTGCAGTGGCATGATCATGGCTCACTGCAGCCTCAACCTCCCAGGCTCAAGCAGCCCTCCCATCTCAGCTTCCAGAGTAGCTGGGACTACAGGCAGGCGCCACCACACCTGGCTGATTTTTTGTAGAGATGGGTTTCACCATGTTGCCGAGACTGGTCTCAAACTCAAACAGTCCTCCAGCCTTGGCCTCCCAAAGTGCTGGGACTACAACCACTGCGCATGGCCTTTCTATTTCTTTTATAAAATTGTAACTAATATATTGCCTCCTGATTGACAGGGTGAAAAATAATGTCTTAAACAACACTACCGTTTAAGCTCATGTTGATAATACTATAGCCTAGGATTTGGCATCCTAATAAAAGTAGCATGTTAATGTGTTTGCCAGGAATTAGGGGTGATGACTCAGGAAAGTGTCAGGAAGCAGTTATGGGAGAAGGTGGAGCAAGCGTGTTATTCAACAAATATGTGTGCACCTCTTAAAGACTAGGCAGTGTTCTGTGTTCTTGGGAAATAACAATGAACAAAGCAAAGATCCCTTCACTACCTCATGGAGTTTATATTCTGTTGGGAGAGAAAGAATGAGTAATGTATGAGTACATTATACCATGTTGTCTATCACATAGGTTTTTAGCATGGTAATACATCAAGATAATGTGGACCTAGAATGCTAGGAGTAGGGGGAAAGGAGGGAGTACAGTCGCAGTATTATTTACTGTTTTTTAATGATTATATTGTGGTTTCTCTGCTGTTGGTTTGGAAATGATAAGTTGTAAATCAGTGGTGACATTCATATTGACTTCCTAAGTTTAAATATGTCATCTGAAACCTTGGAGATGAGCTAAAACTTAAGTGGTTTATATTTTTAAATGACATGAGGTATGTAATACATATGAGCAATTACTGATTTATAAAAGAAGTAAAATATTAAAGTAGTAATTTTATGTATGGATAGATTATAATCAGTGTATGAGAGATTGCTTATCTTTTTAAGTCAGTTGCTGAATTTTTTTTCTAGTTCTTGCTTTTACTAATTATAACACCCTCCATTAACTGTTCCACAAATTAAGTATTAACTCAGTTCCTTTGTATAGTGTATTTAGCCGCATAAATTCACGGAGAAGCAGCGTGGTGGAAAAGGCTGGGCCTGGGCTCTGGAGACATACTTGGCTTCAGAACTTCCAAACTCGGCAGTTCAGTATCCATATAACCTGGTATAATTTTAGAAACTTTATGCTTGGCCGGGCATGGTGGCTCATGCCTGTAATCCCAGCACTTTGGGAGGCCGAGGTGGGCAGAGACCAGCTTGGCCAACATGGTGAAACCCTGTCTGTACTAAAAATACAATTAGCTGGGAGTGGTGGCTTGTGCCTGTAATCCCGGTTACTTGGGAGGCTGAGGCAGGAGAATCGCGTGAACCCAGGAGATGGGAGGCTCCAGTGAGCTGAGATGGCGCCACTGCACCAGCCTGGGCAACAGAGAAAGACTCCGTCTCAGGAAAAAGAAAAAAAAAAAAAACTTTATGCAGTCACTCAGGACCTTGTTTCCTCATTTGTGAAAGAAGGCTAATATCTGCCTGCTGTGGTTATGTGAGAAATAAAAATCATTTGTCCATACAACCTGGTGCAGTGCCTAGCATGTTGTAGAGGTGTAATATATAAGAAGCTACTGTTACTATTTTATTTTTATTCTGTAACATTAGCAATTATTAGAAAATTCCAAAAATTCAAAAGTACATTACTATCTCTAGAAAGTCAAATATATTGGCTGGGCGCGGTGGCTCACGCCTGTAATCCCAGCACTTTGGGAGGCCAAGGCAGGCAGATCACGAGGTCAAGAGATCGAGAACATCCTGGCCAACTTGGTGAAACCCTGTCTCTGCTAAAAATACAAAATTAGCTGGGCGTGGTGGCGCGCGCCTGTAGTCCCAGCTACCCGGGAGGCTGAGGCAGGAGAATCGCTTGAACCTGGGAGGCAGAGGTTGCAGTAGACAAAGGTTACAATGAGCTGAGATCACGCCACTGCACTCCAGCCTGGCGACAAAGTGAGACTCTGTCTAAAAAAAAAAAAAAGTCAAATAAATAACATTTTACATATTAAGGATTTTTTAAACCTGGAGGGATAAAGTCAAAGGCTCGTCCCTATAACATCCCACTGATTCCTTCCTTTGCACTGTGGTCTCATGACCTAACCACTGTCTATCAATGATATAGTATTGATTAAAATGGCTTTTAGGTATGTGTCTCTTCAAAGGACTTGGTCTTAGTATATGAAGTTGGATCACTCAGAGTTGAGCTGTGTTGTCACTAGAGCTAGAGTTTTTATCTGGGGGCAATAGTTAGGCTTTGGAGGGAATGGGGAATTTCTGTGGACAGGAGGAGAGTTGAGGGGAAAGCGATCTTGCTGGGGGGAATTGATTTACTTAGAAAAATGGTGTTTTCCGGCCGGGTGCGATAGCTCATGCATGTAATCCCCCCACTTTGGGAGGCCAAGGTGGGTGGATCACGAGGTCAGGAGTTCAAGACCAGCCTGGCCAATATGGTGAAAGCCTGTCTCTACTAAAAATACAAAAATTAGCCAGGCATGGTGTTGGGTGCCTGTAATCCCAGCTACTCAGGAGGCTGAGGCAGGAGAATTGCTTGAACCTGGGAGGTGGAGGTTGCAGTGAGCCGAGATCACGCCAGTACACTCCAGCCTGGGTGGTAGAGCGAGACTGTCTCAAAAAAAAGAAAAAGAAAAGAAAATGCTATTTTCCATTACAGTTGCTTGTTTTGCACGTGTTCTTTTTGCCAGATGCGCCTAGGGAGATCATAAGATAGAAAAAGCAACTTAGATAGTTAAAATTCACTTTAATGGATTTTATCTTAGTCTGGACTGAGGTTTAATCATTTGTCTTTAAATAATTAAGAGTGATTTTGGACAGCATGATTATATATCCTATGGGCCTCATTTTGTATTTGAGGAGACAGGGCCAGTGGGGCTCACTGACTTGCCCAAGAACAGAGTAGGTTTTAGAGTCCAGGTGTTCTGAATCCTGTTTGTGTCCTCTTTTTACCATTTAATTAAGCTTGTTATAGATGGCCCATGTGGAAATGGATCAGTGTTGGCATATATCTTAAATGCCAGGAGTCCATTATGTCATTGTAACAGGGAATCCTTTTGGTTAAATCATGGCACTGTTTTTATTCACACTCTAATCCCTGGTTGATCTCTTCTTAGCTGTGTTTTAATGAGATTTTATTATACTTAAAAATTTTAACATGTATTAGCTATTTAATAAACGTTACATACTCTTCTGAATAATTAGTTTTTGTTTTTATTCGAGCAGTTTGAAAAGGAACTGCCACTTGTAAGTATGTGGGGTGTTGCTTTAATTTCAGTTCCCTGATGTCTGTATGTCAGTAGATCTGAGTTAATGTAGGCATGGTTATAGGGCCCTGACTTTGAAGAGGCAAGGGAATCCTTTCATGAGGAGCCTGTGTACATTAAAGTGTGAAATTATTTTACTAAAACCTTTGTTTTGTAAATCTCACACTTGTACATAGTGTATTAAAAGTAATGGTTTAAAAAATTTTTGTCACAGTCTTTGTCTTGAGACAATTTTACCTTGAAATTTGAAATGTGGAATAGATGAGAAGCTGCTATGACGTACCCCACTGGCCCACCAAACCTGAGGAGTGTCATGGAGCATAATTTAAAAATATTGTCCTAAGTTGCTACAGATTGTTCTTGTTTTTGTTGTTCTTGATTTTGTGTTGATCCTTGTAGATTGAGAACCTTGTAGCGTGGGTTTTTTATATTTGTATATCCCGTGATTAGATGGTCACATAGATCTGTTGGGAGTTGAGACAGAATGATAATTTATTGTTCTGGTTCATGCCAGCTCAATGGGATCTACTAGTAGGACTTTCAGTTTATCTTTTCTTTCTAAACTCCCAAACCATATACGTTTGTCATGTGCTTACATATGAGTCAAAACTTTGGTTTCTAATTACATTCAGTGTTTAAATATTAGAGTGCTTATGCAACTCATTTAAATAAAAGTTGATTGCAATTTTATCTCTCATGAGTTTTTTTTGCCATTCCTTGTGTTTTTTTTTTTTGTTCCTAAACGCAGAGGCTGTAGGACAAAGCAAGAGTAAGACTTCCCAAAATAGATGAATATTTCACTTGCTATGACTATGTTTTGATTCGTTGTATAGAATGTAAACTCTTTCATGTATATATCAGAATATAGTTTCAATGTACATGAAAAAACTCAGTGTATAAGGAAACCGTGTAGTATTATCTTTTGGATAAAGATGGATTTTTTTATTATCCTCTCCTTTTGGTTTTGAAAGAATAGTAGAAAATGTCAGTACAGTTCCTTTGCGCTTAGAACAAGAGGGGAAATAGTAAATGTGAGAAATTAATCCCAGAGAGATTTTTAAAAAGGTCTTATACAAATATGCTTTCAGATAATGTTTCTGTCTATATATCTATAGATAGATAAATGGGCAAGCAGGGGTAGTTAGGAGTATACAACTGATAGATAGTGGTTTAGGCTTCAAATTATAACTGACATTACTTCACTAACATTACTGTAGTGCATTGGGCTTTAATTCTTTTTATTGAGTATCTCTGAGGATATCTGATTTGAGACTTGCAGTATTTAAATTGGCTGTCTAATTTTGTAGCAGTCTCCATGGACTGACTTATGTAAGCCTAAGAATTCTGTGGGTGGCCACATGGCTCTTGTTAGGAGCTGGATAAGGCCTGACACCCTTGTATATGATCAGTGCTGACCATAGAGAGTACCTGTAGAGTCTGCATCACTCCAGCATGCTGTCAGTAGGGCAGGAAAAGCGAGAATGATCATAGGGCGTTTTGTTCCTTGCACTTTTGGTTTTACCTGAGATGTGCAGCTGGCACAGTGGGTGTAGTTTCACTCTCTACTTGTCTCTTAGTTATAGCTATCTATGATAAAGGATGGAAAGCTAAGGTTAGGATTTTATTTCAGGTATTAAGTAGCTGTACTTCTTTTGGTGGGGGAAGCAAGTGAGTTTGATATACATAATACCACAGAACAAAGATTTATAGTTAGGCAATTGAGACCAACTATTAAAGGAAGAAAAGGGCTGGGCGCGGTGGCTCACACCTGTAATCCCAGCACTTTGGGAGGCAGAGGCGGGTGGATCACGAGGTCAGGAGATCGAGACCATCCTGGCTAACACGGTGAAACCCCGTCTCTACTAAAAAAATACAAAAAATTAGCCGGGCGTGGTGGCAGGCGCCTGTAGTCCCAGCTACTCGGGAAGCTGAGGCAGGAGAATGGCGTGAAGCCGAGATCGCGCCACTGCACTCCAGCCTGGGCGACAGAGCGAGACTCCGTCTCAAAAAAAAAAAAGGAAGAAAAGTTGGTTTGAGGAAGAATAAAGTAAAAAATAGTCGAATTTTAGGGTTTCGATTCTAATATTTGAATGTAACCTGAAATTTTGAATGTATTTTGAATGTAACCTGAATTTTGGTAAAACATTTAGCCTGGTCATAAATCCATTTGGTTACATGTCTTGCGACTAGTATAGTATGTTCTTTACCATCATAATTTAATAGTTATAGCATTTGATATAGGTTAAGGTACTTTAGGTAGAATTGTTAAATATATATTGACATAATTATATAAAGGACATACTCTGTATCATATATAGTTCCGTTTTTAGAATCTGTTAGTATGTTTTCCTGTATTCCAAGTTGTTGACTCAGTTATTTTTAATTAGTATTCTGTAAGCCAATTCAGTCATTTCTTAAATGATTATTTTTTAAAAAGTTTTGTGTGACACCATTTAAGAAAATGAAAATGTCAAGTCTTGGATTTATGAGACAATAAGAAACATATTTTTATCATGTTATTTATCAGTCTTTTTCTAAATAACTGAGGGATGATTCCTTGGTATATATTTTAGGTTTAAAATCCAGAGGTTGTTTTGAAATATTTTCTAATATTAAAGTAGCTTGTTTTGAAATTTGGATGATAGCATAAGTATATTGATTGGTTATTTTTAAATTTGAAGTGAAATGATAATTTTAAAGGTAGAGTAGCCATATATAACTCAGTTTATTAGCAAGAAAATGTCAGTTTTAGATACTGCAATCAAATTAGTTTTAGTTCTGAAGTACAAAAGGAAGCAGACATTTGGGAACTTCAGTTACAGTGCTAGTACCACCTAGCGTTAGAACACTGGTGTTCCCCTGGATTTGAGTGGTGTTGTGTGATATGCTGTGAGGATGTACATGGTAGTTTTGGCCCTTGTAGAGTTCATATCTTCAAATGGCCTTGGCTCTTAACCATTCTTGTATACATAAAAATAGTATAAATTATTACTCTTGAAGTTGAGATTCTTTATTTTGTCCTATATTTTTATTTTACAGTTTCTGACATGAATTTGGAAATTGAGCATCCTTATTCAGTTTATTTATCTTGGAAAACCTTAATAGATGAGATTTTGATGAAGTCTTGATGATTCTCTGTTAACTGTTGACAGGGTGGTAAATACTAAAGTCATGAGGTTTAAAATATTGACTAGTTCAGCTCTGTGCTTGCAGTTTTTCCCCACTCTAAGATCATATTGTATTAGGACCACTAAAACCGAGCAAGAAGGAATAAACTAGGAAAACAGATGACCTGTTGTTGGTGAAATACTGTATCTTTAAGGACATTGAATATTTTTCATGAAGCTCATTGTCACCAAGTATGGAACTCTAAATTGGTGTTGCTTTTTGTTTCAGCATCAAAGCTGGACGACTCCTCTCCTACATTCCATATCAGCTGTACACCAAGCAGTCCAGTGTGCAGAAAGGTCTCAGCTTTAATCCTGTATGCAGACCTGAGGATCCTCTGCCAGGTCCAAGCAATATAGCCAAACAGCTCAACAACAGGGTGTAAGTTTGTCTAGTTGGGGATTACTGCAAAGCTGGTTGGTTTTTTTTTTTTTTTTTTTTTTTTGAGATGGAGTTTTGCTCTTGTTGCCGAGGCTGGAGTGCAATGGTATGATCTCGGCTCATTGCAACCTCTGCCTCCCAGGTTCAAGTGATTCTCCTGCCTCAGCCTCCCGAGTAGCTAGGCTTACAGGCGTGTGCCACCACGCCTGGCTAATTTTTGTATTTTTAGTAGAGACGGGGTTTCACCATCTTGGCCAGGCTGGTCTCGAACTCCTGGCCTTGTGATCTACCTTCCTTGGCCTCCCAAAGTGCTGGGGTTACAGGCATGAGCCACCACGCCTGGCCACAAAGCTGGTTTTTAGCAGTGAGCATGGCCCCTGCTCTGTTACAGTCAGACAGAAGCAGATACAAACCCTGGCCATTCACTTATAATAAACATGTTGAAATATGTGTGTATGAGTGTCTTATCTAAAAATGAATTATTTTTATAATGATAATTTCATAAATGTAAGTAAGTTTTTACAGTCATACTGGTTTCTCACCTTAAACTAGTGGATCTTAATTGTTAATAAGTTTTTTCATGGATTTTTATGAAAGTAATTATTTCCTCACAAGTAATTTGCTGTATTGCTTTCTCAAAAATGGAACTAACTGCACCAGCTATATTTTTGTTGTGTTCCATGCATAGAAAGACAATGAAAATGTTAATATTTCTGGGTTATTTTTGAAAAATTCAAAATTCATAACATTCTAAATATGTAAATATATAAATGGAAGTTTAGTTGGTGACCCTTGGTTATAGAATTGAAAGTGAATCTAGACTATTCCATGTGGCTGCTTTTTTTTTTTAATTTAAGCTTTTAATTGCAACCCTGGATAAATTGTTTCACAATTAATTGGTGGGTTGCCTTACCTTGTATATCAGGTGGTTCATTATGGTTAGCCTTCTCTTTATTTATTAAATTGCTTGCTTTGGGAGTTGGATATATTTTTTTTCGAAAACACCAGGAGTCTAATTAATCTGAGAGGATCCAGTATCACTGCCTTCTGTAATTTTTGTTGTCATTTGTTAATTTAACTTGTACTCACAAGCATATTCAAATATTTTTCATGTTACCTGTAGCTTTTAATTTTTTTTAATGTGCTATCAAGGTATATAGCAAATAATACCAGAAAACCTTTTCACAGAATACGTAGCTTTAGCTTTCTTTTCTTACCCACATTAATAAAAGTAGAAAATAGATATGTTTTTTCAAAATCTTCTTTGTGACACTTTAGGAAGAAATTACCTTTTAGATTTTACTTCTTAATACATTTATGCCATTGCCTAAAAAATGTATCTCTACCCGTGATATTTCCAGTACAGCTACTTTGCAAATGTCCATTTGTCTAGGCTGAGAAACTATAGTACAGCAAGAATGTATGTTAACAATGTATTTTCCTGCCAATATATGGCTTTCTGTTGCATGTGTTGCTATAATGCATGTAAAGGGTCTGAATGTTTTTGACACAAAACTAGATGTAAGACTTTCTGACGTACATCACTTTTGTTGTTTTCTGGGGTTTTTTTGGGGGGTATATTCAGTACATTTTGTACATTTCTTTGAAATGCTCATCTGTGACTTCTTGCTCCCTTGCATTCTGTTTATCTCAAGAGGCTGAACTTTCTCTGCATGTGACAAATTAGGTTTTCTTTTTTTCTTCTTTTAATCATATCTACTTTGTCTTTTTCCCCATCACTGGCATGATCATCTGTGAGCATGGCATCTACTCACAGTTGCCTGTCACATTCCATATGATGTTTAGCCAGAGCCTGAGCTAACCCAGAAATGGGTGATCATCCAGCTTGTGGGACTTTTCTGTGTAGTCAGGCTCTCATTACTAATAAACCAAGTTGGTATTAGGGTGAGGGGCTTTAGGTGGAACCTGATAATACTGTGGTAATTTCACCTGTGGCTTACTACTCTGTAGGGCAGCCCTTCATCTGGAGCCTGCGCTGTAATTGAATTAATGCTATGGACATTTGGACATTCCTAAGTAGAATGAATTACTGCTTTGTAATTCAGGTTTTTGTTTTTGTTACTTAGATGATTCTCGTGAATGCATTTCTAAACAAACGTCTAGAGGAGCCAGGATGTGACTTTAGCATAACATTTGTCATGGGTTCTGCATTTATAAAGCTGTCATCAGGAAACTTGGTCCAGATTGCCTTGTACCACCCTGGCATCTAAATATGCATTTCTTAGAAATGAAGTGCAATTTCCCTTCTCAGTAAGGCAAGCGTCCTTATTTTTCTAGGTGTAAATTTTACTGAATTACCCCCACACATTGACATGGCTTTACTTTTTGTCTATTTGTGCAACAGTTAGCTCATTAATAGGTTAATCAATATAGTCAGTTTTTTTCCTACTGAAACCATCTGGTTTCGTATTAGATTTAATGTGTTGAATAGTACCTTTCATAAAAACTAAAACTAGGAATAAGAATTCAAGTAAGGTTTTTAAATCCATTTTTATGAAAGTTATTTGTAGTATATTAATTCAGCAGATATTTATTGACCATGTAGTAAATGCCAAGCACTGTGCTTCAGAACTGGGTATTTACAGCTTATAGATTCCAATTAATTTTTTATGGGAAAAATAACTGAAAAGTTTTTTGGGTTTTTCTTCAGCCATGAGAAATGTTCTATTTTATTTCTTCTTTGGGACTATCTGAAGTGAAAATAAAAAACAAACAAAAAACACCTAAAGGGCTGTTAATATTCTAGAATTTTTCTAGTTATCTTGCTACTTTTGCAAAGAATGATCTTTTGTCAAATCAGAATATAAAGTTTGTGGTTTAAGTTTCAGGGTTTTTTTTTTTCATTGTCAATATTCAATATAAGAATTTTCTGTTTTTAAAGGGGGAAATACCAAACTGTGTACCACTAAGAAAATGATGAAATGAAAAAATTGTTTTAACCTAAAAGTCAGATATTATTAACTCAAAAATTTTTTCCTGCTTTAGAAATCACATCGTTAAGAAGATTGAAACGGAAAATGAAGTCAAAGTCAATGGCATGAACAGTTGGAATGAAGAAGATGAAAATAATGATTTTAGTTTTGTGGATCTGGAGCAGACCTCTCCGGGAAGGAAACAGAATGGAATTCCGCATCCCAGAGGGAGCACTGCCATTTTTAATGGACACACTCCTAGCTCTAATGGTGCCTTAAAGACACAGGATTGCTTGGTGCCCATGGTCAACAGTGTTGCCAGCAGGCTTTCTCCAGCCTTTTCCCAGGAGGAGGATAAGGCTGAGAAGAGCAGCACTGATTTCAGAGACTGCACTCTGCAGCAGTTGCAGCAAAGCACCAGAAACACAGATGCTTTGCGGAATCCACACAGAACTAATTCTTTCTCATTATCACCTTTGCACAGTAACACTAAAATCAATGGTGCTCACCACTCCACTGTTCAGGGGCCTTCAAGCACAAAAAGCACTTCTTCAGTATCTACGTTTAGCAAGGCAGCACCTTCAGTGCCATCCAAACCTTCAGACTGCAATTTTATTTCAAACTTCTATTCTCATTCAAGACTGCATCACATATCAATGTGGAAGTGTGAATTGACTGAGTTTGTCAATACCCTACAAAGACAAAGTAATGGTATCTTTCCAGGAAGGGAAAAGTTAAAAAAAATGAAAACAGGCAGGTCTGCACTTGTTGTAACTGACACAGGTAGATACTTATTAAAATTGTCTTCTTAAGAAACAGTCATGCTTGATCATTTTGCTCTTATGCTATTATTGGTATTTCTGGTCAATATGAAGTTCTCATAAAAGTCTCTAAGTATGTCAAATCATGTAAGTTACAGTAAGCATAACATAGAAAGCTAATTTATTAAAATATTTTTAAAACAATTAGATATAATTGTGGCTGACTGAAAATTTTCAGAGAATTTAAACAGTAAGATGGTTGGGATTCTGAGCATTCATTCCTCACGTAGACCTTATCAGTTGGTGAAGTTTTGAACTGTGTTAATATAACATCTATCCAGTGCTTAAACTCCTGTAAGAATGAAATTGGTTTGATAAGAGTAATTGTTAATTTCTAGAAGCTTGCATCATAATGATTTTTTAATTTTGACATAGAGCTGTTGTAATTAACAGTGGTAAACTTTCAGTGAGATTATTTCACATCTTAAGTACATTGGTTCATTGTATTTTGTTTTTTAATACTTTTCTTGTCATCAAAAACAAATGCACACACAGTAGCATACTGTTTTTCTGGGCCAGTCATTATAAATTAGTATCTGGTTTGAAATTTTAGTTCCTTTTACAGATTATAGGATTTTTTTATGGGGAGAGACCTCAGAGATTAATACTCTATAATTTATAGCTGTGGAAACTGAGGTATAGAGAGAAGCTCATGGTTCTGTCCTAGAAAGTGATAGAGACTCTATGTGGGGTGTTTTCTGTTATGTTTTACTGAGTTTGATGTATTCCTATGTGCTTTTAGTCAAAAAATGCTTTTTGGTATTTATGAAATATTTCAGAATAATATAGATACTAGATTATCCTTACATCATGTCTTGGCCTTGTTACCTGAAGGTTATTTAATTCTTAATGCTTCTAAGAACTATGATTAATTAGTTCTGTGAATGGGAATAAAATGAGAAATTTTGTTATTGTATGAAAGCATTTGGTAGATACTGGCTTATGCATTCTGTACTACTTGAATGTTTAAAAGCGTTATTTTGAGTTGTTTGCATTATGTTTATATGATATTTTGAAAAATACTTTTATACAGCAGAATTGTGATTAAGATTATTTTATGAATCATTTCTTGAGATAATATAGAGGGTAGTAAGGAAGTATCTGGCTTTGGAGTTAGATAGTTTAGCATGAATCTAAATCCTTACTCTGCCACTCTTAGGCTGCAGGACTATGGGCAAGTTAGTTCACCTCTCCGAGTCTTAGTTTTCTTTGTGAATAGAAGTGATAGATAGTCCATGATGTTTGCCTCATGGGGTTGTGAGCTTAAGAATACATGAGCAGGCTGGGCACAGTGGCTCATGCCTGTAATTCGCACACTTTCGGAGGCCGAGGCGGGAGGATTGCTTGAGCCCAGGAGTGCAAGACCAACCTGGGCAACACAGTGAGACCGTGTCTCTACCAAAAAGAAAAAAAAAATTAGCTGGGCGTGGTGGCACGCACCTGCGGTCTCAGCTACTTGGGAGGCTGAGGCGGGAGGATTGTTTGAGCCCTAGGGGTTGAGGTTGCAGATCGCACCACTGCACTCCAGACTGGGCAGCAGAGTGAGACCCTATCTCAAAAAAAAAAAAAAAACAAAAAAAAAGTTGGGGGAGAATTAGGTACATGCTATCACAGTCACAGTTTGGTAAATGGAGTGGTCCAAAACTGTTAGGGGATATCTGTTTTTGGAAGCCTATTATAAAGACTGACCCTCAGTACTAATATTTTTAAGCCTGAGAAAAACTCCTTTATGAGATCAGAACTTTTTACAAGCCCAGGGTTCTTTTTCCAGGATTTGTGTATCTTAGAGGACCAGACGAACAGGCTAAGGATGAGACTGATAATAGAGGAAAGCTCTGCTTGTGCCTGGATTAGGGTTAAAATGACCCTGATGAATCTCTTTGTAGCTCAGGATGATTAGAAGCTTTTGTCCTTAGGTGAGGACACTCACCTTTATCTCCTTAAATGTGGTATATGTCATTCAGCTCTGATCTTTAATAGTATTTAATGGCATAAGGATAAAAATGTACAGATTTACATTTTATAGACTGTTTTTAAGTACTTAGAACAGCAACATGGTAGTTTAAAGGCTCTGAAATCAGACTGCTTGAGACAGAATCACAGCTCAACCATTTAATAATAGGCTATGTGACTTAAACTTTTAGTCTACAAGATGGAGATGATACGATTACCTACCTCATAGTTGTGAGAATTTAAATAAATACATACACATAAACCTCTTAACAGCAGTGCCTGACACCTACCAAGCACTGGATAATAGTAGTCACTTTTATTGTTGTTATTTTATCCAGGCGCGTTTGTAGATTGCATGGAATAGTGATCATCAAAAAAAGTTTTACTTAGCTTCATGTAACTAAATGTATGCCAACACCTTTGTATTTTTATAAAATAATCAGCACAGTGAAATAATTTTAAGATGCACTTTTTGACTAATTAGAGACTTAATTAAATTTGGCTTCTCTTGAGGTGATAGAAATAATCTGTACTCAATTCTGGTTTTTTAAAAAGACTCCATTCTGGGTGTAAGCATGTTTTAAATATAATTTCTAAAATTAACTAGACCTGATGTTTTAAATAGTAAAAATTAGCTTGGGGTTTGAATGCTGTCTTTTTCCTTCTAGGAGATATGTCAGTATTGAATTCTCCCAGACATCAGAGCTGTATAATGCATGTTGATATGGATTGCTTCTTTGTATCAGTGGGTATACGAAATAGACCAGATCTCAAAGGTCTGTATTCTTGCTTATGTTTTAAGAAAACTGATATATTGTTATAAATATATATTCAAAGAGATTACAAAATCTTTTTTTAAAAAATTATGATTTTCCTTGGGAAAATCGGTTCTTCCAAATTTTCTATATTCGATTATCAGGGAAGGTATAGGGAAATTAGAGTTTTTCTTTCTCCCTATAGGGATCTTCAGGGAAGAATATTCATCTTCAGCTGAAGGATATGTCATCGAAGACTAATGTAGGCAGGATCTGTATTGGGCATTTTCTAAATTTTTATCTGTATTTATTCCTTGTTAATGAATGGAAATTTTATGGTGGCTCTTGTCTTTGAGACTTGGGTCACTATGCTTTCTCTTGAGCAAATAACTTGATTAACTGTCCTGATGCCCATGAACATCCCAACTTTTTGATTGTAGGATAGTTTTGCATTATTGAATATTGCTAAAATGTGTTAAGTCGTCTGGACAGTCTTTGTCTTAGTGAAATTGCAGATATTTGTGAACTAGTCAGTATTTTAAAAAGCATACATTCTGGGTTTTTCAGTGTTTACCTCTGTCTGAAAGAGATAACTTAGTGTTTTCTTCTGAGAATCAATTCTTCCCTTAAATAAGGAATCACTATGGCACAGAAGCTGCTGTGTTAAAACCAGGACTTTATTTTTGTCATGGGTAGTAGTTCCTCAGCTCTGAAAGGAGTTTTTAGAATGTTAAATAATTGATTTTCATAGAGTAGCTTTTTAATGCATTGTTGATTTTATTTCTTGGTCCTCAGAATAATGCATTAAGTAAATATATATTTATCCCTGCTATTGCTTTACAAATTTATAGTAATCTTGTAACTTAACATGCATACAAAAGGAAATGATACAGGAAAGTAAGTTTATACTAAAGCAAAAATTGAGGGGCTGTATGCTCATGTTTGATAATGTGGTAGGTCAGATTGTGATTCCTATGCATATGTATTTAGTTTCTGTTGCGTAAAATTGAGAGATAAGTATAGATGTTAACTCTAGAAATACAAAAAAAAATTTAGTTTTTCTTTCCCCACTACTTAAGTCTGAATCTAGACTCTTGAGTTGCCTCTTTCCTACAGTACGAAATCAAACAAAAACCATGGAAGGCTGAGTTGACTGCTGCTTTCAGGTTGAATAAATGTATCAAAATGGTCACAAATAATTGGCTTTTCTGGAGGTGCTAAGAAACTTAAATGACATTTACATGGTGATTGATAATCTTTAAAGTATTAGCTTCTTTAAGGATTAATGTCTAAGTAAAGCTAAAGAAAAAAAAGGCATGTTTTTAAAATCCTTTGAAAAATTTTTGCTTACATGTTGTTAACATTCCTGTACCACATACAGAAATAATTTAATATTTTCCTCACAGGAAAACCAGTGGCTGTTACAAGTAACAGAGGCACAGGAAGGGCACCTTTACGTCCTGGCGCTAACCCCCAGCTGGAGTGGCAGTATTACCAGAATAAAATCCTGAAAGGCAAAGCAGGTACAAATGAGCTCTCTTTGAAGTCTTAGTGCTCCTGTGGATGGCTTCTGGATTTTGCTATTTGGCATGGTTGTTAATAGAAATGAGTGCAGAGTTGTAGCAATTAGCTTTTTCATTCAGGGGTTTTAAGGATGTCACTGTTAGGTTTTGTTGAATTGGAGGGTGATATTTTCCTGAAGTAGAGAGTGAAGAATGTTTTACAAGATATGATTGATTTGCTTTGTATAAATTTAGATTGGGGATAAAAATCATGGGCAGAATTTAAAGAAGCCTCTTTCTATTGTGAGAGTTAATTACTGGTTATTGTATCACAGTAAGAATGTTAAAGTTTGTCTTGCTCAAGATTTGTATGAGGAAGTAGAATAACAAACAGTAGAACTTTTAATTTATTGGAATTAAAAGTAAACACCAGTAATCATTCTCCATATGCTTTAGTGAACCTGTTATGAGAAATAACCTTGTTGCCTCTCTTGACTTTTTAATTTTGGATATTAATAAGCAAAATCATAAGTTGTACTAGTCATAATACTTATTAAGATTTTCATGTGTCTATTGCTTTTTTCCCCTGAGTAAATTCACTGAGAAATGTTTTCTTAGAAATTAAATTTTTTTTGGTAACTGATTAGTTTTCTCATGGTTGTTTTGCAAAGCCAAAGAGAATTTTTAAAATTAGTTTCTCAGAAATATATTACCCAGAAAGTAGTCAGAAGTTAGATATACAGTGAAATGGAAAGCATGCAGTTTAGTTTTATTGCAGTTATTTCAGTGCCCTTGTCAGTTATAAAACGTTGGGCTTGTCACAATGACTCCAATGAAATTAAGGCAAAAGGAAAGCCAGCGAACATCTCTGAGGACCTTTTTTGGGATTATAGTCTTTTTGTTGGTTTTGATCATCTGTTTATGTGGTCTTAAGTATGAAATAACATAATTGCAGATACATATTTATGCTTTGTGTGTACATTTATTTCCAAGTTTTATAAAGGTTTTCTTGGTCTTTAAATCTTTTCAGAGATTTTTGAGATTCTAGAATTTTGTGTGTCATGAGTAGATGTGGAGTAGCTGTTACTGAACTTGTTGAGATTTACTTGTATTATGGTATAGGTAGTTTCTTAGGTATTGGTAGTATGGTTTTTGTGGTAGGTTGGTTTTTCTTTTTGTATTTTCTGTGTGCTATTAAACAGATGAAATCTTAAGTTCTAGAAAATAAGAAATAGCTTAAGGAAGTACACAATACTTGTCATATATTAGGCATTTATGAAATACTAAAGAATGCTGAAAGAAGAAAAACCACCATGTATATACTTGCAGTAGCATCTTCAGTGCTCAGAGTCTCTCTGGTAGGTAGTCTTGTTACACACGTCCTTTTATCGGCAGCCTACATTTAAAATTTTAACCTTGACAAGCTCACATTCCTTAGGAGTAGCAGAGAGCTAGTCCTCTTTTGTCTTTTCTTCTGTTACAATCTTACTATAAATGGCTTATTAACACAGTACTGTCATTGGTTACTTGTCTTCATCAGTTTAGTCACCTAATTTTTATAACATTTTAATGACCTTCTATAATCACATCCCCTTCACATCTAAATGTGGGTGGTAAACCAGAAGGTAATATTAGGAGAAATATTTAAATTTCACTTGCCATTGAAAATTGTCAAAAGGAGATTGTCCCGTCACTAGAAAAAGATTATATGACAGTTTGTATTTTATACTCTTACTTTAACTTGATGTCATTTACTTTTATATCCTAAGCCTTTTCACGTATTAGGAGCTCACCAGAATATTTGCTACATATAAAATGAATAGATTATCCTTTATTATAAAGTTTGATTACAACTAAGCTTGTGCTCAGAACTTTTTTCAGTGCTTTTGTTCCTCTTTGCTTGTTATTCCCTGATCTTTCTTTCTCTGGGTCATTATCAGACATGGCACCAAATATAAAAATATTGAGGATCGGTTTAGGAATTAGAATCTTTGGCTTCTGTGCACTAGCTTTGAAAAAAAAAAGATCAGTTCTAATGTTTGGCTTATATGTCTAGACAAAGTATTAGGACAAATAGCATCCTTAGTCCTTTTTGAAACTTTAGTTTCTTAGTTGTCGTATCCAAAAACTCTTTAATTAGCCCCGTGCAACCAGGGTATCTCATCCATCCATGACTTCTTTTGGAGGCTGCTTCCTGAGCAGTACTCAGTAGTCACACTTCTCATTGATGATCTCATTGTTTGGAACAATTTATGCTCCAAATTTCATGGTTGGGGCCTTTTACCCCTTCCTGGATTTCCAGGATACAGATGTTTTCTATCCCATCGACAACTTCAGTTTTCATTCTAAAGAACAACAGTTTTAAAAATCGTATTAGTCATAGATTTATTCTCAGCGATTTCTTTTTCACAGACTTGGGTCCTGGCCTCTGATTTCTCCAACCGTTCCTCCACATTCTCCATGTGCCCGTCTAGTTTGTCAAGTTTTGATGAGCAGTTCTCTACTTTGCCCTCCAGTGAGGACAGTGTGTCCCTGCATTTCCCTGAATCTCACATGAAGCAACTCACTCCGCTCGTGGAGGGACCCACGCACTCTGCTGCACTGTGGAACAGGTCAGCCAGCCCAATGGAGAGGAACACGATGGTGCTGCCTCTCAGGCCAGGGCACTGGGGGCGCATGGACCACAGAGACTGTTCTCTCCTCAAGCATAAGTTTTCTGTTATTTTCAAGACAATATCTTAGATAACTAGCCCTTCAGATACCAAAGTCAGGTAATTCTCCAACTTGTAAGGCATAACTCATGGTTACACCTTGGAAAGACAGTTGGTTGTGGCTGTTCAAGCTTCAGCACTCCTTTTTTTGGGGTCTAGTAGCACCCTCTGTTGAAGTGTGATACTGACAGTCCTGAAATTCTTACAGTTTTTCAGCTTAGATGAATGGACTATTAAAATTTATATTTACCCTTTTAAAACCCTCCAGAAACACTGGGTAATCTGCTTGGGATTCTGTCTTTAATTTGTAATAGTATAGCTAGCATACGTTATTCATATGTCAGAAACTAGCTCACATTACACACTCTGCTGTTTTGAAGCAAGTAGGATTTGACCCGAGATGTTAGTCAGTTTGATTTGCATTTATGCTGTGTATATATGGTTGCCGAAATCCAGAAATGCTTGTATGGGTTGCATAGTTAGATGAAAGATGCTGATGATTATTGGTCAAACCAGGAAGAGTTGTTTAAGCCCATGAAGCCAGAGACTTTGCCAGTTTTCCTGGTGGTGCATTAACGTGGCTGACTTCACAGAACAGTGAGTCTGAAATAAACAAAAGAGAAATGCTGGGTTTCTTAGTTATGTGTTGTTACAGTGCACTCAAAATAGATTTGTCTGGAATAGCTGAAGTGATATATTTTGGGTTTGTTTTACTCATGGTACTTTTGTTTATAATAGTAGAGATGTGGCTGAGGTTGTGGTTTTAGAATGTGATTTTTTTTTTTACAGCATACTCTTCCTGGAACCTAATAGTAGTATCCCAAGAGACCTATGATGAAGTTGTGTTTTAATTTATTTCTCAATTACTAGTGAAGCTAAAGGTGGCAAAGGAAGTAAAGTGGCATGCAGCCAGTAGGCTCTCCAGAGTGTGTGGTTTTGTTTTCTTGTGTAAAGTTGTAAATTTGGTTTGGATATTAAGAGATGTTGGTAAGCCACACTAGGCTCCAGTTGTGTTCTCTAAAGCATCGATACTCTGATCACACTTGAATGTTTTTAATTGAACATGCATTATTAAACCAAAATACAATTACCTGTAGCGGGGGATAATGTGACATGTGTACAAAAGAAAAAGCTTGAATTTAGGATGAAACCTCTTCATGTTTTGTGACCTACTAAATTATTGTTTGATCAGATAGATGGTAGGAATTTCATGTTTGTTGTACCCGTTAGTTAGCTTTAAGTTTTACAGATAGTTCTTTTAGGAAACAGCAAAGAATATTCAGAGAAATTTATATTTTTCGTTAACTTTTCCCCACTACCGAGAGCTGTACAGTCCTTTTAAGGTTATAAGAGGGAGTTCATCTCCCTGATCACTTCTCATCCATGTCCACCTCCAGGGACTGTGTGTTATAGGATATTTTATATTTATCTTCTGGTGTATTTAAAAAAAAAACAAACCTCCCAGGACACTTTGAATTTATTATAAGTTTTTATCTGCTGATGAAGAATATAATGGAAGCGAACCATTTTAGAGTTTTCTTTTATTAGATAAGGAGATAATACCAATAGAGATAACTGTATTTGGAATTTACTGAACATTTTTATATGAAAGTAATGGAAAACAAATTTCTTGAAAAAGTGAGGGAAAATCAGTTTATAACATATAACCATTAATTTTTTTTTATTTTTAAAGCAGATATACCAGATTCATCATTGTGGGAGAATCCAGATTCTGCGCAAGCAAATGGAATTGATTCTGTTTTGTCAAGGGCTGAAATTGCATCTTGTAGTTATGAGGCCAGGTATGTAGAAGTTGTGTGTTACAATTCTTAATGAATAATTTGGTTAATTATTTTTATATAATTTCTTGAACTATAATCTTTTGAAGTGGATTTAAATGTTACAGACGTGTTATGAGGTTTTAGCCTTAATCATCTCATCTATGCCCCCCACAACCCCCCACCAGTGCTAGATAACTTTAAACAAACAGCTTACTAGTTCCCTGATGAGAACCAATAGGTCATGTAGTAGGAACCAAAAGAAATTGGGGATCATCGTTTTTACTGTCTTTTGAAGAGTGAAATAAAAGAATTAGATTTTTTTTTAATGGAAGAGGACTTTAATATTTATTCCCTCTAATCTTTTGTTTTTATTGCTAAGAAAAAATCTTGTAATCCATACTTCCTGATACTCAGTTTTTTTAGTGTTAAAACCCATTTGCCTATGCAATTATAAGTAAATAATTGAATTATTGGCATTCTTAATATCTCTTCACTTAAAAGTGTTAAGAGTGTTGTCAACTTGTTAGCACCAACTTTTTGTATAGGTCTTTATCTTATAGTGATCTGAAACCATAATTATAATTGGCTGTTTCAGTATAGGAAGAAACACACACACACTCATATATATATATCTTCCTCATAATTTAAAAAACCGTTTTGAAATAATTGGAATAGTTGTAAAAGTAGAGGGAGTAATAATTAAAAAGAGAAGTCTTCATTTTTTTTTCCTTGTCAACCAAACACAGACATTTTTACCTATATCACACAGCAAGCCCTTACACATTGCTGGCAAGTGTTAAAGTATTCAATAATTTCAAATCGAAACAGAGTCTTAGATCAGTTACATCTTTTTTTTTTTTTTTTTTTTTGAGACGGAGTCTCGCTCTGTCACCCAGGCTGGAGTGCAGTGGCACCATCTTGGCTCACTGCAAGCTCCACCTCCCAGGTTCATGCCATTCTCCTGCCTCAGCCTCCCGAGTAGCTGGGACTACAGGTGCTCGCCACCACACCCGGCTAATTTTTTTGTATTTTTTTAGTAGAGGCAGGATTTCACCGTGTTAGCCAGGATGGCTAACTGACCTCGTGATCCATCCGCCTCAGCCTCCCAAAGTGCTGGGATTACAGGCGTGAGCCACTGTGCCTGGCCTAGTTACATCTTTTTAGTCTTGATTCAGAGTTGTGGCTATTCAGGCATCTAATCTGAAGAAAAAATATTTGAGCTCAGCATCGTCTAATCATAATAGTTTTTTTTAAATTTGCTAATTATTTTATTTAAAGTATATTTAAGTTAAAAAGCATTAAGTTCAAACGTGCATGCTTATATTTTAAACTGTTTTCCATTCATGACATGCCAAACTTTTCCTCCCCAGCTAACTTTGCCTTTCTCATTAACAGAATTATGTTTTAATGGTTTTCATTGTCACTTGATGCTGTGGCCAAGGAATTGAAACTTACTTTAAATGATAATTAAGTCAAATACAAATACGTTTTGAATTGTTATACTGCTTTTTATTACCACAGGCACTCTAGAGCTGAGTTTATGTTGTGCTCAGTAGGCTAGTCTCTTTTTCTCTACTAAGTTAATGAATGGTGGCCTGGACTTCAGATGGCTAGACAGTTATGTGCAGTATCTGGAGGGTGTGATGAAGCCCAGAAATATTCCCAGTCCTTGAATTTCGCTAGTTGGTAAAATGCGAGCTCCGTTTACCCTTGCTAAGGCTGCCTCTGCAGGGTCTCTCCCTTTATACCTTCATACCCAGTCCCCCACCAAGATGAATGCTGGCTGGGGAGCAGGGCTGCCTCCAGGTGAAAGTGTCACCAGCTCTGGTGGCTTTGGACTCCAGGAGCCACAATTGTGTGTAGGCACTAGGCTTCTGTTGGGTGTTTGGATGGTGCATTTATATTTACCCACGGTAAATATAAATTTACCTTTATAAATTTGGTCAAGCTTCATGCCTTGCAAAATAATTGGGGTGACTATATGAGGACAGAATACTATATAGTGAGCCATTCAAGTGCCACTTAAGTGCAGATGTTTAAGAAGATACATAAAGTGATGAAAATGAATTTAACTTGAAGAAAAAAAAAATGCAGCCGTAAGATTTTTGTCCCTTAATTGTGATTTTCTGTTTTCTAGAAGGCTATTCCTAGTGAAAGTTTCTAGAAAATAGTTTCTGGATACTTGTTTTGTGGCCATCCAACAGGTTATATTTTCCTTATCTGAGGAAAATTTTTTTAACAATTTGCATAAGAGAAATGTTACTGAGTTTGGAGTGGGGACTAGATTGTGGGGATGATCTGCTCAGTTTGATGCACTGGTGAGTTTTCACTATACATAGCTTAATAATGGGGCCAGCAAAGGATAGAATGTGAATATGAAATGGTAGAAATACAAAGTAGAATGTGTATATGTGGGTCACAGTTTGCACTGCTGTTAGTAGTTGGCCTATACTTACAGTAGAGAGCAAACTTTATATGGAATCAGTGAGAAGGTAGATTGTACATGAATAGGTAACGATACACAGATATCCTAGAATCACAGATCTTTAAAGTCATATAATTTCTAAACCCCATTTTCTTGTGCTTTTGTAAGGACCCACTACCTTTCTTACTTTATGGATGTATTTTAGTATGTAGAATGGACAGTGACAGTGGTTTGATGGCAATTTTTTTCCCCCAGAGATGAAGTCTTGCTCTTTTGCCCAGGCTGGAGTGCAGTGGTGCTATCTCGGCTCACTGCAACCCCTGCCTCCCAGGTTGAAGCCGTTCTCCTGCCTCAGCCTCCCGAGTAGCTGGGATTACTGCTCCCGCCACCACGCCTGGCTAATTTTTGTATTTTTAGTAGAGATGGGGTTTCACCATGTTGGCCAGGCTGGTCTTGAACTCCTGACCTCGTGACCCGCTCGCCTTGGCCTCCCAAAAGTGCTGGGATTACAGGAGTGAGCCACCGCACCCGGCCAGCAATTTTTTAATATTGTTGAATCCAACACCAAATACAACTGTCTGAACAAAGCATATTGCCAGACAGAATATGTCCTCTGTGCTTTAAATGTAGGAATAAGCTGTTTTTGCAGCATACACTTAACGAAGTTTTGGTAATTTATCCTGTATGGGATTTTAGTTGTAATAGATGAGTCACGGTAATGAAGAGACACTTTGAGACACTTTGGACTTTTTTGTAATTGTCTTTACTCATTTATTTTCTATGGAACAAAGCTCATTTCCCAGCCATCAACTCAAGGTATTTGGCTTCCCTTAGTATGGCAAACCTAAGGCAAACCAAAGGAAAAAGGTTTTCGTTTTTTGTTTGTAACTTCCTTATAGTGTCTAATGGCTCTTAAACAGTTTTCTCTGGGTACATTTTACATGAGTACATAAGTAGATGTACTATATTTTACTAAGTAATGTGCTTCGGAAAATTTTTGTGTAAATTAATGTTTTGAAAATGAAAATATTGTAAATATAAGAACATGATATTTATAGGGATTATAAACACATTTTTTTTTTTTTTTTGAGATAGAATTTCGCTCTTGTTGCCCAGGCTGAGGTGCAATGGCACGATCTTGGCTCGCTGCAACCTCCACCTCCCAGGTTCAAGCGATTCTCCTGCCTCAGCCTCCCGAGTAGCTGGGATTGCAGGAGTGTGCCACCATGCCCGGCTAATTTTTTTGTATTTTTAGTAGAGACAGGGTTTCACCATGTTGGCCAGGCTGGTCTCAACTCCTGACCTCAGGTGATCCATCCACCTCGGCCTCCCAAAGTGCTGGGATTACAGATGTGTACCACCGCGCCTGGACTATAAACATATTTGGGTTTCTTTTTTTGAGATGGAGTTTCGCTCTTGTTGCCCAGGCTGGAGTGTAATGGCGCGATCTCGGCTCACTGCAACCTCCACCCTCCAGGTTCAAGCGATTATCCTGCCTCAGCCTCCCAAGTAGCTGGGATTACAGGCATGCGCCACCACTTCTCGCTAATTTTTAATTTTTAGTAGAGACAGGGTTTCTCCATGCTGGTCAGGGTGGTCTCGAACTCCCCCTCTCAGGTGATCTGCCTGCCTCGGCCTCCCAAAGTGCTGGGATTACAGGCATGAGCCACTGTGCCCGGCCTTATAAACACATTTTTAAAAAATGTGTTATCTTTAATTTGTAAACTCAGCTTTTACATGCTGAATCTATATATCTGGCATAATTATTACCTGAAATTTACCCTTTTCAACACCAGACCTTTTTTCTGCTTTCTGATAAAGTTTCTAAACTATTTTATGTTTCTACATATATGTCTAAACTGTTAGGTATCTACTTTCTTCATTAGTGGACAAAGCCTGTTGACCATAGGTCATCCTTTTCTAGGCAAGTGCAAGGTTGTCCCCATGGAGGTCATGGAGTTTGCTTTATTTGCCATCCTATACCCAGCACCTCGCTAAGTCCTCGACACATCAAGAATTGTTTTCTTTACAACTCTGTCATTTTCCTTCCTCTTAGGTATTTCTTATCTACTAGGGACTTAGCACTGAGACCATTTATAATATTACTATTTTTATAAACATAAAAATGCATGTGATTTTGCATCTACTGCTGAGTAACTTGGAGGACTCTTTCTTCTTGGCTCTCATGGTCTGGATGTTGGGAGGGTGCCAGAGGCCTATGAGTAATTGGCAACTGTTTGTATATACGTTTCTTAAAACAAGGCACGTCTCCATGCTGTGTAGTAAATATTTATTGAACATATATATAGAATAACCATTATCCTATTATATAATATGTAATTTGGTGAAACATTGCTTTATTATTTTGCTTGTTTTTACTATAATTTTTTTTCTTGATTCTTTACAGAGTGATAAAATAGAATTTTACTAATTATGTATAATTCCATAATTATAGTTTTGTGGTGAATGCTCCAAATGTCAAAGGTAATGTGGGGCACTGAGACACACAGATTTAAAATTTACCATTTTCAATTAGGTCCCTCAAAGTTCTGGAACCCTGGCTCCTGCCCAGAGTGATGTCCTACCATGTACAATGCTGTTGGCATCTCAACCACTGTGGAGCCACTTCAGGAGCATGGAATTGGTCAATTGGGAATTGGGTGGTAATAGGATGAGTACATTTTGTCTGTTTGTCACATAGCACTGTTTTGTGTAGTTCTTTTGTTTATATTCTTTGTCTTTGGGGGATGAACCCTGGCCAAACTGTGCCTTGTATTAGGGGAAGAAAACCTCTTTTTGACAGCATATTCCTGCTCTGTGGTGGTTGTGATATCACCAGCATATGGCATGCTGGCATCTCTGCAAAGGGGCCAGAGGTATGAGTTTTAGGAGAAAGCTTCAGATACAAGAGCCAAACCTGGTATTTTAATGACATAGTTGGCACATCTACATGTGTCATTTACACTATTCAGACAGTTGTGACTTTTGGGGGAAAACAAGGCTGTAAATTTTAATGCCTATCTTTAATCCCTAATGAGAATGGAGTTAAGTGGAAATTATAAATTAGTGGCATGGGGAGATATCAACATATTTGATAAATATTTGAGTTGAAAACTTCCTAGAATAACCTCCATTGTGTTTTGTTCTCGCTCTAGGCAACTTGGCATTAAGAACGGAATGTTTTTTGGGCATGCTAAACAACTATGTCCTAATCTTCAAGCTGTTCCATACGATTTTCATGCATATAAGGAAGTCGCACAAACATTGTATGAAACATTGGCAAGGTACAGTGTATCAAACTGTCATTTTGTGTCTGTGTTTTCCTTCTTTTAGCTAATAGTAAAGACAGTTCAAGTTTTCTTTAGGATTGTCAGGATCACTTTTGTTAGAATTTTATCTTCCAGGAACCACTCCTCAGCATCCCAGTTTGAGACCTTTCTTTGGGCAATTTCCAGGTAGCTCAATCTCAAAGGATAGTTTTGTATTGCCAAAATTGTTCATGTGCTTCCTTGGTTGATGTAAGATCTGATTATTTGCTTATATTACTTCTAGTCTGTGGTTCTGGTTTTCTTCCCATGGAGCCAGATAGATGAAGGATGGAATTTTTTAACCTGGTTTTTCTCTTTTATTTCATTTTAATTATAGTTTTGTTCAAAATTAGAACTGATGGGTTGATAACAAGTGGAGACACTTTAAAACCTTTATCTTCTTAAAATCATTGGATATGCCAAAAGTTAGTTTTCATAAAAGTGGGTCTTTAATAATAGTTTCAAAATGGTTGATGAGTTGGCTTGAGAAAAGGTGATTAATTTTAAAAATATTTAAAATTGTAGATGTATTTAAAAATATTTAAAAGTGTAGATATATTCCATATTAACTCAGGACTCAAATTTCTTAAAAGTATAACCAGCCTATTATGCTGTAAACCAGGGGTCAGCATAGTTTTCTGAAGGGAGCCAGATAAAGTTTCTGTCACTCAACAGAAGTTCTCAGTTCTGCGTTGTGAATGGAAAGCAGCCACGGGGAATGTATATGAATGGGCTTGGTGTAGTTCCAGTAAAAATGCATTTACTGGATGTTAGGCCAAGGTTTGTCAACTCCTGGGCAGTATTAATGTTCCAAGAGATAGACTTCTTGCCTCTGTTTTCACCTCTGCCTCTTCCTTTTTATGCGTTAATTTGAACACCAGTATCTGCTAAGTACAGGTGACTGCTAGATGCTGCTAGTCCAGAAGGGAATATCTAATCCTTGCCCTTGTGGGAGCTTGCTTTAGTAGGAGAGAGAGAGAAAATGTGAAGGAACTGATTATTTCCTGGCGTCATTATGTAGGAGTGAGTGCTGAATGATAAGACACTTATTATAGCTATTCTATTAACACAAAGAGAACACACTAATTAACTTTCCAGTTATAAGTTGGGTAACTAAATAAATAAATCCCAAATACAGGAATGTTGGTATTGTCAAGTGGAACGTGCTTTAAATCCTCTTTGAAAGGAGGAAGTCAGTGGTAGCATCCAAACGAGGGCTAGATAGGGATGGGTGACTGAGGTCAGTACTGTGGTGCTCCTGTGTCCTGGGTATTGAAGCCCTAGAGCAAGCATCAGCCTGTGCCTGAGGTTATGAGGATGTGAGAGAGAGCTGTGACCTATACTCCTACACAGTCACATGCACACGGTCCCAGTAGAAGGCTGGAGACAGTTTCAGTGGCATGTTTCTATTCTTAGGGGAAAAATATCCACAGTAGTGTTCTTCTACCACCCTTGGGAAATCCTATCTCAGCTTCATATTCTCCCTGTCTCAGGGCAGCTTTCACTCTGAAGCAAAATACCTCATACCAGATATACCCTTCTGTTCTTAAAAATGTCATACTTTAAGCCTAAACAAAACATACTTATTTCTTTAATAGATTATTTCTTTAATAGAGATCTTAATCTGATTGTAACCTACCTACAGTAAGGTGTAGGTGAGAGATGAGGACCGCCCTCCTAGTCTACATTACCAAGTGGATTATGAAAGACATAGTTTTGATCCTGAGGCCTCTTGGGAAAGTTTCCTCCCATTTCTGGTCCAGTTCTATTTTGTGATTTCTTAGTCCTCGTATTAGCATGGGGGCCACATAGCAACTCTTGTCTTCCTTTTTCTTTTCTCTAATTAAAACAAATCCTTTTTGTGGATAGATCCTATGAGATGATTTTTTAAAAAGTATGTCCACATGCAGAGAGTGTAGATAACTATTCTCAGACAAGCAGTTGGGATGACTGGCCACTTTTTCCTTCTGTATTCTAGGCCTGCTACAGTGAGTGGAATTTAACTGTGATATTTTGGTTTTAGGAGAGTAGCAATTACTGATTTGTCTAATTTTTCTGTTCCTTAAAGGATTCTCATAAACCATTAGATTAAATGTTTTGACAGTTCAAATTCACCCACCGGTTTTCAACTCTTCAAAGGTTTATAGAAGTATTGTCAGTATAGAGAAACTGAAATAATAATTTATGCTGTGTTTTTGTTTTTTTGTGTTTAAATTTTTTTTGTTGGTTATTTTACTCCTCAAACATTTTCCTATCCAATATGCTGTATTTTGGTAGTTAATAAGGAGAAAGAGAACACACTAATTAACTTTGCAGTTAAAAGTTGGGTGACTAAAATGGTACTTCAGCCAATTCATTTAAAATGCTTTGTGAGGAAATAGAAAAAAGAGAGGATAAGAAGACTATTTTGCAACATTGGGTCTACCAGATGGTGGCTGTGGCTGTGATTCGTTGCCTTTGCTCTGTGTTGATAGCTACACTCATAACATTGAAGCTGTCAGTTGTGATGAAGCGCTGGTAGACATTACCGAAATCCTTGCAGAGACCAAACTTACTCCTGATGAATTTGCAAATGCTGTTCGTATGGAAATCAAAGACCAGACGAAATGTGCTGCCTCTGTTGGAATTGGTTAGTATCTAGCTTATCTTGTACTCAAAAGAGTTGCTTTGAGATTCTTGAATATCAGTTAATTTTATGGAGTTTTTCTTTTTATTAGCTTCCTCTCACTTGTAAAACCGTTTTTAGCATTGCTTACAATTGTGTGACACACGAGATAAGTGCTGGAAATATAAGTAAATGGTTGATAATCTTCGCAATAAATAAGTTAGAATATTTCTTACTTATTCTTAAAAAATTGGGAAGGTTTCATTCAACATTTGTAAACAGTTTTTTTTTTCCCAAAAGTGAACGGAAACCGTATTTAAAGCTAGGTGGTGGTATGGGTTTAGAGTTGCGTGTTAAGTCTGAGTCTTGTTACTCTCTGCACTTCAGCCTCCCGGCACATGGAGCTATTCCTGTCTTCACTCAGTTCTAGAAGTCACCCTGACTCCAAGTGCTCTCAGTAACTGTCCAGTCTCTCCTCCATCTCCATCCATGCTGTCTTTAAACCTTGTACTTTGTTTCCACAGCTGCTCCCAGCACTTACCCTGCTTTTTTGTTGATTCTTCCAGCCGTGTCCTCTGGAACTCTTTCATACTTAAGCTTCCCTGAGTCACCTCTTCCTTTCTTAACCCACTCATTACCTTCTGGCAAGATACCCCTTTTCTTGCCATTCTGTTACTAGAGCCAGTTTGTCCCTGCCATACTCAGTATACCACAGGCTTGGAAGGTAAAGTTAACTGTCTTAGCTTGCCATTGTCACTTTCAACCATTATTCCTCCATCTTCATCCAAAAACCCTTCTTCTTCCAAAGTTCCCTGTCTCCTTTGTACCCATGAAATTTACTAATGACTGAGTGATGATGCAGAGAGGCTAATGCCATTGAAAGAAGAATTTGTTACTTCCATTTCCCGAGAGGAGGGGCACACCGTGCTACACAGGACTACTGGGGAAGCACCAGGGTGGTTAGGAGACAGAAGCTGAAGGAGTGGCAGACGGAGCGCCTAGGCTCCAGAGCCTTTGTTAGGGTTTTTTTCAGAAAGGCAAGGCAGGGCTGAGGAAACACTTTAGGAGTGGCTAGTTTGAGTAATTCTGGTGGGCTCTGGGCTATAGGGGTGGTCCCTAGTTGCCTGGTAGCTGGCCCTGGGACAATTTAGGGCAGGAGGTGGTTAGGTTGCATATGACAAGTGTGCTTCCAGGTAAGAGGTTTACTGTCTTTAGGAATTAGCCAGCCCTGGGAGGGCAGTCTCTCCCCAGCCAGCAGGATTTTTAAGATTTCAAAACACTGCGAGATACAGAAAATAAAAAGTATGATTAATACATTCCCAGCATTCCTACAGCTACTGGCTAGCCTACCTTTTACCCCCTGATGTTGGCCCACAGACATTGGTAACATTTCACTTAGGAATTCTATATTCCATTGTCAGGCACAATTTTATTTTTTTGTTTTTAATTGTCCTTAATTTTCATTTATAAGTGATCATGTGAATCCATTCTTTTAAGTTCAAGCATATGTAATGCCAAAGTCCCACTTTATATTTCCACTCCTCAGTGCCTTTCCCCTCCCCTGAACTCACTACTTTTATCATTTTGGTGTGACTTCCCAGAACTTTCCCTGTTCGTGAATCTCTGTTTATATAAGTCTTCTATAAAACCAAGATATGTCCTCAATATAAGTCTTCCCTTTGGAGATTTTATTATTCACGGAGAAGCCCACCTAGCAGCTGAGCTCTGCAGATCCCTGCCCCTTCTCAGGGCTTGGTGCCCTTTTCCTCCACTGCTTCTGTGGCCCCTGCCCACACCTACACCGTGAACCTCACTGCCTGTCTCTGTGTTTTGAGGACTCTTCTACCCTCAGTTCCCACTGCTGCTTTGGGCTTTCTGGTTTCCCCAGTCCAGTCGCGCACTTTTTATTGTCATTTCCCTACCTCCTCTGTCTCCTGTGGTTGGGAACATGAACTACTCTTTGATCATGGCCTTCAATTCCTACAGACACCCACTCTGAAGATCAGGACTGCTGATTGGGCACGGTGGCTCATTCCTGTAGTCCCAGCACTTTGGGAGGCTGAGGCGGGTGGATCATGAGGTCAGGAGATCGAGACCATCCTGGCTAACATGGTGAAACCCCGTCTGTAAAAATACAGAAAAATTAGCCGGGCATGGTGGTGGGCGCCTGTAGTCCCAGCTACTCGGGAGGCTGAGGCAGGAGAATGGCTGGAGCCCAGGAGGCGGAACTTGCAGTGAGCTGAGATCACAACCACTACACTCCAGCTTGGGCAACAGAGTGAGCCTCCATCCCCCAAAAAAAAAAAAAAAAAAAAAATCAGGACTGCTTTCTCTATTCCTGCTTCTGGTTAGATGCTGAAGTGGCACTTGCGTTAGAGCAAAGAGAAACCTCTGTCCAGGTACTCTGTTGGTTATAATCTAAATACTTAGCAAAATTCTACACCTTATTTGAAATAATCAAAATTTATTTTCATTGTTTTTAGAAACTTGATGGATAACCTGTATGAAGAGATCTTTGTTGAGAAATTTAAAAAATAATTGTGACTATTTCTTGGATGACTTTTTTTTTTAATAGGTTCTAATATTCTCCTGGCTAGAATGGCAACTAGAAAAGCAAAACCAGATGGGCAGTACCACCTAAAACCAGAAGAAGTAGATGATTTTATCAGAGGCCAGCTAGTGACCAATCTACCAGGTAAATAGAAATATTTTAACAATACTTTTATTACAGGCATTACAAGTACTTTTCATATCTATAATATAGAACTGTGAGACCTCTTTTTGCCCAGACATGAATATAAAAATTTTTAAGTCTTATTGAGTGCCATGAAAAACAAAATTTGGAATTCTGCATTAAATATCCCCTAAAATGATTTGTCAGGACCTTAATGTTACATTTTTGTTTTGCTTCTATTCAGTTTTACTTTAGGTATTTCTCAAGTAGCAAGATTCTAAGAAACAATGTTAAAAGGGAGGATGATGAAATTGACTTTCAGTCCTTTAAATAAATGATTATTGAAATAGTTTACTCCTGGGCTAAAGATAAAAGTTTTGAGCTTCGATTCTCCTATGTCATGCTGCAGGACTAGCGACAGTTTTCTGAGTTTATTAAACAAGTACTTTTAAAAGTATAAATAGAATGTGTGTGAGCTGTATTAGGAAAAAGGAAACGTAAAGAAGGATTGTGTTTTCAATTAACTCCACTCATGGAAAAAAACCTTCCATCTTAACCTTTCTCACCTAAGGGGCAGGATGTTCAGTTATTTCATATTTTTGTGTAGTTACCTATTTATTATAAAGTGCCTCTGTCAGCTTTGTAAAGTCTTCCATCTTCATTTATAGTGAAAGTTTTAAAATTCATTTGTTAAAAGTAGATTTAGTGGCATTTTTAGATGCCTATTTTTAAGCCTAATAAAAGTATGTCCGAACTAACTTAGAAGTTTCTGTTAACAGGCCATAAATATTAAACGACAGAAATGGCATTTTATGGTAGGTTAGTTTTAAAGCTTCCTGACCCCCGTAGTATATAACTTAAAACGATGTATTAGTGTCAGAAATGTGTAATATGACATTTTTGATGGTTAGTTTCACATTTAATTTGAGAATACTTTATAAAATCAAACTAGCAAATTACTGTAGTAGACAACACAGTTTAAACATTTTTAATAAGAAATCTTACTGAAGTTTTATATAAGAAGGAACTGGTATATTTAAAGTTGCATGTAAAATTTGAGTTTTAAGTTTATTACACTAGCCATCTGTATTAGTTTTCTAGGGGTGCCATAACAAAGTACCACAGACTGGGGTGCATAAACAACAGAAATGCGTTGTCTCACAGTTCTGGAGGCTGGAAGTTCAAGATCAAGGTGTCAGCAGGGTTGGCTCTTTCTGAAGCCTCTGCTTGGCTTGTAGGTGACCCTCCTCTCCCTGTGTCTTCACATGGCCTTCCCCATATGCATGTCTCCGTCCTGATCTCTTCTTGTGAGGATACCAGTCATGTTGGATTAGGCTCATCAATATGACCTTGTTTTATCTTAATTACCCTTTAAAGATTCTGTGTCCAAATACAGTCACACTGTGGCCGGGCATGGTGACTCACACCTGTAATCCCAGCACTGTGGGAGGCCGAGGCAGATGGATCATTTGAGGCCAGGAGTTCAAGACCAGCCTGGCCAACATGGTGAAACCCTGTCTCTACTAGAACTACAAAAAAAATTAGCTGGGGGTAGGTGGCACATGCCTGTAGTCCCAGCTACTCAGGAGGCTGAGGCACAAGAATCGCTTGAGCCCGAGAGGCAGAGGTTGCAGCGAGCCAAGATCGCACCACTGCACTCCAGCATGGGTGACAGAGTGAGACTGTGTTGAAAAAAACAAAACAAAAACAAATACAGTCACATGGTGAAGTACTGGGGTCAGGACTTCAGCATATAAATTTGGGGAAGACACAGTTTAGTCCAAAACACCATCTTTAAATCGAACCCTTTTTGTAGTTTTCTTTGTTTTAATAGAAATAGGGACGTTTTAGCTACTTGACCTAGTAATCCTACCATTCACCTTCATTTGCTTCCTGGCTGGAAAGACTTTATTTCTTTTTTTTTTTTTTTTTTTTTGAGATGGAGTCTTGCTCTGTTGCCCAGGCTAGAGTGCAATGGTGCGATCTCGGCTCACTGCAAGCTCTGCCTTCTGGGTTCACGCCATTCTCCTGCCTCAGCCTCCCGAGTAGCTGGGACTACAGGCACCCACCACACAGCCGGCTAATTTTTTGTATTTTTAGTAGAGATGGAGTTTCACCTCTGTCTCGGTCTCCTGACCTCATGATCCGCCCGCCTCGGCCTCCCAAAGTGCTGGGATTATAGGCATGAGCCACCGTGCCCAGTGAGACTTTATTTCTTGAAGGGCAAGTGTGAAGTTACATGTCCTGGCCAAGCTGAGGCACAGCCTTGAATTTCCTAAGGGAGATTTGAAAGATAGGGCAGCAGAGTTGGCCTTCTCTTCTTCAGAGCCAGGTTCTGTATTGCTCACAGTGGTTCATGTGGTTTTCATAAAATCCCCAAATCCTTAACCTGACTGTTATAGAACATTTCAGGTCTATAAAATATCTCCCTTCTCCATTGTTACTCCTGTCCTGAAGTGTGTTCCACAGATTATAAGCTGTTCCTTTAAAAAGGGGTTTCATATAGGAGAGGGAACCTTCTGTGGTGGAGGGGTTTGTACAGTGAAAGTCCTGGGAATTATTTTAGAAAAGAAACCTATTTATCTTTGTTAAAGACTAGTAATTTCTCAAAGATATTTGGTGATAAATATACAGTACCTATTTATATCTTGTGGAACACGCTTTGGAGGAACTTGGCTCTCTAACCATAACCAGGAGAAATTCAGTGGTAACTTGCCCCATCTCCAACCTCTTTAGTCCCTTGTACCCATAAATGTTTAGTGACCACATACGTGCTGCGCACAGTAATAAACAATTAGAATAACTACATAAGAAGGAAAAACACAATAGTAAGTTTTTGCTTTAGGAGACTCCACAGAATAATAATTGTGTATTACACTAATAAATACGTTTCTTAATATGATCCGGTTACCTAATGAAAGAAAGGATTGACCCCAACGACTATTACAGTTTGAAGAACCATTTCTACTTTTTCTCTGGATCTTTGCAGGGCTTTTTACCTGCGCATGCACTCTTCAATGAAGGGCCCTCTGCACCTCATTCAGCCTTTGCTAGGTTTGTGCATCTAGCATATGGATTCCCTCTCTATCCCATTTTCAGAGAACCACCATGATCATGTAGGCATTCATAAAGTCTGCACTAATACAGTAGCTACGTAGCCAAGTGAAGCTAGTACAATATGAGTTAAATTAAAGTTAAATAAAACTACCAGTTCAGTTCCTCACTGCCCTGGCCACATGGCAAGTGCTCAGTGGTCACATGGAGCAAGGTTCTCCTGTATTGGATAGCAGACGAGAACATTTCCATCACTGCAGAAAGTTCAGTTGAACAGCACTCCTGTAGATGGTGAAAACTTTATTCTTTGAAGTTTACTCCTCTATGTCTGTATTGGATAGCCAAGTTCTGGATGCCAAGGAGGGGACATTATTGGCCACTTTTAACCTAGGGTAATAGTTCCCCTTCAAGGACAGATGCCAAGTCTTTGTCCCAGTTGCTTGACCAGGAGCCTCCTTGACTCTCTCTTCGTTGAGATTTGATTCTAAAAGAGCATATTTTCCTTCACCTTTTCCTTAATAGGTGGCTGCACTCTTTGGGCCCGGAGCCCCCCTTACTTTGTCCATAGAGTTGCCATCTTTCCCTTATAAACACCTACTTAATTGACGTATTTAGTTAAAACTAGCAGCCCTCTTCAAGGTTTTGGTCCTGGCTCCAAGTTTAATTTTCCCACCCCCACTCAATAGGAGTTGGAGGTACACCACATGCCCTGCCTCCCTCCCCCACCTCCGGTTCAGGCCATTTCATTCCATCAGATGAGCCTGCATGGAGAAGAACTGTGCTTCTTTCATAGAGGGATGTCCACTTAGATTAGATTGATTACGGTTAACTTGGTGATGTTTAATATAGCCTTTCCTTTGCACCTGTAGTGCATAATTTGTTGTGGTATACTCAAGATACTCTAAAATTTTAAACTATGGGGTTTCCACCCCAACACATGGACACACTAACACAACCCAGGATGATGATTGTCTCTTGCTAATCTTGGAAGTCCCTGAGAACAGATTTGTTCCCCAGAACTGTAACGGAAAGATCATGGTCAGATTATGGGAGTGGGAAGTGAGGCAATAGTGGGAGGGACAAAAGAGAGACACAAAGTCTTCCCTGATGTTAAGAAGTCTTATGACAAAAAAGAAATAACAAAAAGAGCAAATTGAAGAAAAAAGTCTTTCTTAAAAGCAAATAGCTGTGCAAAGTGTCTACCTTTGACAAACCCAAGTATGTAATTTGTCTATTCCCTTGTGTTTCTCCTCCCCATTTTGAAAAGCACTTAGGTTTCACTTAAAATTTTACCTTTTGGTGAATGGTACTTCTCTGGAGGAATTTTTTTTTTTTTTTAAATTGTTAACTCGGGGTCTTTGGTATTTACTTGCCCTTTGTTCTGGCTTGGACTTTAAAATGGCACAATTGTGAACGAGCACGCTTAACGCCTTCATCTCACTTCCATTAAGGAATAAAGTGTCTGGGTTTAAACTTGTCTGACCCACATTGATGACTTCCTAACCTTGTGTTATATACTGGTTCCAGAGGTTTTCCTGGCAGAACTTGGACTAGATAGTTTTTCTGCTACTGAAGACCACTCAGGAGGATGGGAGCTATGAACAGAAGTTAGCAGACTTCACTCTGAGCTCTCTTTTTTAAACACAGGGTCTTGTTCTGTCACCTAGGCTGGAATGGAATGGCAGGTTCATAGCTTACTACAGCCTCAAACTCTCGGGCTCAAGGGATCTTTCCAACTCAGCCTCCCAAGTAGCTGGGACTACAGGAGCGCACCACCACACCCAGCTAATTCTTTTTTCTATTTTATAGAGACGGTCTACCTCAGTTGCCCATGTTGTCCTCAAACTCAGACTGTTGGCCTCCCAAAGTATTGGGATTACAGGTGTGAGCCACCACACCCAGCCTGAGTTCTCTTTTGATAAGTTCCTACAGAAGACCAGAAACACAACGCTGTCTTTTCCTCATTGATGGAAAATTTTTACTTGATGGTGTGGAACCATTTTAATAAGCATTATAGTTTCCCTCAGTTACTCCAAACCTCTTTCCCAAATTTGTGGACCTTTTTAAAGCATTTAGGGCAAATTGAAGAAAACCAAGACTCCAACTTAGAGCAACAGAATTAATCAGTATCCTTTAGGTGGGGCTCAAACGTTACATCTTGCAGAATAGGACATAGGGACTGCTGCCTGCTGGCCCAGCTGTAGGAGAGTTCATATCTCTTCAGAGAGATCATCCTTTTGATTAAAAAAAAAGTCTGTCTTCTACCCCAACCACCAGTTGGTTTGGTTAGGGTCCTTCATCTTCAGGTCAGTGGTATGTGTGATAGCATGTAACATTTCTGGACTTTGGCCCATTTTGTGAATTCTTGTTCTGTTTTTCACTGAAAAAATGTGGCTGATACCACTGTGAGATTTGGTGATGACCGAAATCATAATAGATCCCTTACATTTCGTGAGTTGGTTAGTATGTCTGTAAGTCACACTATAGACTTGTTTAAATGACAGTTGATTCCTTAGTTGATTTTGTGACTAAGATACATATCTTGGTATTATTCACTAATAAAGAAAGTGACATTTTTGATAACTTGAGTTATACATATTTTAAAAGTTTCTGGTTCATCTATATGTGGAGTCCAAATTGAGAAGTAGAGTCTAGAAATACATCTACTAGCATGATTTTGCACCAAAAAATTCTTCAGCCTGTGGATGCTTCAGTTATGTTGCCTAAAGACTTTAAAGATTATTTTAAACTAGTTGTTTTGTGCATAAATGGTGGGTATTTTGTGTTAATAAACTTGTTATTAGTAGCTTATTCTGCATACTTAACTATATTCCCTTTCCTAGGAGTTGGACATTCAATGGAATCTAAGTTGGCATCTTTGGGAATTAAAACTTGTGGAGACTTGCAGTATATGACCATGGCAAAACTCCAAAAAGAATTTGGTCCCAAAACAGGTCAGATGCTTTATAGGTTCTGCCGTGGCTTGGATGATAGACCAGTTCGAACTGAAAAGGAAAGAAAATCTGTTTCAGCTGAGATCAACTATGGAATAAGGTTTACTCAGGTACTGATCATTGAACAGATTTTGCCATCTGTTGCTCTTTATATTTTTACATAGTCCTACCTCTACAACTAAACCATTAGACCCTCAATGCTTGAAATTAAGTCTTAAAACTGTTGTATCCCCAGAGCCTTAAGAAGGCCTTTTAAGGCACTGTGTGGTAAGGTGTAGCCCCAGATAAGACTGAGACTGAGGAAACTTAGCTCTTGGGGAAATATACTAAAAGATTATGCTTTGGAGGCCAGTTATTAGAGAACTTGAGATTATAATTATTCTAATTAACAGTGAAAAAATAAAAAAGATGAGAAAAATATTTTTAATGTTGAAATATTTTTTAAGCTGTAGTTAAAATTAAGTTTCAGCAAACCCCTCCTTATGCAAGCTTTTGGAAAGCTGCAGCACAGATGGCTGAGTAGTTTCCATTTTCCTTCAGATTATGGATTTGGATATGTTTTTTTTTTTTTTTTTTTTTTTTTGAGATGGAGTCTCACTTTGTTGCCCAGGGTGGAGTCTCACTTTGTTGCCCAGGGTGGAGTGCAGTGGCGCAGTCTCGGCTCACTGCAACCTCCGTTTCCCAGATTCAAGAGATTCTCCTGCCTCAGCCTCCCAAGTAGCTGGGATTACAGGCACCCGCCACCACGCCCGGCTAATTTTTTGTACTTTTAGTAGAGACGTGGTTTCACCGTGTTGGCCAGGCTGGTCTCAAACTCCTGACCTTGTGATCTGCCCGCCTCAGCCTCCTAAAGTGCTGGGATTACAGATGTGAGCCACTGCGCCCGGCTGGATATGTCTTGAATTTGTATGTACAAACAACACCATATCATAAGGATTTGAAATGTGATGAGTTAATTACCCTCTGTGCCTACACTGTGGACCTCAGGAGTTTTGTTTCCTTAGGCATGGAGATAGATGATGTTTGGGCTGTAAGCACAGTGTTGGAACACACATTTTATTAGCAGAACTTATTAACATAGTTACAAAAGAATTTTCGACAAGTCAGTGATGGCATAGAAAAGAAAGAAAGGGGCCCTATGCGGTGGCTCACACCTGTAATCCCAGCACTTTGGGAGGCTGAGGCAGGCCGATCACCTGAGGTCAGGAGTTGGAGACCAGCCTGGCCAACATGGTGAAACCCCGTCTCTACTAAAAATACAAAAAAATTAGCCAGACATTGTGGCAGGCGCCTGCAATCCTAGCTACTCGGGAGGCTGAGGAAGGAGAATCACTTGAACCTGGGAGGCGGAGGTTGCAGTGAGCCGAGATCATGCTATTGCACTTCAGCCTGGGGGACAAGAATGAGACTGTCTCAAAAAAAAAAAAAAGGAAAGAAAGGAAAAATATCTTTTAAAAGTACTCATTACTTTCACTTTGTTGGGAAGGTGGGTATTTGTATTTAATAGTTGAGGGTATACCAAACAGTTTTTGTTGTTGTAGTTTTACTTTTTTGAGACGGAGTCTCCCTCTGTCGCCCAGGCTGGAATGCAGTGGCATGATCTCAGCTCACTGCAACCTCCGTCTCCTGGGTTCAAGCGATTCTCCTACCTCAGCCTCCTGAGTAGCTGCGATTACAGGCACCCGCCACCACGCCAGGCTAATTTTTGCATTTTTAGTAGAGATGAGGTTTCACCACGTTGGCCAGGCTGGTCTCGAACTCCTGACCTCAGACGAATCCACCAGCCTCGGCCTCTCAAAGTGCTGGGATTACAGGTGTGAGCCACCGCGCCTGGCCACGTTTCTTTTTAATAGATGCTGAGCGTGATAGTGAGTAACCAACATGTTTAATATTCAAAGTTAAAATACTTGAGAACAATTATTAGGTATATAGGAAAGTGGAATGGTAGTTTCTCCACGTTTGTCTTTCCATAGCCAAAAGAGGCAGAAGCTTTTCTTCTGAGTCTTTCAGAAGAAATTCAAAGAAGACTAGAAGCCACTGGCATGAAGGGTAAACGTCTAACTCTCAAAATCATGGTACGAAAGCCTGGGGCTCCTGTAGAAACTGCAAAATTTGGAGGCCATGGAATTTGTGATAACATTGCCAGGTAAGCTCACCTCAGAAATGATATTGGTAATTATATTTCAGTACAGGTTGTTGTAAGTAATAGAAAATGAAGAAAACCAAGGAGGAGTTTGAATAAAGACCTGTAAACCCGTTAATCTGGTATTCTGTAGAAGCAGGCATCAGCCCAAGGCATTCAGCTTAGGTTAATGCACTTGGTTTCAGCGAGGCCCACACACAGGAGGTTGGTTTGACGGCATTGCTGACCTTGGCAGCCTTTGCTTGGCATCTTTGGGCTGTTAACTTTACTGCATGGACAGAAAGAAAGGGCAAGGCTGCAGACCAAAGGGACTGCTATAGTTTCGGGACTTGGTGAAACTTTTTTCCTGAGGAAAATTTCAATGTAGTTCTTAAAAACAATGATACAGGCCAGGTGTGGTGGCTCATACCTGTAATCCCAGCACTTTGGGAGGCTGAGGCAGCTGGATCACTTGAGGCCAGGAATTTGAGACCAGCCTGGCCAACATGGTGAAACTCCATTTCCACTAAAAGTACAAAAATTAGCCGGACATGGTGGCATTCGCCTGTAGTCCCAGCTACTCAGGAGGCTGGGGCAGGAGGATTGCTTGAACCCAGGAGGCAGAGGTTGCAGTGAGCTGAGATCGCGCCAGTGCACTCCTGCCTGGGCAACAGAGCAACATTCTGTCTCAAAAAAATGATACACAAAGGCAGACTATAGTAGCTAGAAAAATGATGGTGAAGGAGAGCAACTTCATTTACATAGGTGTATACATTTAATTGGTAAAAAGATGAATGAATCACTGTAATGTCTGAAAACTGGTAAAAGCATTTAAAAACGCTGTTTTTTTTGGGGGGGGGGGGGGTTGTTTGTTTTGAGACAGAGTCTGGCTCTGTCACCCAGGCCTGAGGGCAGTGGTGCGATCTCGGCTCATTGCAACTTCTACCTCCTGGGTTCAAGCAATCCTCCTGTCTCAGCCTGTTGGGTAGCTGGGATTATGGGGCATGCCACCATGCCCAGCGAATTTTTGTATTTTCAGTAGAGATAGGGTTTCACTATGTTGGCAAGGCTGATCTTGAACTCCTGACTTCAAATGATCCGCCCACCGCAGCCTCCCATAGTGTTGGGATTACAGGCATGAGCCAATGTGCCCGGTCTGAAACACTCGTCTTTTATGTCAGGGCCAACTACTTAATATTAAACTTCATGTAAGATTCGTGACCAATATGAAGATGTGTGGTTTTACATGTCATTTTATATTGCACTGTATTTCATCTGTGAAACCAAAATTTTGAGACTTTTGACACTGAAAGCTACTTACAATATGAAGTATAGTTTCATTAAAGATTAGCTCATGCCAACCATACATGGTGCATTCATGTATATGATGATATTGCTAAGTCGTGAGACGACTGCTCTTAAACAGAGAAACTCCCAAGTTACCATGAAAGCAGGAATTATAAATTACAATTAGAGAACATAATTTATAAAATACATTTTTTATCAGTTGGTTATCTTGAATTATATTTACCTACCTGTTATGATACACATGTATCTCAAATAGTAAATAGTGGTCATTTATTTATTTACTTTAAAAACTTATTTATGTAGAGACAGGATCTCGCTCTGTTGCCCAGGCTGGCCTTGAACAATCCTTTTGCCTTGACCTCCCAGCGTTTTGGGATTACAGGTGTGAGCCACTGTGCTCAGCTTTTAGTGGTTATTTCTATAAGCAGATGAAGTAATGTGATTATCTTCTTAAACATTTCTATGGGAAAATCCAATTCAATTTATAATAATTTTTTCTGGGAATATTTCTTGTTTAATGGCCTGGAACTTCATTTGTTCATTATACATGGAAAGGATCATCCAAAACACGAAATAACTTTCCTTTGGAAAGAGAACTGGTAGTAATTTGTTAATCTGTTACTGAGTTAGTAATTCTGTTTGCAATGGGACAGCCCGCTCATGCCAGAGAAGCTCAAAAGGCTCTGAAGGAAATGGTGGGTGAGGTCAGCACATCTTTGAGACCTAATAATGCTGATGGACCATTTGGTCCTCCTTCAAGAGTTCTTAAAGATCTAAGAATTGTTTATTGGCTGTACTGTAAACACAATGAAAGGAGAGTCAAGAAACAACATACAGAGAATTTATCTTTCTCTTCTGAATATTTGCTATACCTCAGCATACATAATCTTGGAACCTAAAACTTCTCTTGGAATCAAGAACATTGTGTTTACCATTCACTTGTGCTTTAGCTGGAAAATATGTATTTATTTGTGCATATGTTAGCTAAAATCTACCTTTTTCTAAATTTCTCAACTTATTTTTAGTTGACCTAAGTGTCCATTACGGTTTTTACCTTAAAGTTCTAGTGTTCCATAATTTTTCTTTCCCCCTTGGTTGCCAGTGTAACTAATTTGGTATTTCTGGCTTCCTTGAAGGGAGACTATGGCATTCACTTTTATAATCTTCTTTGTAACTGTTTACAACTTTTCTATAACTCTTTTAAACAGTTCCATACTACTTTAGTACTAGTGAATACATATGGAATGAAGCTTTTGTTTTTTAATTCTATCACTTACAGGACTGTAACTCTTGACCAGGCAACAGATAATGCAAAAATAATTGGAAAGGCGATGCTAAACATGTTTCATACAATGAAACTAAATATATCAGATATGAGAGGGGTAAGTATATAGTAACATTGTAAATTCTGACTTTGTGTAATGTATCTCTCATTTTTGAGGCTTGCTCTCAAAAGGGTTATTGCTGGTGTATAGGGACTTTATATGTAGGTCTTTAGCTGCTTTGTAATACAAGGAAAAGAGAAACAAAAATTCTTGACTTCCTCCATTTTGACCTCCTTCATTTTAGAATAATTTTCTTAGATTCTTACTGTACTTTTCCAAGGTACCCCTGATTAACCAGGGGCTAATATACATGTCTTCCCTGTTCTTGTTTCCTAGAAGTAGATATGACTGTGAGGAATATGAATACATAAATTTTGTACCTTTAAGTTCCTTTTTAATCAGAAACATACTCTGCATCTGCTGTATGATGACCTAGAAGGGAGTGAAACCACAGGCACATCAAGATGCCTTTGAAACAGGCAAGAGGCATCAAAATGTCAAAACCATAGATTTTTGTGTGGGGTTTTTTTTTTTTGAGACAGTTTTTGCCCTGTTGCCCAGGCTGGAGTGCAATGGCGTTGTATCGGCTCACTGCAACTTCCGCCTCCTGGGTTCAAGCAATTCTCCTTCTTCAGCCTCCCGAGTAGCTGGGGGTACAGGCACCCGCTACCACGCCCAGCTAATTTTTTGTATTTTTGGTAGAGATGAGGTTTCACCATGTTGGCCAGGCTGGTTTCAAACTCCTGACCTCAGGTGATCCACCCACCTCAGCCTCTCAAAGTGCTGGGATTACAGGCACTTGCCCCCATCTCTACTAAAAATACAAAAATTAGCCGGGTGTGGTGGTGCATGCCTCATAGTCCCAGCTACTCGGGAGGCTGAGGCAGGAGAATCACTTGAACCCAAGAGGCAGAGCTTGCATGAGCCAAGATCGTGCCACCGCACTCCAGCCTGAGTGACACAGTGAGGCTCTGTCTCAAAAAAAAAAAAAAAAAAAAAAAAAAAGAACCTTTGTAGGTTTAGTTTTATGTGTGCATATGTAAGTAAAGGGTTGTTCTGGCTTGATGTGGGCTTTGTTGAAAGATTAGTCACTAAGCCAGCCGTAATTGTGATTTCTCCCTGAAATACTGTTATAATGGCACTTTATGGAGGGGTCTGCAGTGTACCTGCTGTTCATCACTCCCGCCAATATTTTTTGAGAAGTATTTCATTTAAAAAAGATAAAAATAGTGAAGTTTCCAAGTAGACTGTCCTCTCTTAATTTTTTTTTATCCTAATTTAAAACCTTAGTTGACGAGAACATCAGTGGAATACAGTATTCCACTTGTTTGGATTTTCTGATTTTAAAGATCTTTTGGTATATTTTGGGAGAATTGGATACTCTGAAGTTTGAGATGAATGACCACTCACTAGCTACTTTAGAAATTGTTTTTGTAATAAGTCATATAGAATGCTGTTTGAATACTTTCATTTACCTTTATTCTAGAAACAGGATCCAGGAGATAGTGAAAAGGATTTGCTGAGGATTTTGCTTAGCTGAATTCATATTTTCACTTTAGTTTTCCTAGAAGCATACTCTTTATTCTGGGTTCTAGGTTGGGATTCACGTGAATCAGTTGGTTCCAACTAATCTGAACCCTTCCACATGTCCCAGTCGCCCATCAGTTCAGTCAAGCCACTTTCCTAGTGGGTCATACTCTGTCCGTGATGTCTTCCAAGTTCAGAAAGCTAAGAAATCCACCGAAGAGGAGCACAAAGAAGGTTGGTGGTCATCAATGTGGTTCTTTTTTAGGTGCTGCTTATGTCCTTGGAAAGACGGCAGTTGGTTTTAAAATTGACACAGCTTTATGTGATTTTAAAAATTTATATTCTTCATTATGATGAATCAGTAATAAAGTTTTTTTATTTGTAATGGACAGAGGATTAAAGGCCCTGCCCGATGATCTGAAGAGGCTATTTTATATATTTTCTTTTTGTAGTATTTCGGGCTGCTGTGGATCTGGAAATATCATCTGCTTCTAGAACTTGCACTTTCTTGCCACCTTTTCCTGCACATCTGCCGACCAGTCCTGATACTAACAAGGCTGAGTCTTCAGGGAAATGGAATGGTCTACATACTCCTGTCAGTGTGCAGTCGAGACTTAACCTGAGTATAGAGGTCCCGTCACCTTCCCAGGTACATTTTTGTAGTCCTAAATATAAGTACATTTTATACTCCTAAATATAAATACAAAAATACAAGTTTACAAATGAAAATGGCATTTTTATTTCTTCATCCGTTTAACCAAGAAAGGGAGAACGGGCCACTTGTTTGGGTAGATCATGATGTTGGATTCTAAATAAGCAATATTTGGGTTGAGTGAAAGTGCTTTTGCAAAGATTTGCCACTCTTGCAAGTTGTAAAGCATAGCTGAAAGGCAGTCCTCCTGTGGACTGCCATTGTCTGTGACAGTGGTCATCATGCAGACTTACTGTATTCAGCAAGGCAGCTTTGGTGATTAGTGGTGAAGTAGAGGCCTTATGTCGAAGGGTTTTTGCAGTATTTGCAAACAGGTCTCTGGAGATTTGGATGGTTTAATTCAGCGTGTGTGGGCTGTACATGTGATATACTGCTGGTCCTTGAAAGTAAGGTAGCACCTTAAGCTATATTGGGCAAGTTTATTTGTGCCTCTGCTCCCCCTGCATGGAAGGAGGCGGAAGGAGATGTTAAATACTGGCTGCAAAACTAGGGGAAAGGGCAATGCTGATATGCTTGTATGGCGACAGATACCCACAATTAGTTACTCCTGGCAAGATAAGATTGGTCCACCCAGTTGATGGGATTGCATGTTTCCAAAGGGCCAGATGTGGATGCACAGGTAGGCCCTGGCCAAAGGAACAGTGGATTCTGTCCTGTAAGTTAGAGAAAATTCAGCTTCTAGAAACCCTTTCTTCCAGTGTGCTGCTCTCAGAGTAGAATTATTTGTATTTTTGGGCAGTCTCTCATCTGAAAGGTGAACTTTTGACCCAGGACTGTTACCTGTCCAGAATTTTAACATGTGCCTCAGGCCTTCACCCCTCCCTGGGGTGGGATCTAATTTGAGCTTCACCAAGGCTATTCATATCTGTTGGCCCCAATTGCAGGACATTCTGTGAGTATATTTGGACTTACCTGGTCATGTGATAGTGGCTGGTAGTATATATACACTTCTTTCCAGACTACACATAGTACTTCAGGCTTCAATGACAAAAGGCCAAGACGTTCCAAAAATGTGCTGATTTGGAGGTGGCTTTCCTAGCTTGATGGTCTGTACCTTACATTGATTATCCACAGTATTCAAATTGAAATTTAAAGTGGCGTGTTAACTCCCAAACACCTCATCTCTGAGCATGCTTTAACTTCCTACTCATATGTTTGGCATTTTATAGCTGGATCAGTCTGTTTTAGAAGCACTTCCACCTGATCTCCGGGAACAAGTAGAGCAAGTCTGTGCTGTCCAGCAAGCAGAGTCACATGGCGACAAAAAGAAAGAACCAGTAAATGGCTGTAATACAGGAATTTTGCCACAACCAGTTGGGACAGTCTTGTTGCAAATACCAGAACCTCAAGAATCGAACAGTGACGCAGGAATAAATTTAATAGCCCTTCCAGCATTTTCACAGGTAAGTTAAATATGGGAACCCTCTGCTGTAGTTTCAATATTCTCACCCCCCTGCTCCAACTTAGGACCTGTCTCACTTCCCTTTCTCCTCTGTATCTGACACCACATCCACTGGGGAGGGGAGGGGAGGGGAGGGGAGAGTGGGCTTGTCTCCATCTCCTGCATCTGCAGGATGTAGACACAGAGCAGCCTCCCGCTGAAGCAGCAGGGAAGAGACGGGGGAGGGCATGCTAAGACAGAAACACACTGATCTGGGGCAAACACATCAATGGCCACACTTGAATACAACAGAGCGGAGATGTATAATCCTGCATGGGGGACAGTAACAACCTGAGTCCCTGTTTCAATGTTTTGCTTCCCATTTTCTACTAGTGCATTTTGCCCAGGTTCTGCTGTTGTAGTGGGTTTCTTTAAGTTAGTACTCTTAATTCCTTATTCTTGCTCTTAATTCCTTATTCTTGCTCTAACCATTTTGAAGATTTAATCAGCTTTGATATTGGGGAACTGTTAAGAATTCGTACAGATCAGAAAAGTGAGATTTGAAAACAAAGTCTGTTTTGTGAAAAAGAGAAACCAGCTACCATCTACAATTAGCTCAGGTTTGACTTTGACCTCGTCTTTTCCACTAGGTGGACCCTGAGGTATTTGCTGCCCTTCCTGCTGAACTTCAGAGGGAGCTGAAAGCAGCGTATGATCAAAGACAAAGGCAGGGCGAGAACAGCACTCACCAGCAGTCAGCCAGCGCATCTGGTGAGCCTTGGAAGTGGCATGTAACAAAAATGAAGACAAAGAGTAATGGAGTCACTGTTGTCTAATTATTGCAGTATATAATGGGCAAAGTCTAAGCTGTTGCATTAAGAGCTCTTCATATTGGGATAATATCTGAAGTATACAGTATGAGTAAATATCATCATATTTCTAGTTGGATTTGTGTCTGTACTTTCAGGATTTAAACACACCACTTTTTACTTTTTAAAAAGTTGGAATAGGACATTACCACAAATGTCTTAAATACTTGTTCAGCTAGTTGTCCTTTGAGATGAATACATTAAAGGATGTTGGTTCAAAATGCATCACAAACATCAAACCCACATTTAGTACTACCCATCATAGATGAGCAACATGCCAAAGGTCAAATTAGTAAGTGGCAAAGCAAAGAGAGAATTGGAGAGCCTGTACTTTGGGCCATTGCCATTCACTGCCTCTCACTTGGGGCAGGAGGGGAGGTGTAGGCTAGGGAGCCTGTTGTATTTGGGAGGAGAAAAGAGAACCCAATACTGTCATCCAGACTATCCATACTATCATTTTGTTGAGGATCTTATATCCATCTGCTCTTAGTGCCAAAGAATCCTTTACTTCATCTAAAGGCAGCAGTGAAAGAAAAGAAAAGAAACAAGAAGAAAAAAACCATTGGTTCACCAAAAAGGATTCAGAGTCCTTTGAATAACAAGCTGCTTAACAGTCCTGCAAAAACTCTGCCAGGGGCCTGTGGCAGTCCCCAGAAGTTAATTGATGGGTTTCTAAAACATGAAGGACCTCCTGCAGAGAAACCCCTGGTAATTCCTTAACTTTGACCTTTATGAGATCTTAATATACCTGGATAATGTGTGAATATAGCAATTTTATCCTTTGTTTTCTTAACAGGAAGAACTCTCTGCTTCTACTTCAGGTGTGCCAGGCCTTTCTAGTTTGCAGTCTGACCCAGCTGGCTGTGTGAGACCTCCAGCACCCAATCTAGCTGGAGCTGTTGAATTCAATGATGTGAAGACCTTGCTCAGAGAATGGATAACTACAATTTCAGGTTGGCTTGGCCTGTGTTAGATGGCCCAAGGCTGAGATGTAGTCGTCTCATGATTTGAGAACATAAACAGACTAAACTATGCAGATTTAACCCATTTCTCTAACTCTGATAAGCTTAAAGCAGCTACCCCCAAATCTTTTAAATTCTGGGACTTGCTTTGAAAAGTAACAAAGCCCATTCCTTTGATAGCTGTTAGTGACATAGTTGTAGAAATGCAGTTTTCCTTTATCCATGCAGATCTCTGACTTTCTCCTTCAAAAAGACTGGTCCTCATTTGAAGTTTTTCCCCCTTCCTAGATCCAATGGAAGAAGACATTCTCCAAGTTGTGAAATACTGTACTGATCTAATAGAAGAAAAAGATTTGGAAAAACTGGATCTAGTTATAAAATACATGAAAAGGTAGTAATTCATCACTTTTATCAAATGGGAAAAAATGGCATGTCACAATGGCTGAGGGTGTACTGAGTTGTTTTAAACTTTCTGGGAAACTGTACTCATTAGGGTTAATGAGAAAGTGATATCCTTTATTTTGCCATGTTGACTAAGTAGCAAATAAGGTTCCAAATATGTTGCCCTCAAGGTCTTACATGTGATTAAAAAACCATAGGAAGTGGGCTGGGCACAGTGGCTCACGCCTGTACTTCACTTCGGGAGGCTGGGGTGGGTGGATCGTTTGAGACCAGCCTGGCCAAAATGGCATAACCCCATCTCTACTGAAAAATACAAAAAATAAATAATCTGGGGGGGTGGTGGTGCCCACCTGTGGTCCCAGTTACTTGGGAGGTGGAGGCTGCGGTGAACCATGATTGCACCACTGCATGGCTCCAGCCTGATCGACAGCTTGTCTCAAAACAAAATAAAAAAAAATTTGAGTGTTCTAGGATTTTATTTTTTTTGAGATGGAGTCTCACTCTGTCGCCCAGGCTGGAGTGCAGTGGCAGGATCTTGGCTTACTGCAGCCTCTGCCTCCTGGGTTCCAGTGACTCTCCTGCCTCAGCCTCCCGGGTAGCTGGGATTATAGGCATGTGCCACCATGCCCACCTAATTTTTCTATTTTTTGTAGAGACGGGGTTTTACCATGTTGGCCAGGCTGGTCTCAAACTCCTGACCTCAGGTGATCCGCCCTCCTCGGCCTCCCAAAGTGCTGGGATTACAGGCATGAGCCACACCGCACCTGGCCAGGACTTTTTTTTTTTTTTGCCAAAGTCAATTTTTATATATAAAAAGGAATAATTAGTCTTAAGGACCTTTCCTAATTCCTAATGACATTTCTTCTCTCCCCACCTTTAGGCTGATGCAGCAATCGGTGGAATCGGTTTGGAATATGGCATTTGACTTTATTCTTGACAATGTCCAGGTGGTTTTACAACAAACTTATGGAAGCACATTAAAAGTTACATAAATATTACCAGAGAGCCTGATGCTCTCTGATAGCTGTGCCATAAGTGCTTGTGAGGTATTTGCAAAGTGCATGATAGTAATGCTCGGAGTTTTTATAATTTTAAATTTCTTTTAAAGCAAGTGTTTTGTACATTTCTTTTCAAAAAGTGCCAAATTTGTCAGTATTGCATGTAAATAATTGTGTTAATTATTTTACTGTAGCATAGATTCTATTTACAAAATGTTTGTTTATAAAGTTTTATGGATTTTTACAGTGAAGTGTTTACAGTTGTTTAATAAAGAACTGTATGTATATTTTGTACAGGCTCCTTTTTGTGAATCCTTAAAAACTCAACTCTAGGAAGCAACTACTGTTTATTATACTAAAAGGCTGAAAAACCTCCAGGCCAGACTGCTAAGCTCTGAAATTCCTGAGAGGTCTCAGACCGGGATTCTACTTGTTCCAAGAAAGGGTAAAGCTTCTAAACCATCTTATTCTTGTCTCCAAGCATGAACACAGGAGCATGTTAAGAAAATCTTTACTACTTCTTCCATGCGGAGAAATCTACATATTTTGAATTAGAAACACCCTCACACCCACTTGAAGATTTTTTTCCTGGGAACATTATGTCCCGTAGATCAGAGGTGGTGTTGTCTTTTTGCTTCTACTGGCCATTGAGAAACTTTGATGATAAAAAAGAACGGTATAGATTTTTCAAACGTATATAAAATATTTTTATGTTATATGTTATGCCATAACTTTAAAATAAAAATAGTTTAAAATTCTATGCTAGTGGATATTTGGAACTTTTTCCTCAAACAAACACCCCACACTGACTTCAGCAAAACCCTAAAACTAGCTACAGATTACTACTACGAATGAATCATTAAGTTTTGTGTCTGCAACAATTTAGAAGCACTAAGCCCAAATATCAGGAAATGTGTGTATGATGGAATTTTCTAGGACAAAACAGATCAAGATTAAAACAGATCAAGATTAATGTATAAAAATCTCTACTAAAACAGATCAAGATTAAAACAGATCAAGATTAATGTATAAAAATCTCTACTGTTACCAGGTGCTGGCATACAAGGTAGTGTGATGATAGTTTAGTTTGTAAGATAATTCTTGTCCTAGGAGGACAACTTGTGGGAGAGAAGCTACACTAACATGGAAGCCTAACAGAGCTTGCTTACTGGTGGATGTCTGTTTTCTTTATTGGTAGTTTGGTTTAGAATTGTGATGATTACAATGGACTCGTGACTACACAAGCAGTAAAAAGCAGCCAGCTGTGCTTTTACACCATGGTTTCACACAAAGCAGCTAAAGAAATATCAGAATGCCTAATTTTCTATTTTATAAAAGCCCTAAAGGCATATGGCAGAAGAATGCTGGAAAAATCACTGTGGGAAGAATATGCATAAATAAAGAAGTATTTCTTACGTCAAAAAAGTCCCAAGAATCACAAAATCTGCAGAAGCTTGGTTAATCAAATACTGCAGTACTGATTTAATCAGTATAAAATCGAAAGAGCTTTAGATCTGTAATAAAAATCCAAATTTGGGGAAGGGCAAACTTTAAAACAGCAGCCAAGTAGAGAAGGGTTGGGGAAGGGAGAGGTGAGTGAACAGGCACATTGGAACTGTGGGGACATGTAACTGACCACTGTCAAACCAGTGTAAGTTTCTTGGTTTCTCATGGAAAACATTTTATACACCTATTTTTCTTCCTTCCATACTTAAGTCCATCAGTGTCCAAATACGTCTGTTCCATTTTTTGTCTGATTTTTGTTGGGATATTACAACACAGTATTGCATTTACTCCAGTTCCTGCTCCATGTGAAAAAATTAGATGATTTCAAATACTTTCTTCAGCTCCACAATAAGCTGCCAGTCACTCTTCTGCATTTCATCTCTGAACCAGTCTTTGAGTGCATCAATGGACTGCCGGCTGATCTGCAATGCCCGAGGCACAAACAGGGTAAACAGAACATAACAAACGTGCCAAAGAAAGCTGTGGCCCCAGATGCCCGCTCTCACTGTACTAAAAAGCTTAAGCAGAAATAAAAAACAGGGCTTGCCTGCCTAAGGGAGTAGAATTCCAAAATCACATCTGGTTTGCATGTCAGGCACGAGGGGACCTAAAAGTCCTAGCTTTCTCTGTTGGTGCTGCTTTCCTGATAGAGCAACTTCCTCAACAGACAAGGCCCAGCTAGAGGTCAAGCCCTAATGGGGGATCCAGTCCCATCAGATTCTACAATCAAACTGAAGCCCAAGGAGCTACAGGTACAGGTGACCCAAGAAGAGTGATTCCCTGTTGCTTAAAGTGTGCCACTTTTGCTGAAATACTTACCTTACTAACAAGAATATCTGTAGCTTCAAAATGTCTTCCAAACATTTTGGGTGACTCACCAGGGATAGGTTCTATTTTTACACAAACTTCTTGTCCTTTTTTTGCAACATCCACTTGTTTATGGTTTATTTCAATACTTGTTACTATTCCGATGTCAACAAACTATAAAATAAGAACAAATTAAAATGCATGCAGAAGAATTCATGCCAATCACAGGCGCCATGGCTGGATAGCTGAAGTAAGAACTAGAGCAAAAGCCTGTTTTAAAAGTCATGGCAGTGCGATCCTTTCATCACTCACGGTGTAACATTTTGGTAAACTAGGCTGGCACCACCAACACCCTATTCCCTTCATGATGGTTGTAAGAATGACAGGAGATAATGTGCTTTGCAAAACATTCCAAGTGCCCTGTTGACCCAATGTCATTTCCTATTTTTGCTCTACCATTTCACGTGACAGGTGCCGTAATAGGAGGGATCAGCAGGCACAAAGGGTCTGAGTCAGGAATGAGCTTGAAGTGGCTGATGGGAATGAAGTCAGAGTGAGGACCAATCCTGAAATTTTAAGAATGATGGCCTGTGAGCAGATGAGTGATGTGATCTCAGAGTTTGGGGCAAAAAACCCTGACTCCTTTGTGGAGAAAAAGATTCAGGAGAGTAAGAGTGAAAACAGGGAGAGCTCTGGTTGGTTTAGGAGGCCAAAGCCACATAGAAAGTAACACAAATAAATGTCCAGGCTTAGTCCACTGAAATGGTAGAAAAGCAATGACAACTTCTAAGTGCCATTGCCCATTACAAGAACCAGGTTTGGGCCAGGGAAAGTACTAGATGAGGCTGGAACATCTCAACCAGAAAGGAAGATGATGCTCAGACTGCTGTGTGTCAAGGATACAGGAGCCAGTTGAGCTCCTACTGACCACAATAGAAAATCTGAGTATCAAAAGAATAAAGGTAATGGATTATATTAAAAAAAAAAAAACCCACTGAGTCTATGACTCAATAAAAAGGTCAGTGGGAAGAGGTTCTTTGTAAGAAATGGGGGGACAGGTATATCCACAATTTTGCAACCATCTACGTAATAGTTGACTTAGGCAACGCTTGCCAGTGGGTACTAAAGGCACTGGGATAAAGGCTGTTGAGAAACAGGATATCCATTAGGAACTCCAGGTACCAGACAGATTACAGAGTAATTATAAAGGGGCAAGTTTCTAATGGAGATGGTTGGCGTCTAGCACTTTCCCCAGGAAATCAGAGCATCAGCAGCAGTCAGACAGGCTGGGTCATGCAAGAGGCAGGCACACAGGGAAACTGCATGAGTGTCTTTCCAATAATTCTAACCTGTGTCTAGTTGGGAGGGAGAGAAACAGATAAATCCAAATGGAGGAGGGATTTGCAAAACAACAGGGACACTTCAAAAAGAATGGAGGACTGTTCTTGACTGAGGCTCAGCCACAAAACAAGCCCCAGTGCAATGCAGCTTGCAGGGCACTGGGCCAGATTGGTGGGGAGAGTTACCAAAACATCTTTGGAATAACTGGTGAAATAATGTTGAGGGCTGCAAATTATAGGATATTGTTGAAATATTATTAATTTTTCTTAGGTATGCTGACAGAAAGGGAAGGTAAACATGAGTGTTCATTATACTAGTTTTTAAACTTTTCCACAGGCTTGAAACCTTTCAAAATAAAATAAAAGGCAATAATGTAAAGTGCCTTGGAGCCCCAATTAACTGAAGCACTGAGATCAGCACTGAGTCAACACTGACTATGGAGCACTGATATTTACCAATACTGAAGCACAACAGAAGGTGACAGGCTCTGCTTGTTTTAAAGTTACCACATTTTCTTCCTACTGAGGTAAAAACACTGAAACATTTGTTAAGAAGGTGGAGACCACACTAAATACACAGCACAGTACTGTGAACTACAGGCACAAAGCTGTGTTGGTACGACTCTTGGACACTCATTTAGTGCTTTAAGAAATGACCCACAGAATGTACAACTAGAACTTACATTTTTGCTTGGGACACACATGGGTGTCCCCTGTTTCACCTGACCTGCTTCCACCGTCACCCCCATCACTATCGGATCTCGAGAATTAAAAATGTACTGAGGGAGGATTTTTATCTTGCAGGGAAATACTGCTATGTGCCTGAAAGGAAAAAAGAAAAGAATTTTAAGCTTACAGAATCACTTAAACATAAAAAGAAAAACTGCAGCTGAACATCAGGCTTCTCCCATTAGAGGAAAGCAGCTTTCCCCAGCGGCCACAGGAGAGGGGCAGGCAGGGTGCTGCAGCCCAGGGCCACCCCATGCCCAGAGCGCTTCTTCCTTGTTCTTAACCTCCTCCTCCCCATTCTGTTGCTTCCCAAGTCTTTGCTTTCTTCTCTTTTAAAGCCCTACCTCCAAAAGAAGCTGCATCACAGGAGCATTCTGTTCCTAGTCTAAAACACTGAGCTTGGCTGCTGAAGATGTCAGCCACAGTCTGGGGCTTAGAACCTAGGCAGTACCTGGTGACAGGCAGGTCTTCGTTAGGCACATATGTAGGCTACTGGGGGATCACATAGGCATCAGACCGTATTATCACCCTCCTTTTCTCCACCACGTTCCCAAACCATTGATCCAAAAGGCCACTACATAACTACCCTGCTTATTGAGCACACGCTTAAAATGCTTTAAAAGTTTCCAGCAGTCTTGTTAAGTAGAATTCTTCTCACTTCAGGTTTCATGATCTAAAGTGAGCATATACCAGTCTAAATCCTAATATTTACTAGTAAGCTCCACTTAAAAATGTATCCCAAACTACGCCATCACTCCTATCATCACTGTGGTCTGAATCACCTAGACCTCTTGCTTGGACTGTGGGAGCCTCCTGACAGGCTCTTGCCACTGACTTCCTAACAACCCAAGGTCCACATAACAACCCAATTAACCAGTCTGATTGTGAACACACAGCCTTGGCAATGGCTTCTTGCAAAACTCAGAGAAGCTCAATCCCTCCCATGGCCTGTAAGATCCTTGACGATACAGGTCCTGCCACCCTCTCTGACCTCATTTATCACTGTCCCTTCTGGTCACTCTGCCTCGCACTGCTGTTCTCTCTGGACACTCCCCATGTGCCTGTGTGGCTTACTCTGTCTGAAGAGGTGAGATGCCTTCCCAAACCACATCATTAATCACAGTCCCTCCTCTCCTTATCTAGGCCCTTCCCTGCTTTATTTGGTTTTTCAGCACTTCTCAACATGTGTCAATTGTCCTGCAATAAGAGCATGTCCCAGACCAGGCACAGTGGCTTACACCTATAATCCCAGCACTTTGGGAGGCAGAGGCAGGTGGATCACTTGAGCTCAGGAGTTCAAGACCAGCCTGGCCAACATGGCGAAACCCTATCTCTACCAAAAATACAAAAAATTAGCCAGGCATAGTGGTGTGAGCCTGTAGTCTCAACTACTCGGGAGGCCAAGGTGGGAGGATCACTTGAGCCCAGTAGGCAGAGGTTGGGGTGACCCATGATCATGCCACTGTACTGCAGCATGGGTGACAGAACGAGACCCTGTCTCAAAGGGAAAGGAGGAGGGAGGCTGGCCTGGTTCTCTGCTGATGCCTCCTCTACCACTGCAGCAATGTAGGTACTGTGAGTGCTTGAGTGAAAGTTTGGTAGAGGAATGGACTTCTCTCCCACAGAATCTCTTATTTCCCGGTTTTCCTCACTCAAGTTTTGTTACTTCCAATCTATATAATCCCAGATGAGCAACATAAAGTCCCTACATTTAATAACTACGAACCCATTAACAAGACCCAAGTCTGCCAAGATTATTAAACTGAAGTCACAGACAAGACTTGTTTGCATACTGCTGGAATGTCCCCAGTATGTTGGGTTTCTGGTTTGTAACACACCATTTCAGGATGCAGCCTCTGGTAGATGAGTAAATGCCATGATTTTGCTGTTTACAGCCCTTTCTGGAATTCAGTAATTCTCAATCATGTTCATTAACAAAGACTCAAAGTAAATAAAAACAGTAACTTACTTAAATTCTTCTTGTTTCTGTTTCTTGTAGTCTTGTCTATATTTTGTAAAGGCATCAAATAAATGATAAATAATTTCTGCACTAAAAATTCTAACTCCTAAACTATCAGCCATTTCTTGTGCATCTCGTTCAATTCTCACATCGAAGGCCAAAATTACTGCATACCTAAAAGGTTAAAACACATCAAAGACCATTCAGTGAAAAACAGAGTATGTCACAGAGGACAGTTTTTTAAGATAGGACAGTTTTAAGATAGCTACGTAACATGAAAGCCTTCATAGCAAGAGAAATTACTTACTGAGGGTCATGTTCCAACATCACTGAAGCCTTCATAACATCTTTTTTATGCACTGGGCCAATGTTAATTCCTGCATACTGAAAAAATGGGAGTTTCCATGTTTATCTGTATGTATCAGGTAATGGCGATGGCACCAAAAACCACGACCAACCACCATTCACTTGTGGAGCGAGTTGTAGTTACTTACGGGCACTTCTGATGTTTTCAGAAATTCCAGTAGAGCTTCCAAAGAACCCAGTGTAGATGCCTGGACATAGACTCCTTTTTCTTCTAATTTGATAGCATTTAGTGTCTGCTTTAACTCATGGATCAATTCATCCTTGAAAAGAAATCAGATTTGATAAGGTTGTCAACACACCTCTATCCTCAGCAGTCTAGAATTAAATTGTGTTTCTCTCTTTGGTTAAGTACTCATCTGCAAATATGAAACTAAGGCTTAGATAGAGCAAGGCATCACAGAACCTGTGCTGGAATGAAGGAGGAGATTTCGGGGCCATACCCTAACTGTATTTCGCTTCACCTTTGTCTTAGGTTTACTAACTTTGAAATATGTTTAATCTCCGCTCCACTTGGCAAATACAGTAGATGGGTGGGCAGAATTAAACAGTAGAGAAGAAAAATTTTTTTAAAGTTAAAAAAGTACCACATAAACGTAATGTGTTATGATAGCCCAAAAGTTCAGCTTGTCTGTGTTAACTAGGAAATACCATAATCTCATGATCTCAGCAGCTCCTTCCTCCATCACTGCTTGTCGGGAAATGGAAGAAGAGATTTTTAACCAGAAATAAGTAAAACAAGTTTATCAATGCCACTGAAGGGACGTAAGTCCACTCCATACTCAGGACTGGGTGAAGAGACAGGCCTGCCCTATTCTCTCACTGGCCCTAAGATAGCTTATTCCCAACAGCATGACTTGATGCTGCCTAAATAATAAACACGGCCCCAGGACACAAGAGCCATGTGCTGGGAACAGTTGTATTTTCTCTTTGGCAAATGAACAAACTATGGCTCAAAGTCCACTTTTATGAAACTACAATGGACATGGGCCAAAAAGAATATACAATTTCTAGCTTTTTTTTTTTTAGACAGGGTCCTGCTGTCACCCAGGTTGGAGTGCAGTGGCACGATCTTGGCTCACTGCAGCCTCTGCCTCCCAGGTTCAAGTGATTCTCCTGCCTCAGCCTCCCAAGTAGCTGGGACTACAGGTGTGCATTCACCATGCCCAGCCGACTTCTAGCTTTTGACTCATTTTTTTATTTGAATAAAATGCATTATTTTTATAATTCTAGTACATATAAAAATTATACCAATTTCTATGATTGTACAAACTGAAGTAATTCAAAAGCATCAAGTTTGCTAAGAGGCCAAGAAATGGCAGGCTTCACAAAGACAAAGCCAGTTTTGGTCACCATCCCTAGCATGTGCAATGCTGACACATGCCAGAACTCAAATAGCTTTTAAGGAAAAAAATTTTTAAATGAACTTACTTTAAGAACAGGGATTTCATCTTCTTTATAAGCCACAAGGAGGGGTAAACCAGCCAATGTTTTCTCCAGGTCTTTTCCAAGAATCTTTACCCCCTGAGCTGCTTCTACTTCTTTATGCTTTTCATACTGGTTCTACAGAGATAAAAACATTTGTTACCAAATGTACTTTAAAAGTGGTTAGCAGTAGAAGATGATATAAGAGAATCTCATCATGATATTAGAGAGAGGTTTCTTAAACGAGGCACAAAAAGCAATAATCACAAGACTGATAAATTTAACATTAAAATTAAATATTTCCATTTCTCAAAATACCACAGGAAAAAAAAAGTCACAAGAGTAGAAGATATTGCAAAACACACCAACTAACAAACCGGTATCCTGAATATATAAGCGCATATAAATCTGTAAGAAAGATAATGCAGAAGAAAAATGTACATCTCACGAAGGAGGAAATAAATGGCCAATAAACATTTTTAAATGACCAACCAGGTTAACAATTAGGCAAATGCACACTGAAACGGCAATGAGCTACACACTTAGCAGAATGGCAAAAAAAATTTAAAACCTAACATCCAAGAACTGATGAAGCTGTAAAACAATGAAACTAAAATACTGCAGTTGAGAATATAATTTGTTACACCCACTGTAGACAAGTGTGGCCTTCACTCCTAGGTATACATACCCTGGGAAACTGGCACAAACACATCAAGAGATGTTCACAGCAGCAGCATTATTAGTAACAACAAAAATCAAAAACTGGGCCGGGTGCGGTGGCTCACTTAGGGAGGCTGAGGTCAGGAGTTCGAGACTAGCCTGGCCAACACGGCAAAACCCCACCTCTACTAAAAATACAAAAATTAGCCGGGTGTGGTGGCGTGCACCTGTAATCCCAGCCTGGATGACAGACTGAGACTCCATCTCAAAATAAAATAAAATAAAATAAACATAAAAAACTGGAGATCACCTACATTTCCCATCAACAGAACAGATAGATATGTTGTGATATAGTCACACAATGGAATAGAAATCTTAAAATTATATACTTTTTTTTTTTCACTAAAGGAAGCCAGATATAGGCCAGGCATGGTGGCTCATGCCTATAATCCCAGCACTTTGGGGAGATCAAGGTGGGTGGATTGCTTGAGCCCAGGAGGTCAAGACCAGCCTGGGCAACATGACAAAGTCCCATCTGTAAACAAATTAGCCAGGTGTGGTGGTGCGTACCTATAGTCCCAACTATTCAGGAGGCTGAGGTGGGAGGATCACCTGAACCCCGGGGAGGTTGAGGCTGCAGTGAACTGTGACTGCACCACTGCACTCCAGCCTGGGTGACAGTGAGAGCCTATCACCAAAAAAAAAAAAAAAAAAAGAGCCAGCTATAAAAGTACACACTGAGAATAACTCCATTTCTACATAAAGTCTACAGACACTTCTAAGGGAAGTACTCTTAGACACAAAAACAAAGCAAAGCAAGGATATTTGTTACTGTCATAAAATGCAACCATGGTTAACTCTATGAAAGGTCAGGGGGTAGGAGGGGAAGGCAGGGGAGTTGATCAGGAAGAAGCACACAGGAAGCTTCTGGGTGCCAGCAGCGTTCTGATTCTCCATCTGGTTGCTTCCCAAAAATGTGTTAAACTTTTCTTCTATGTTGTGTGTACTTTTCAGGAGCAATGTTTTATTTCACAATTAAAAATGTTAAAAAACTACAGCTGACCCTTGAACAAAATGGGCTTGAACTGCATATGTCCACTTATACTCAGATTTTCTTCTGCCTCTGCCACCAAACACAGCAAGGCCTACCCCTCTCCTTCTTCCCTCTCAGCTTACTCAACATGAAGATGAGAATGAGGACCATTATGATGATCCACTTCCACTTAACAAATAGTAAATCTATTTTCCTTATGATTTTCTTAATCACGTTTTCTTTTCTCTAGCTTGTTTTACTGTAAGAATGCAGTATGTAATATATAAAACATACAAAACATGTTAGTCGACTGTGTATGTGATTGGTAAGGCTTCTGGTCAATGGTAGGCTATTAGGAGTTAAGTTTTTGGGGAGTCAAAAAATATATGTGGATTTTCAACTGGCCAGGGAGTCAGTGCCCCTAGCCCTCATGTTGTTCAAGAGTCAACCGTATTTAGCAGTGTAGAACCATAACAGTGTAGTTTAGAATCTGGCAAAGGCCCAGTCTGGTAAGCAGGTACTTTCACACATCTCTACTCTGACAGACAGGCCTTCCTGTATGATGACAACTAAAATAAAAGGGAGAGCGAGGGATGTATGTGTTCTGTATTAAGTCAAACAGCTTTCAAAGTGAGGAAACCATCTCAGCAGAACTTCTAAACACTGTACAAGTCCCCACGTGTCAATGCTTCCCACCTCAGCATACCTTCACTCGTAATTCCTTCATAGGAGGAGGTAACAGGAGGCCTCGAATCTGAGTTACAATGGGCCCTTCTACTCCAGGAACAATGATTGTATCTCCTTCCTTCAAACGCCCATTGATCAAGATGACATCTATAGTGGTGCCCATCCCCGGGAGAGCTTTAACCTAAAAGGCATTAATGCAAAGAGAAAGACATACATACAATGCACCATGTTCATTAAATCTAAAAGTAGTAAATATCCTCCACTCAAGGAACTTGCTATTTTTAAAAAAAAAAAAAACAATAAACTGAAAAGTTGATCATTACCTCCATCACCTGTGCTCTCAGCTCTTCACAGTGTGCAAGTCTCTTGCTCAACATGGTCTGAGTTAACTCTACAAGAAGGTAGATCAGACTTCCCATGCCATCACCAGTATGTGCAGAGGTAGGTACCAAAGACACAAAAGTGCGGGGATCTTTATTCTCATAAAACAAAGCAGCATTCAAACCCTAGGAGCAAAAATCATCCAAAATGCCAGGCTGTAAAGAAAACGTATCTGGAATAGGTGTGCCTCACTAGAAGCCGGATGAGCAAATGGCTCATCATTTTGAAACTCCTCATAAACACTAAAAATGATCATGTATATCCTATAAGCATTAACTGTATTATAGCAAAGTAGTTCTAAGTCAACTCAGTTTTCTAAATTAAAGTATTCAGACTGCAAAGAAAAAGGAGAAAAGGGAAGAAGAATTTAAAAAAAGTAATTGCTGTCAACAGAGGAAAAGAACCAGTATTAATGAAAATGCTGACTTCATTATAAAGATAATATAATACATATTCTGAGATAGGCTCTTCAGAAAGAAGGAAGGCCTTCTTACCTGCTGTGCAAATTCTACAATAATAGCCTTTGCTCGCTCCTCAAATTCATCTTTTGTATTCTTTTTCTGCTTCTTTAAAGTAGCAGCCACATCAGAGTCAGGACTCTTTTTCCAATCATATAACCTATCAATCTGAAAAAGTTTTTTCATGAGAAAGATCTCTAAAAAATTCAGAACATTCAAGAACTGTATTAATAGCTCCAGAAAATTCCTCATGTGTGTCTCATATATACAGAACAGTGTGACTTACTCATACACTTTATTGTACCAAAAGCTCCTTTCAGACTGCTTATCGGCACCTGCTCTTAAATTAGAAACTGCTGTGGTGCCATGCTGCCCCTGTCAGCCTCCATGAGTTCCTAAGTGGCTGCCATTTGTTTGCAAAAGATAACATCCTAGAATTATCCTAAGACTATTAATGTATATTGTTGGAATTCCGAAACAGTTTTTGTAACAAATCAATCAATCCCAGCAAGTACCATCACTATAAAATTATATACCAAAAAATTAAAAAATATATATTTTCTAAGGGAACAGCCTATTTTAATTATTTTATTGCTCAAATTAGGATTAAATCTGTTTTGTTAATGACAGAATCTATTTTCCCTCACTTTTCAACATGAGAGATAAATGAGCATAGAAGAAATGAAAAATACTTGCTAGCCAAACAAACAATCAAAAGCATAATCTGTCTGGGGACAGAGTCTAGGGTGACAAAATAAAGAATCAGACGAATCTGAATGCTACTAAGGAGACAAATCAGTAGGAAATGACGAAGATGTTAAAATTAGCATATGAGGTCCTTAGAATATTTATAAACATGCTCAACACCTTTAAAGGAAAAGCCTGAAGCTTGTAAAGCTAAATAATAAAAACATGTCTAACTAGTAATTAGAAATTAACACTTTTAAATGCTTATATTAGAAAAGAATATCAATAAAACCAAAAGCTAATTCTTTGAAATAATCCAATTCCTGCACATTCTTTCAGAAAACAGAGGAGGAAACACTTCTCAACTCGTCTTAGGAGGCCAACATTACTCTGATATGAAAACCAGATAAAAGACATTACAAGAAAACTACATACTCATATCACTCATGAACATAGACACAAAACAACAATGAAACATTACAAATCAAATCTAGCAATATATCAAAAGGATAACAAATGACAACCAACTAGGGTTTATTTTAATAATGTAAAGTTGGTTTAACATTCTAAAAATTCAACAGTAATTATGTTGTTAACAGAATGAAGGAGAAAATCCACATGAACATCTCTACATACGCAGGAAAAGAATTTGACACAATCAACAACCATTCATGATTAAAGAAATAAAAACATAAAGCACTTTAAACCACCTAGAATAGAAGGAAACTTCCTCAAACTTAATAAAGGGCATTGACAAAAAAACCAAAAAAACAAAAACCCTGCAGCTGACATCATACTTAAGGGTGAAAGACTGAGCACTTTCCCTTAATATCAGGAATAAGGAAAGGATGATGTCTACTGTCATTCCTTCTATTCAACATTATTTAGAAGGTCTAGTTAGTACAATAAAGAAGAAAAAGATGTAGAAAGCATATAGGTAAGGGGAAAAAAACATAACTGCATTTATAAGCAGATAACATAACAACATACTTAGAAAAACTCACATTATTTACAAAAGAAGATACTAGGCCTAATCAGTGAATTTAACAAGGTCACAAGATACAAACTGAGTGTAAATGTGATAAACAGCTGGAAATTTAAGAAGTTTTCATGCTATTTACAATAGCATTAAACCATGAAATACTTAGGGATAAATTCAGAAAAATATGTCCAACATGTGGACAATAAAACTACAAAATATTGCCAAGAGAAAGTAAAGAAGGCCTGGCCAGGCATGGTGGCTCAGGTCTTAAATCTTAGCACTTTGGGAGGCTGACGTGGGCAGATTGCTTCAGCCCAGGTGTTCGAGACCAGCCTGGGTAACACAGACCTCGTCTCTATTTAAAAAAATAAATAAAATGAAAAATAATTTTTAAAAATGGTAAAGAGGACTAAGTAAATGTACAGAGATACCATGCTCACTGATCAAAAGATGCAATATTGCTAAAAGAGCCAATTCTCTCAAAATTTATCTACAGATTGAAACGCAATCCCAATCAAAATCCTAAAAGGCTTTTTGTGGAAACGAACAAGCTGACTGAAAACTTTATATTGAAATCCAAGGACCTAAAATAGCCAAAACAATATAAAGAAAACTAAGTTGAAGGATTTACCACTACCAGCTTTCAAAACTTTACTATGAAGCTATAATGAGACAGGGTAGTAGTGGCATAGGAATGTATATAGAGCAATGGAACAAAAGATAAATTCTAGGAACAGACATATATGGTCAATTAATTATTGACAAAGATTCCAAACTAATTCCATGGGGAAAAAAATAATTTTTTCAGCAAAGAGTCTTTAAATAACAAAATATTTCTATGGAAAAAAAGTAAACCCTGACCTCACACTATATAAAAAAAAGATCACTGATCTCAATGTAAAAAAAGCTCCAACTATTAAACATCTGGAAACACCAGAGAAAAATTTAATGAACTTGGGATAGGAAAAGATTACTTACATAGAACACAAATCGTAAAAAAATTAATTGGGGCCAGGCACGGTGGCTCATGCCTGAAATCCCAGGGCTTTGGGAGGCCAAGGCTGGCGGATCACTTGATGTCAGGAGCTCAAGACCAGCCTGACCAACATGGTGAAACCCCGTCTCTACTAAAAATACAAATCAGCCAGGTGTGGTGGCATGTACCTGTAATTCCAGCTACTTGGGAGGCTGAGGAACAAGAATCACTTAAACCCAGGAGGTAGAGCTGCAGTGAGCTGAGATAATGCCACTGTACTCCAGCCTGGGTGACAGAGCAAGGCCCTGTCCCAAAAATAAATAAAATATAAAAATTAGTTGGATTTCACCAAAATCAGAAATTTCTTCTCTTCAAAACACACTATTAAGAAAAGGAGGCTGGGCGTGGTGGCTCACGCCTGTAATCCCAGCACTTTGGGTGGCCAAAGCGGTGGATCACTTGAGGCCAGGAGTTTGAGACCAGCCTGGCCATCTTTACTAAAACACACACACACACCGCCCCCCCGCCCCCCAGAAAAAAACAACCCTAACCGGGTGTGGTGGTGCATGCCTGTAATCCCAGCTACCTGTGGCTTAGGCACAAGAATCGCTTGAGCCTGGGAGGCGGACGTTGTAGTTAACCAAGAGTGCGCCACACTGCACTCCAGCCTGGGCAACAGCAAGAGATGGTCTCCAAAAAAAAAAACACACACACACACAGCAAGAGACAGTCTCCAACACACACACACACACACACACACACACACACACACGCAAAACAAAACAAAGAAAATGAAAAACCAAGTCCCAGACCATAAGAATACATCAGCAGTACATACAAGTGAAAAAGGAATTATATACATAGAACCAGAAGTATAAAGAACTCTTAAAACTCAACAATAAAACAATCTAATAAAGAACAAAGGATTTTGAACATATTTTTCAAAGAAACAGATATGGTCATCTCTCTAAGCATAAGTACATGAAAAGATGCATAAAGCCATTAGTCACTGTGGAAACAAACTAGACCACAATAATTTTGCACTCAACTACACACCTACTAGAATGCTGGAGGTAGGGCGAGTATTCGCAAAGATATGCAGGAACTAGAATTCTCAACAGATAAATGGATAAAGTGCAGTATTATTCAGATAATGGACTACTATTCAAAAATAAAAAGGAAAAACCCTTTATACATGTAATGACAACATGAACAAAGCATAATAACATGAGTAACAAAAAATGCCAAACTTAAAAAATTACATACTATATGATTCCATTTATATGAAATCATAAAACAGGCAAAACTAGTCCATATGACACAGAAAGATCAATACTAGCTTGAGTTTAGGGAGGGCAGCAGAATGACTGCAAAGTAACATGAGAGAACTTTTCTGGAAATATGGAGATGGTCTATGTTCTGAATGACAGTGGTTGTAAATTTGTCAAAACAAATTAAACACTTAGCATGGGGTGCATTTTCTTATACATGCGTAACTCAGAGATACTGCAGGTTTGGTTTCAGACAACTGCAGTAAAGCTAATACTACAATAAAGCAAGCCACACAATTTTTGGGGTTTCCTAGTAGTGCTTCTAAAAGAGATGCTTATACTATATTGTAGTCTATTAAGTGTGTGACAGCATTATATCTTCTTAAAAAAAGCAATGTATACACCTTAATTTTAAAATATTGCTAAAAATGCTAACGAGCACCTGATTCTTCAACAAGTCATAATCTTTTTGCTGGTAGAGGGTCTTGCCTCGATGTTGATGGCTACTGACTGATTAGGATGGTAGCTCATAAAGGCTGGGGTGGCTGTAGCAATTTCTTAAAAGAGACAGCAAAGAAGTCTGTCCCATCAATTAACTGATTCTTCCTTTTATGAAAGATTCATTGGCTGGGCGCAGTGGCTCACGCCTGTAATCCCAGCACTTTGGCAGGCCGAGGCAGGCAGATCACCTGAGCTCGGAAGTTCAAGACAGCCTGACCAACATGGAGAAACCCCATCTCTACCAAAAATAAAAAATTAGCTGGGAGTGGTGGCGCATGCCTGTAATCCCAGCTACTCGGGAGGCTGAGGCAGGAGAATCGCTTGAACCCGGAAGGCAGAGGTTGCGGTGAGCTGAGATTGCAGCACTGCACTCCAGCCTGGGCAACAAGAGCGAAACTCTGTCTCAAAAAAAAAAAGAAATTTATCTGTAGCATGTAATGCTGCTTAGAGCATTCTACCCAGAATAGAGCTTCTTTCAAAATTGGAGTCAATCCTCTCAAACCCTGCCACTGCTTTATCAATTAAGTTGATTGCTATCCTAAATTCTTTTTTGTCATTTCAACAATGTTCACAATACCCTCACCAGAAGGAGACTCCACCTCAAGAAACCACTTTCTTTGCCCACCCATAAGAAGCAGCTTCTCATCTGTTCAAGTTTTACTTAAGATTGCAGCAATTCAGCTACATCTTCTGGTTCCACTTCAAATTCCAGTTCTCTTGCTATTTTTCTACCACATCCGCAGTGACTTCCTCTACTGAAATCTTGAATTCCTCAAAGTCATACATGAGAGTTGAAATCAGCTTCTTCCAAACTCCTATCAATGTTTATATTTTGTCCTCTTATGGATCATGAACGTTCTTCATAACATCCAGAAGGGTGAATCCTTTCCAAAAGGTTTTCAACTTTTGCCCAAATCCATCAGAGGAATCTCGATCTATGGCAGCTATAGCCGTATAAAATGTATTTCTTAAGTAACAATACTTGAAAGTTGAAAACACTCCTTGATCCATGAGCTGCAGAATGGATGCTGTATTAGCAGGCACGAAAACAACATTAATCTCCTTGTGTGTCTCCATCAGAGCTTGGGTAATCAGGTACACTGTTAGCAAGCAGTAATATATTGAAAGCAATCTTTTTCTCTGAGCAGTTGGTCTCAACAATGGGCTTAAAATATTCAGCAAACCATGCTATGAATAGACGTGCTATCATCCAGGTTTTATATTTCCATTTATAAAGCACACAATGGATTTGGCATAATTCTTTTTTTTTTTGAGACGGAGTCTCGCTCTGTCACCCAGGCTGGAGTGCAGTGGCGCGATCTCGGCTCACTGCAAGCTCCGCCTCCCGGGTTCACGCCATTCTCCTGCCTCAGCCTCCCGAGTAGCTGGGACTACAGGTGCCCGCCACTACGCCCGGCTAACTTTTTGTATTTTTAGTAGAGACGGGGTTTCACCTTGGTCTCGATCTCCTGACCTCGTGATCCGCCCGCCTCGGCCTCCCAAAGGATTTGGCATAATTCTTAAGGGCCCTAGGATTTTCAGAATGGTCAATGAGCACTGGCTTCAACTTAAAGTCACCAACCACATTAGACCCTAACTAGAGAGTCAGCCTGACCTTTGAAGCTTTGAAGCCAGGCAGTGATTTCTCTCTAGCTATGAAAGTCCAAGATGGCATCTTTTGCCAATAGAAGGCTTTTTTGTCTACACTGAAAATCTGTTGTTTAGTGTAGCCATCTTCATCAATCATCTCAGCTAGAGTTTCTGGATAACTTGTTGCAGCTTCTGTATCAGTACTTGCTGCTTCAACTTGTAACTTTAGGTTACAGAAACAGCTTCTTTCCTTAAACCTCATGAACCAACCTCTACTGGTTTCAAACTTTTCTTCGACAGCTTCCTCACCTTCCTCAACTTTCACAGAATTGAAGAGAGGGCCTTGCTTTAGATTAGGCTTTGGCTTAAGGGAGTGTTGTGGCTGGACTGATATTCTATGTGTGACTCCTCCTTTCACTTGAACACTTACAGGTCATTGTAATCTTATTAATTGGCCTAACTTCAATACTGTCTCAGGAAACAGGCCCAAGGAGAGAGAAAGAGACAAGGGAACAGCTGGTTGCTGGAGCAGTCAGAGCACTCACAACATGTATTGACTAAGTGTGCCATCTTATAGGGGTGTGGTTTGTGGCACCCCAAATCAATTAAAATAACAAAGATCATTTATCCCAGATAACCTAACAAATGTAATAATGAAAAAGTTTGAAATATTGCAAATTAACAAAATGTGACAAGAAGTGAACACAAGCTGTTGGAAAAATGGCACCAACAGACTTAATACTCTTGCTTGATGCAAGGCTGCTACAAACTTACAATTTGTATTTAAAAAAAAAAAACTATACACAAATACACACACACACACAATATCTGTGAAGCACAATATAGTGAAGCACAATAAAATGAGCTATGCTTGTAAGTTAATTATACTACTTTTTTTAATCACAAAAAATTAAGAAACATGTTTTCCTAGGTTAATTTTTCAGAAGGCGCACATACCTTATTGAGTGCAACAATGAAGGGACATTTTTTAGATTTGAGAAGGTTGATAGACTCAATTGTCTGGGGCTCCAAACCATGCATAATATCAACAACTAAAATGGCAATGTCACAAAGAGAGCTTCCTCTATTTCTCAGATTACTGTTGAAAAGAAGGAAAAGATCTATAAGTAGAAAATCTTGAAATTAATACTTTTCTTAAACTTTTAAACTTCTCTGTAAAACCCAAACAAAATAGAGTATATGTATTAAATTGTTCAAGTACTATTAGCCCTTAACTTGCCAAAGGCTCATCTACCAATCACTTGAATTGACCTCAAGTGGAATGAGCTAGTTTTAGAACCAACTAATATTTCTAATAATTTTACTGACCAAGTTTTCTGTGTTAAAGAATATGGACAAGAGACAACAGCATAATATTCCACTTGTAACGGGTTTTACAGGAGATAGGCCTGGCATGTATTAGCATGTTTTCTGCATTCCACATTAAGGGGGTGCTCTTTTAAAGCAGTAAAGACTTCCCTCTATAAAAAACAAGTATTCAAAGAAAACATTACTAAATCAATGAGGTACAAAGGTGGAGTGGTAGTTATAGAGATCAAATTACTACTCAAAGGTTAATGACTCTGCTGAACTTTTAGACTTAATGGTTTCAAGTAGATTGCTTGATGAGAAAAGACTCAAATTGCTCTTACCTGAAAGATTCATGCCCAGGAGTATCAATAATTAGCATTCCTGGAATCCGTACATTCTCTCTATCAAACTAGAAACAATGGGGAAAAGTTCAAAGTTTAAGAAAGTCAGACATGAAAGCTTCTTTACAGAACAATCCTTTTGCCATAAAACTCTGAAAGTATCACTACTCCCTTTTCCATATAAATGGCTTTAGAAACAGTGAGTTAACCAGCAAAGTACAGTTGTCAGTATTTTCATTAAAATCCAAAGGCATTTTAACAAAAAAATACTAAATGAGAAAATATCTCCTTTCTTAAGGTCTTACAACTATGACTGTAGTCCAAGTTTGAGCAGATTATTAAGTAAGTGGTGATACGAATCGCAGGGCAGTCATCTGAAATATTCTATAGAAATCTGACATGCAAGAGGTGGTTCTCAGCATTGGGAAAATTTATGTGGTCCAATTTTAAAGCAATTCTGACTTCAAATATATCCCAAAAGTACATTTTAAAGTAAATTTACCACATTGATCAAAAGTGTTAAAGAGTAAATGCATACCCTGTTGTATTCAAATAACGTCATAAATGCTTGACTTTCTGGACAAAAGGACATAAATGAATGGAAGTAACATTACAACAGATCTAATCTGGACATTCCCTTTTAGTCTAAAAAGTAACACTGACCAACTAATTTCACACACACACACACACACACACACACACACACACCCCCTTTTTGTATTATGCTTATCTACATTTTCTTTTTGCTAATCTTCAAATGATCTTCCAAAATTTGGTATCCTGATCTACATCAAAATAATGCAACGTAAAACATTTCAGATCCGCATTCTGGTTCACTGAGCACCATAATTATTTCCACTTTAGTGTCTTATATACTAACAGTAAGTAATTACAATTGTCATATAAAGGTTATCCCAAGAACTTTAATACAGGCCTAATAATAATCTTGTTCCTTACGTTCTAAAATAACAACGAGAGTTCAAGTTCTGGCAACTGGTGGAATAAGGTGTTATGAACCCTCTCCTCTAGTGACTAAAACATAGAAATACTGTTTAAAATAGGATGAAAATAAATTATAAATTTGAAAAGCTATAATTCAAGAAAACTGTTCTAAAATAAAAATTCACTACTACATATTATAATAGAACACCACATAACTGGAAAACTCAGAAGCGACATCAAGATGTAAAACGATCATAGGCCTTATAAAAAGACGAAATTCAGCTGATGATCAAACTTAACAGCAATACTTTATGCGAGAATAAATGGGACACAAGATACTTAAGGAATGAAAATGTCAACCAAGGATTTTATATGTGGCCAATGACTTTCCAGTATAAAGGCCACAAAATAACTCTTCAATATTCAAAAATTCAAGGAATGTTAATTCTTCTAATTCCTTCCTTAGAAATTGACTAGAAGACACGCTTCATAAAACCCAGTCACAAAGAAACAAAACAAAAACTGGAGAGACAAACTCATAGACTCTTTTTACATGCAGAACTAAGACTCAATAAGGAATAAAAGGGGACATTAGCATATAATAACATATGCTCTGTTTGTTTTTCAACTTACTGCTTCTCAGTTCCAAAGCTACCACTTTCACCTGCTCTGTGATAATGAAACTGAGGAATTATTAACAAGGCCCAGTTCTCAGTCTGGGTAGTTTCTATATTACATGAGCCGGGAACATCCTGCTATATCAGACAGCATGAATGCAACCAAAACTAGGACAACCAGAATTGTATGAGAAAGATTCAAGAGCCAACCACTGGGCAAAGATGGGACTATCTCAGCACAATAATAACTGAAATGGACTAATGCACAGTAAATATGTTTAAATCCATGAGTTCATAATAATACAAAACAGAATCAGGCTGGGCACAGTGGCTCACATCTGTAATCCCAGCACTTTGGGAGGCTGAGGTGGGAGGATCACTTGAGCACAGGAGTTCAAGACCAGCCTGGGCAACATAGGGAGACCCTGTCTCTATGAAGGGCAAACAAAAGAAAAAAAAAATCATATTGGCCACTTTTTATTTTAAAAGCTGGTTAAAAGAAGGTAAAGGATCAGGCATTAATTCTGCCTTTCCTAAATAAGCCATCACTGAATAATCAAATAGTAGATTAGGTAACGTTTCTCTATAGAAGTAATCCAATAATGGCTGATGGAGTTCGAGTATCAACATTTTGCAACTCCTAACACATTAAAAGGTAGAGATTATCTTAAAAAGTTGTGGCTGGAGAAGAGATCTTTGATTGGAAAGCTACACCTGGAGGGCTTCTGAAGCAGCTTGCAAGGTTATATTGCTCAACAAAGGTGACACTTAAAGGGTGGTGTGTATTATACTGATTCTTTAAGCTTTACATTTATCTTACTGTGTTACATTTAACATACATAAACTGAATACCTCCAAACAAGTAGAAAAATATGGGAGAAAAAGAAAAGAAATTGATTAGATTAGAAGGGGAAAAGAGTAGAGAAGGAAACAAAATTTTAAATTATGGGGATAAATGGTATCAGTGTTAAAGCATGGAGGCAAATGACTAACTGTGGAATAGTGGCTGCCTCTGGGAGAGGGAGGGAAGGAAATGGAATGTGAGAGCTCCTATAATATGTAGTGTTTTATTCTTTAAAAAGAATGATCTAAAGCAAAATAGGCAAAATAGTACATGTTAATTCTGAATGGTGAGTATATGGAGCTGTTATCCTAGTCTCTGTCCTTTTTCTATGTTTGAAATAGTTCATATCTTAATTTTTGTCAGAGATTAAAATACATGAAATACAATGTACTTACATTTTTAATCATCTTAGTCTGTTCATTAATAGCTTCAAGAGGAACATTGGTGGCCCCAATTTGTTGTGTGATACCACCTGCTTCACCATCTTGTACATGTGTGTGACGGAGCTATGAGAAGACAGCAAATACAGATTGGTATTTGAACATGGAAAAGATAGCAGCAAAAATAATAAGAAATTAGCAACTTATTTATTGTAAGCAGAATTGCTTATATGTCCTATTGGTCTCTAAAGTTTTTTTTTATAAGGTACCATTCACTTATTTTCAAAGTTCTATCAATACATTTAATACTTTCTTACCTTATCTAGAATTTTTGTCTTCCCTGTGTCCACATGCCCAAGTACGCAGATAATAGGGGCTCTTAGCTTTTCGGTGTTTACATTTTTACTATGTTCAAGTCGCCGTTTCTAGAAATAAAAAAAAAAAAAAATCAAAAATTAAATATTATTTCAAATCCTCACTATCCTTATTTTCTGTTTTGCCTTGGCAAAAGAATGCTACAACCTGCATCCAAGTTCTTTGTTGATTTGACTACACATAATTGGAATTTATAATGTGAACTTTACAATCGAATTCCCATCACAGCACCTCTGGATAAGGAAAAACCTGTTTAGATTTCACAGCAGCACTGCTGAATACGAATAGGAATATTGTAAAGTGTCATTTCAAAATTTTTGAATACTTTTGTACACAGTTACTTTAATGGAATATAATGACTAGAAAAGGAATCAATCTTCCCATCATACTGACTATATAGTGCAACCCTGAATTTGTGTGAGGATTTATATAAAAACAGGTGAACTTGTACATTTTAAAAAATTCACTGGAACCTAAGAATTTTAAAGATTTTTAAAGGCAATTTATTTCACACTTTTATCCAATATACAAATGCTATAAAACCTTTCAAGGAGGAGACTGTTTATTTAAGGTTCAGCTTAAATAAGTAAAACATGTCCTGACTTTCCAAGGCTCTACCACTTTATGAACACCAGTAAGAGCGAGAAAGCTTTTCCTTGAACCACAACGTGCTTCTCCGTTGCATTTACCTAAATGCTTCAGCTTTCTGAGGACCAAAAACACATGCCAGCAATAGGTTTTCTTTGAAATGACCTCTCAAATACAGTAAAGTTGGCATTCAAATTAGATAAACTTGAAGCAAAAACTATGAAGTAATGTCATTTACAAAACTATTTTTCATCTAAAAACCATTTCTGTAAGAACCCTTTACTTGCATTTCTAGTACTAGACATTAGATTTTTTGGTAGAAACTGAAACTGAAAAACTTTTTAAAATACCAAAAGTGAGATGCCAGGGATGAGCACAAAGTAGGACTTAATCACTAGCAAAGAGTAGTACCCGACAACCTCACAGTACATACAACTCAAATTCAAACATCATGACTTTATTTGATATGGCTGAAAACTGCCTCTCTCTCCCACACTTAGTGAAGTGTTAAAAATTTTTGGAGGGCAATAAGTTACAAACTGACTCAGAAATTCTAAGTATACTGAAGCAATGACAGGACAAGAATACAAACCCCATTCCACAATGGAGATTCTGACCCAGGAATGGAGTGAATTTCAGAAAATCATAATATGTAGCAAGGTTTATGGATCCATGAAGTTTGTTATGGACTGAACATTTCCCCAAAATTCCTACCTTGAAGCCCTAACCCCTCATATGACTATATTGGGGGCTAGGGCCTTTATTTTTAAAAACATGAAGCTCATACACACTACCATTAACTAATCTAGGGAGCAGGATAATTGAGAAACTCTTCTGCTTTATACTTATTTTGTTTGTTAATCAGCAAGCACAGTACAGATATTCCATCACTCTCTCGAACATGGGTATATGGCAAGGGAGCTGGTGGGAGTAGGTGCTACGGGAAAAGACAGTCATAACTGAGGTGCCAGGTGGGGAAGAATGCTACAGGCATCTAGTAGGCAAAGGCCAAGATGTTGTTTGGTATCATACAAGGAAGAGAACAGTCCCTGTCCCCAACAACAAAGAATTATCTGGCCCCCAAATTTTAATAGTGCCAAGGCTGAGAAACCCTAATTTAGAATAACAAATCCTCTTAGTCCTTTAGAAATTTAGACAATTTATCCATACCTAGACTTTACAGGAGAAAAAGCAAATGTTGATATATAGGTAGTAAAACAAAAAATTAAAAAATTAATAATACACAAAAAGGAAAGCTAAAATAGTTTTTAGCTTTAAAATAGTTTAATATCCTCAAGCAAACTAGATTTTAATGTATTATTTACATTAAGCTGACAGAACTAAAGAAAACTTTCTCTTGAAGCATACTGAAATCTACTGCATTAAGTAGGAAAAATACAGAAAGTCTATCAGGTATCGGACTTTACTAAATAGAAGCCTCATCAACCCACCAGATTTATATAACTATAGTGATCAGATGCCTCATGGTGACTAACCTAAATATGTGAGGCAAACACATAACTGATGTTTATAAGCAGAGGGCATATGCTCAGAATACCTCTGCATACTTATAAACTATCACTCAAAGAGTACATTAAAATTTGGAGAAAACAAGAAAAAAATGAAGTAGTCACACCATTCTATCTTAGGTAAGAGCGGGGACGGGGGGTCCTTGGGTAAGACCAGTATCAAAGGCCAGTAATATTTCAACATTACAAAAACTGAACGGTGTTCTATTCTTGAGAATACATAAAGTGCTGTTCAAAGCCTTTAGTTGTAGAGTACTGTTTTAATCATCACAGAGGAGTGGGAAGAAAAGTAGAGAGAAACGGTAAAATAAATACCTCAATCCTCCGTTTTGCTTTGTCATAAGCCCTTTCTTCTTTAGTCCGATCATCATCAGAGTCATATTCAGAATCTGAGCTCATTTCTTTACTTGGCTTTTTATCTAATGTCTTCCCTGAATCCTTCTCATCTGACACCTTTTCATCTTCCTCATCACCTTCACTGCCTTCACTTTCTCCCTCCTCTTCCTCCTCTTCTTCACTTTCTTCATCTTCTTCTTCCTCTTCTTCCTCCTCCTCCTCCTCTTCAGGGTTTTCTTTTACTTCTATATGAACTTTGTTTCCTTCTACTACGAAAGCAAATATATTTTTAAATAAATAAACATTAATATGATAGATTTATATCAAGATAAGAGACTTTAAAGCAGGGGTGTCCAATCTTTTGGCTTCCCTGAGCCACATTACAAGAAGAATTGTCTTGGGCCACACATAAAATACACTAACACACTAACACTAACAATAGCTGATCAGCTTAAAAATAAAAATCACAAAAAAAAGTCTCACGTTTTAAGAAAGTTTACAAATTTGTGCTAGGCCACATTGAAAGCCATCCTGGGCTGCATGTGGCCCACAGGCTGCAGACTGGACAAGCCTGCTTTAAAGTAAGGGGAGGAGATAATGCCTGGACCAGAACTGTTTCAGATTTTTTAAAATTTGGAATATTTGCATTCTATACTTACTTCATATTTTTTTTAATTTGGAATATTTGCATCTGAAATCGGAAAAACCTGAAATACGAAATGCTCCAATGAGCATATCCTTTGAGCGTCACGTAGTGGTGCTCAAACTTGATTTTGGAGCATTTCAGATTTCAGATTTTTGAATTTCAGAGGCTCAACTTGTATTTAAGGCAGTAACATGGTGTTTTCATACATCATAAACGCAAGGTGTTTGTCTATATGCTAAAACGAAATCTGTCACTTAACAGTAAAACCTTAAGGCAGTAATCCAGACTGAAGTCAGTATTAGTAAGACAGAATCCATGGGAGAACAAAACTCAAGGAGGTGGAACAGTCTTTAGTACCACTTTCCCCTTATGGTCATTTGTTGATTCGGGAAGAGGCAGATGAAAGGCTAAGCTGCATTGGGAGTCCAGACCTACCAAAATACTAAGAATTCAGTGGGGTGCAGTGAGCAGACATTGGGTTACACCCTTACTGTGGGGTACAATCATGAAGAGCTGTACCCTAGGAATAAGGATGAATAAGAAATAAACAGGATCTCCCCATTATTGGCAGATCACCTTCAGATCCTCTGGATTCTAAATCTAGAATAAGATTATTCCATATTGCTAGTTCACTCAGGTACCTTGTGGAAGTAACACATAAATTAGCTCTGGAGAAAAGAAAACATCATCCTTGACCTCAAATTACTTCTCCAAGCAAAATATCCAGCTATAAAAATAGCAAGGCACATGAGAAAACAATTTACGTGAGAAGAACCAACATATAAAACACCAAAAGGACTTTAATAAAGTCATAAAATCAAAATTTTAAAATGGCTGTGCTTCTAACATTCAGTCAGAAGCAAAAGACAAAGTTAAAATTTTAGAAGGTGAATTAAAACTATAAAAAAAGTTAAATGGAAATACTAAAACTGAAAAATATAACAAATGAAATTGAGAACTCAAAAGATGGATCTAACCTCAGAATAGAAAGAGCCAAGGAGAAAATCAGTGACCTAGAAGACAGTCAAGAGAAGCAATCCAGAATGAACCACAGAGACTCACTAGGTGGAAAATACAGAAAAGAAAATAGGAAACAATGATACAATAAGAGGGCCTATCAGAGACATCATTGGAATTCTGAGGGAGAAAATGACTCCTAACATAAAACTGATAAAAACATAAAACCATATATTAATAAAGCTCTACAAGTAGAATATATTTTTAAAAAGCCTATTCTGGGTACGTCATGATAAAACTGCTGAAAAGCAAGACCATATGAAAAATTTAGGCTGATACCTGACTTCTCAACAGGAACAATGAAAGCCAGGGCAAGGGAATAATAACTTCAAAGTGTTAAACTTCAACCAATAATTCCTCACTCAGTAAACATATAAAACTAAAGAATGAAGATGCAATAAAGATGTTTTTAGAAAGCAAAACAGAATGTCTTACTAACTGATCCATACTAAAAAAAACTCTAAAGTGTTCTTCAGATAGGAAGAAATGATCTCAAATGGAAGGTACAAGATGCAGGAAACGAAGCGCAACAAAATGTTAAGAATGTGGGTAAACTTATAAATAGTAAGTATTGACTATATAAAATATAAGCTAATTTGAGGTTTTAAATAGATAATGAAAAGAAATGAGAAAAATTATATCTTTTTTTTTTTTTTTTTTTTTTAGGTAAGAGTCTCGCTCTGTCGCCCAGGCTGGAATGCAGTGGCGCAATCTCAGCTCACTGCAACCTCTGCTTCCCAGGGTGAAGCGATTCTCATGCCTCAGTCACCTGAGTAGCTAGGATTACAGGCGCACGCCACCACGCCCAGCTAAATTTTCTAGTTTTAGTAGAGGTGGGGTTTTGCCACATTGGCCAGGCTAATCTCAATCTCCTGATCTCAAGTGATCCGCCCACCTCGGCCTCCCAGAGTGCTGGGATTGCAGGTGTGAGCCGCCATGCCTGGCCGAGAGCAATGATATCTAAATAGAGTATTGGGTAAATGTCATTCAAGTACTCTAAAGTCCCTGCATTGTTAGAGGATAACATCAGACATTGTTAGTTCAAAGGTACTTGCTAAAAATTTTCTTAATCACTAAAAAGTTGTTTGAAAGGTATACAACTGCTAAGCTCATGAAAGGAAAAAAAAATAAAAATTTAAAAACCTAGTAACCAAAAGATGATTAGAAAGGAGAGAAAAAGAACCAGGCAGAACAAAAAACGACTTAGTAAGATGAAATGTTTAAAATCAATATACTTCATTAATTACACCAAATGTTACATTTAATGAACAGGCTAAGTACTCTAGGTAAAATATAAAGATTGACAAACTGGATTGAAAAAATCTCAACTAGATCCTAGCTGTGATTTGTAAATGGTGTCCCCTCTAAAATTCATGTTTAAAACATAATCCCCATTTTGCTGGTAGGAGGTAGGAGGGTGGTGGGGAAGGTTTTGGGGAGTGATTAAGTCACTCTCATAAATGGATTCACGCCCGCAGAAAAGTGCCTTCAAAGAGAGTTTGCTCCTCTTGCCCTTCCCTCCCTTCCATCATGTGAAGACACAGCCATCCTTCCCTCTGGAGGATGCAGCACCAAGGTGCCATCTTGGAAGCAGACAGCAGCCTTTACCAGGCACCAATGCTGGTGCCTTGATCTTGGACTTCCCAGCCTCCAGAACTGTGAGAAACACATTTCTGTTCTTTAGTACTACTGAGTCTGTGGTATTTTGTTACAGCAGAACAAATGGACTAAGATAATGCTATTTACGGATACAAAAAGAGTCATAAAGATAGAAAAAGATCATGTAAATCAAAGCTCGTGTACCTATATGAGTTTTAGGTAGACTTTTATATCAAAAGGCATTGTTAGAAATATATATATCAATGATAAAAGAGTCAATTCATTAGAAAGATACAAGATTGTGTTTACCTAATGACACAGCATAAAAATACATAAAGCAAAAATTAACAGAACTCAGGAGAAATAGACAATCTACAATCATGATGGGAGATTTTAAGGCATTGGTCCCAGTAACAGAGAGAAAAAACAGATCAGAAAAAAAACAAAAGCAAAAACAAAAAAACCCTCAGAACGCTATGAAAGACTTGAACAAAATGATTAGCAAACTTGACCTAAATATAGAAAGCAAGGCATCCAACTACTGCAGAATATAAATTCTTTCCAAACATGAAACACTTACAATAACTGACCATGCTAGGTTGTATAGCAATAATCAACATATTTCAAAGGATAGAATCATGTATCTTCTCTGATCACAATGAAGTAACAAAAGACAATTAGAAAATGCCCATTTTTGTAAATTAAGAAATACACTAGGCGGGCTGTGGTGGCTCACACCTATAATCCCAGGACTTTGGGAGGCCAAGGCGGGCGGATCACCTGAGGTCGGGAGTTCGAGACCAGCCTGACCAACATGGAGAAACCCCATCTCTACTAAAAATACAAAATTAGCTGGGCGTGGTGGCGCATGCCTGTAATCCCAGCTACTCTGGAGGCTGAGGCAAGAGAATGGCTTGAACCCGGGAGGTGGAGGTTGTTGTGAGCCGAGATTGCGCCACTGCACTCCAGCCTGGGCAACAAGTGTGAAACTCCATCTCAAAAAAAAGAAATACACTAAATAAATCTTGTAAAACTTAATACATCAAAATGAAAATGAGAAAATATCAACATATCAGACTTACAGAATTTGACTAAAGCCATGCTTAAAGAAAAAGGTATAGCTTTAAAAACAAAGATGGGGGGAGGCTGAAAAAAATCAAAGAGCCAGATATCATTATCAGTAAGTTAGTAAAATTAACAGGAAATTAAATCTCGAAGTAGAGATTTCAGTAATAAAGAAGGGGAAACAATGACAAAAACGTTTACTTTCTATTCATACTTATCAGGAACTATAGTATTTATCTCATTACCTTTTAAGTTAACAGTGCTTTTTGTAGGTCAGCTTTAGTAACAACCCTATTTTGTAACATCATCACTCTGAAAAAATGCATTCTAAACCTTAGGCAGCTATCTTACAAATAACATTCTGAGGAACCACTCATTCACAAAATGAAGATCCACTTGAGGACTTAGAAACCATGGCAAAGGAGAGAACAAGAGACTTATCCCTATCCCCAGAAATGTTCATATGGCTTTCATAATCAAAAGACTATTCATTTAAATATATATCATTCATTTCTAATAACCACTGGATGTATCAGTGTGTGCTTATGAGGTATTCACCTTTTTCTGTCTCCTCATCACTGGCCATAGCTTCCCAATCATCCAATCCAGCATCCTCAGTATCTTCTTCTTCTTCTGTAAGTAAAAATTTGCATTTAAGACACAAAAATTATTTAGAAATATGAAGGTCTTTTAGAAAAAAGTAAAAAATTATGCTCTGACATAAAAAAAGAATGTTTTAATTATGTAAAAAATATGTATGCAGCTATTATCTTTAGAACTATCTTTTTTTTTTTTTTTTTGAGACGGAGTCTTTGCTCTGTCGCCCAGGCTGGAGTGCGGTGGCGTGATCTCGGCTCACTGCAAGCTCCGCCTTCCGGGTTCACGCCATTCTCCTGCCTCAGCCTCCCAAGTAGCTGGGACTACAGATGCCCGCCACCGTGGCCAGCTAATTTTTTGTATTTTTAGTAGAGACGGGGTTTCACCGTGTTAGCCAGGATTGTCTCGATCTGCTGACCTTGTGATCCGCCCGCCTCGGCCTCCCAAAGTGCTGGGATTACAGGCTTGAGCCACCGCGCCCAGCCAGAACTATCTTTTTAATATAGCTAGCATGTTATAATTTACTATTACTTAAATGCTTCCATTTCCTACTACTGCCAACATATTAAACTTAACCAATTTTACATTCAAGCTAATTGTTTCATTAATTTAATTAATTTAAATGTTTCTTTAGATCTTGAAAAAGCTACATGAATATACTCAGTTCTTGAAAACAAATGAAATTTCATATATATCTTCTTTTTGATCATCCAACTCATACTTTATGCAAGGAATTTATTATTTTGCTTTTAACCTTTACAGGTATTTAAATATACTTAAATTCTGAAGTTGAAGGTACAAAACTACCACCATCACTCTGGGTCAATGCTGTGCTCATAACCCCAAAACAGCCAGAAAGCTAAAATTCTGAATATTATTTAGACATTAAAGACCTAATACTCTTCTTAACAAGAATGCTTTTCTTTACTGAAATCTAACCAGGCACAACTATTCTTAAATGAAAGTAAGATGACGGGTAGGACATGTGGTACCTGCTTCCCTGAAATAATCATTATTTACTAACAAGCCTGCATAAGTTATCTTGAGGAGGAAATGAGACTCAGGTACCCAAAACATCCATCTAAATTAGCAATTCTTTCTGGTGCTAAAAATACGATCTAAAATAGTGGACTGCTATTAAGCATATCAATCTAAATTTCTCTAATCTCGTCATATCAGTGCTAGGCTGAGGTCTACCCAGGTGAGATGATCCTATTCGCTCAGAAGAGAAAAGAGAAAAAGAAGGAAAGGAACTATCAATAATATAATTCACCAATGTAAATCAGGCTTAGTATTCTGTAAAGGCTTTTCCCATTCCTGATCCTATCTTTAATCGCTGGGGATTCTCTTGAATACCAAACATACATTTAGGCAGCCCCAGCTCTCCCATCAATATCTAGTCGTAAGAGTTAGAACAATGTTTTTTTTTTAAAACCAGAGATTTTTCCCCAACTCCTCAACATATACACAGATACCCCACAATGAGTAAGTTGAATTCTCTGATTATTGTAAATAGAAGCCGACCTTTAGGAAGGTCTAAAAATGCCAATTTTTATGGTTCTTAAAAAGTTCTAGTTAAAAATCCTTCCAATTTGCTTCTGAAGCATTAAATGAAGACCTTCAGATCTTTTTTTGAGATTTCTGACTCATAAATAAAAGCATCAGAGAAAATCCAAAACCTACTATCCTTTCTTCCTTTTTTTTTGAGATGGACTGTTGCTCTGTTGCCCAGGCTGGAGTGCAATGGTGCAACCTAGGCTCACTGAAATCTCCCTGCAACCTCTGCCTCCCAGGTTCAAGCAATTCTCCTGCCTCAGCCTCCCAAGTAGCTGGGATTACAGGCACCCGCCACCACCCCCGGCTAATTTTTTGTATTTTTAGTAGAGATGGAGTTTCACCGTGTTAGCCAGGATGGTCTTGATCTTCTGATCTCGTGATCCATCTGCCTCACCCTCCCAAAGTGTATCCTTTCTACAAAACATTTTCTAACACTGCTGAAAAGAACACAACTGATTCAAGTCTCACTTGGATACTTATTCAAAGTAGAAATGAAAAGAAATAGAAAAGAAAGAACTATGAAGAAAGAGGGCCATCCAGCCAGATACTTATTTGGTTCTCCCCAATTATTTATAATAACTAAGACAACTTATGACACACCAACACTATTTAATAAGAATTCACTAATTAAATAATCAGATAACACTACCCGCCTGGTTCAACAGGAGGTGGTGTCTCTTCCTTTTCTGGTACTCCTTGTTCCATAACTTCTACAGCAGCACATAATTCCATTGATTCAGACACTGAAAAAGGGGCAGAAACCAAGATAATATTTTTTTTGGTGTATAATTTCTGTTAAGATACTCCATTAAGTACTGAATAAAAAACAGTAGTGTAAACCTATTTATTTTTTATTTTTTTGAAATGGAGTCTCGCTCTGTCACCCAGGCTGGAGTGCAGTGGTACAATCTCAGCTCACTGCAACCTCCACCTCCCGGGTTCAAGCAATTCTCCCTGCCTCAGCCTGCCAAGTAGCTGGGATTACAGGCACCTGCCACTATGACAGGCTAATTTTCTTATTTTCAGTAGAGGCAGGGTTTCATCATGTTGGCCAGGCTGGTCTTGGACTCCTGACCTCAGGTGATCCGCCCGCCTCAGCCTCCCAGCGTGCTGGGATTACAGGCGTGAGCCACTGTACCCAGCCTGTGCAAACCTATTTCTTCAAGTTTAGAAAATGTTTAAATATAGTCATATGTTTTACAGGAAACTACTCTTTCTGCTCAATAAATAAAATACAAAAATCACAGAAGGCTAAGAAGGAAACCAAGAAAAGATAAGAATGGTAGTTTTACTTCTCAGAGTTAACAACAGTTACAATATTCATAGGGTAGAACCCAGATTTTTCAAAGTAAAATACTTTTTCCATTAGCTTGTCATTTGAATCAAGTGAGAATAATGGCATTAATAAGAAATAAGTTTAGAAAATAAGTTTCAATATGCATTTCGGATTTTTTCCTTTCTTCTTTACAGACACTGTTTTGAAGATTGTGGGGGAAAGGCAAACAACATATTTCCTAAATTAGAGGCTATTTTGTATACAAACCTTCTTTACTTTCTAGCTGCTGTGGTATTTTTTTCCTCTTTTTATCTTCATAAATTGGCCTCTTCTTTGGCAAAGAGTCTTTTGATGGCACTTCAACACCTGAGGGATAAAAATGAAAAACTTCAGGCTTATACTACTTGCATGTCACCTGAGAAGTACTATTTAAAGGATAGCATTTCATTCACCACAGAGACACATACCCTAAAATATGAAAGGATATTCATGGAAAAACTTGTATCTTTTACATATAAGGTATTTTAAAATTTACATACAGTAAAAATCCTCGTTTCACATACAGTGAGAGTTTTGATACGTGTATCACCATCACAATGAAGATGCAGAAAAGCTCCATCACTCCATCATCCTGTGCTGCTCCATGTAATCAAACCCTCCTTACCTTCTTAGCCTCTGGTAACCACTGATCTGTTCTCCAACCAAAAGATTTGCTTTTTCTAAAATGTCACATAAATGGAATCTTACGGTCTGGCCTCTATCATCATAATGGATTTGAGAGTCACTCACTCTGCTGCACATGTCAATACTTCGTTTACTTTCATTGTTGGGCAGCATTCCATTGTATGGATATATCAGTTTGCTTATCCATTCAACAGCTGAAGGACATTTGAGTTGTTTCTGGTTTTTTGCAATTATGAATAAAGCAGGTATGAACATTTTCAGACAGGTTTCTGTGTGAACATTTCTCTTGGGCAAATATTTTGTAGTGTGAATGATGAAACATAAGGTAAATATGACCTTAATTTTTATAAAGACACTGCCAGTTGTTTTCCAAAGTGGCTATACTATCTTGCATTCCCACCACTAATGCAGAAGAGTTTTGGCCAGGCGCAATGGCTCACGCCTGTAATCCCAGCACTTTGGGAAGCCGAGGTGGGTGGATCACCTGAGGTCAGGAGTCCAGGACCATCCTGGCCAACATGGTGAAACCCCATCTCTACTAAAAATACAAAAAATTGTATTATATAAAATATATATATATTGTGGTGGTGGGTGCCTATAATCCCAGCTACTCAGGAGGCTGAGGCAGGAGAATCACTTGAACCTGGGAGGCAGAGGTTGCAGTGGGCTGAGATTGCGCCACTGCAATCCAGTCTGGACAATAGCGAAACTCTGTCTCAAAAAAAGAGAGAAAAAAAAAAAAAGAGTTTCAACTGCTCTGAATGTGGTAAAGGTTTCTCTTTTTTTAGAACATTCTTTTCAGATGCGTATAGCTTTCTGGTGAAAGTGTCTGTTGATACCTTTTGCCCATTTTTAAATGAACTTATTGGTTTTCTTATAGTTGAATTTTGAGAGGTCTTTATATATTTTGGATGTTAATTCTTTCTCAGATATCTGACTTGGAGGTACTGTCTTGGAATTCTCTTGACAGTGTCTTTTGCAGAGAAAAGTTCTGAACTGGTCTTTCTCAAAATGTATCTTTTTTCCTTTTATGGTTTAGAGTCCTATCTAAGCACTCTGCCTAACACAAGATATCCTCCTATGTTTTCCTCTGAAAGTATTATTGTATATTTTACATTTACATATGATACCCATTTGGGTCAATTTTTATACAGTGGGAATTAAAACTGGTTTTGGGTTTTTCTGCATACAGATGTCCAATTGTTCTAGTACCACTTGCTACAAATACTGTATTTTATCCACTGAATTACCTTTCACCTATATACTAACCATGTATAGACTATTTATCTGTTTGTCTATCTTTCTGGCAATATCACACTGTATTAATTCCTATAGCTTTATACTAAGTCTTGAAATCAGGTATTCTAAGTTTGTTCTCCTTTTTCAAACATATTTTGGCCATTCTAACTCTCTGGTCTCTTCATATCCATTTTAGAACTAGTTGACAGATAGCTACAAAATACCATGCTGTGATTTTGACTGGGATTGAACTGAATCTACAGATTACTGGATTACTGACTCAGTCTCTCACTATGGGCAGAAGCCTTAGAATAAAGACAACAGAAATTGTATACCATGGGATTTTGAATGAAGTCACTAATAAAGGAAAATGACTAAAAATGTTATCTCTAACGTAGGAATGTATATGGATGTGTGTTGTGCATGTACTGAAGAATGGCTAGAATGGTAAAACCATAGCTATGACTGGTAAGACGAATACATTAAACAAACCAAAGAAAGAGGATAAAGCCAGCTGAGAATGCAGAGATCATCACTTTAAGTTTTCCTTGCCTAGCAGCCTACACCTACTAAGATGAAAAGCATGGGCCTGAGGGGAAACTGTAGGCTGGATTACCTGAAGGGTGGTCCCAATAACACCCTAGACTTAATCAACTGACTACTGCTCTAGTCTCAGACTCTCAAATAAGCTGCTGTACTTGGAATCAACACCAAGACTTGTATGTGTTTAGACATTCCATTCACTTTGCAAACTGAGACATAACAATCAAGTTCTTGAAGAAGCTCTTTGCCTGAAATGAGTTTATTACAAATTATTGATAAAGTACTCATATATGTGTGTGTGTGTATATGCTTAGTAGTCACAGGCTAAAGGATGACTGAAAAGTTAACCTGCTGCACATTTCAGAGCAATTATATGAAGACACCTGCAGATGCCTACACTCTCTGAGAGTACATTTTTAGCTCAATGAATAAGTTTTACAATATTCTAGGTAATAAATGTGGTAAGCAGCTGTCTTTCAAACATACGATGAAACAACACTGTAGGATCTTTTAATGAGATGACTCACATGAGTGGGCTGTGGGTGGGGGGGAACCTTGAATGTCAAGCTAAGGAATTTGGATTCTTATTAGTAGACAATAGGGAACTAATAAGATGGTAAACACTGGACAACACTATGAAGAGTAAGAGACCAGCGTCAGGGATGCCACTTGAGAGAGCATCTCTTACAAGCCTAATGCTAAAGACTGATGCTAAAAGTCCACCATTCTACACTGTAATTTCCATAACTACAAGTCTAACTGCTCCTTAAAACAGCATTTTTGAGACTGGCAAATTACTCCCTGCTTGGTCCCATCTGAATTTCTTCATGGGTGCTTTTAGCCTCTCCAATAGTCACCAATGAAATCTGATGTATGAATGCTAACTATATTCAAGTTTGTACCTAATTTCATTTAAAATTTTACAAAAGCTATATTCTCCATTAAGAATAAAACTTTCTAAAATCTAAGTACTGGGTTTCTTCACATCTAATGTTCCTAGCTGAACATATGCGTAAGAAAAAGTTGCACAGACCAGCTTAAATTTCAGCTCTGTGGCCTTGGGTAAGCTGTTTACACTCTGAACCACCATTTCTTCATCTATATGATGGAAGTAAAAATAGCTATAAGATTTTTTTATGAGGGAAAAATAGACAATGTCAAAGACATTGTAGCATCAGTTACACACTAAGCACACAATAAATGGTAGCTATTACTGTAATTATAGCATAAACACCAAAATGACTGTAATATAAAAATCTAGGGAATATAGGAGCAGGAAATTTAAGAGAGGTCCCAATATATTCTTCTCATTGGAGCAAAGACACTATTTTAAATCACCTTACCTTTCAAAAAAGTAATAAATTATATGCCCAGTTGTGATCTCTAAACACTATTACCCTCTAAAAGGAACAAAAGCTCTTTGGATAAACAACCGATTCCAGGTCTCAGCCCATGCAAGATGAACCTGGGATATCTTGTTGCATCAGAAAGTAAGGAAAGGGTTAAAAAAAAATGGTCATGAATACTTTTTCACCGTGGTCATGTGGGCAAACTAATATGCTGTCTGGGAATCACTGTATTTCTTTTTTATTTTTTGGGATTCACTTTAAAACATGCTAGGATAAAAAGTAGATGGAGAGGTACAAAACAAGAATGTCAAATGGTCCTAATTGTTGAAGCTGGCTGATAGGTACACAGGGACTCATTCTATTATTATCACTATTCTTGTTTGTGGGAGGATAACTTATTTAGACATACTATCATTTACATATAAATTTTTATCCTCATGTAGATGTCATCTTCCTAAACAATGAAATGACATCACCTATTCCTTACGTTTTACTGAACTTTTTCACAGATTTTTCATAGGAACTGTCCTGATGCAAATTCCATTCTCCTTCTGAACATTAAGGGATATAACTGCATGTGCAGAGCTCTCTGACCATTCAGTTAATGAAGAGTACCACTCACCCTGAGCTTGTAGCAGTTTAAGAGTAGCTTCGGCTCTGGCTCTGGCTTCTCTCTGGGATTTAGTTAAAAGTTTCCCTTCTTTTTTCAAGCGTTCTTTTCTTTCTTTTTCTTTTTGCTTTTTCCTTTCTCTTTTTTCTTGTTCCAATCGTTCCTATAAAAGAGTACATGTCAGACAAAACCTGTATTCATTTAATGAACTATAAAATTCAAATGTAAACAATCCAAACTTCAAATAAATCTCTTGAGACACATGCAAAGTATTATGTTAGGAGATTCCAAATCAAAGTATTTTAAATGTTATACATGATTATTAATTAATATCACATCAGATTATTGGCAATGATACATAAGCAACTTATGTATCGAGCAATCTGTTCTTGAGAAAATAAAGATAAGATGTGCTGTACCTCTTCATCTTATTATTTGTATCGGAACAATAATATAACTGAATTACCATGCAACTATGAAATTTTCAGAATTAGAAGAGTAAAGATATTTTACAGAGAATAGATTTTAAGTTAAACACAATATCAATGTTACCAACTTCATGAAAACATACCTCTTCTTTACGCTTGGCTTCTAATTCTTCAAGCCGTTTTATACGTTCTTCCTCTTCTCTCTTCTGTCTTTCTTCTTCCTCTTTAAGCTTAGCCAGAGCTTCTTGCATAGCTTTAACAGTGGCTTTGCTAGGTCCTTTTTTCTTCTCTTTCTCTTTTTCTTCCTTTTCTCCTTTCTTTTTCTTCTTATCTTTCTTCTTTTTGTCTCCTTCATTGTCATCTACCAAAAAGAATAAAGGCAAAGCATTGAAATGAAAAAACAATTCCCTGTGGTGATGACGAGCAAAACCCAACCACAATTCAAGGACCATAATGGGCCAAGGCCGATGCCAGCAGCAGGCTAAGTTCTACAGGCATCAAGGCATCCTGAGCACTTTGGTAACTAGAATAGCTCAGAATAACTCACAGATGGCCTCCTGAGAAGTCTGCAATACTGATGTTGGTCTCAGATGTCCTGAGGAATACAGTAAGACAGAAGGATACTGTCAGCAGCAAAAGGGCAATCCTGTACCTAATGTATCTCTAAATCCATGGTACCTGAGTGGCTGGTGTCCAACAGATGCTTATATGAAGTTCTAACAATCAGAATGAACTAACACCCACGTAAGTTCTGTAGCTAATTTCACTTCTACAAGATGGAGTTAATGAGAATGATGTCCACTTTAGGGGGTATTAGTAGGATAAAATACAAAAATATAGGTAGTTATACTCCAAGAACTCTAAAGAATTAAAAGCTATGAAGGTACTTTCATGGTGTTCCTCCTCGAATATATCCAGATAATAAATATGCTAGCATTTAAAAAAGTTGCTGGGCACGGTGGCTCACACCTGTAATCCCAACACTTTGGGAGGCTGAGGTGCATGGATCACCTGAGGTCAGGAGTTCGAGACCAGCCTGGCGAACATGACGAAACCCCATCTCTACTAAAAATACAAAAATTAGCCGGGCATGGTGGCGGGCTCCTGTAATCCCAGCTACTTGGGAGGCTGAGACAGGAGAATCACTCGAACCTGTAAAGAGGAGGTTGCAGTGAGCTGAGATCGTGTCATTGCACTCCAGCCTAGGCAACAAGAGTGAAATTCCGTCTCAAAAAAAAAAGTTGTGTCAATTTTCCCATTAAAAGTTTTCCAGTCAAAAGAAAAACTACTGCTTTTGTTGGTTTTTTGAGACAGAGTCTCAGTCTGTTGCCCAGGCTGGAGTGCAGTGGTGCGATCTCCGCTCACTGCAAGCTCCGCCTCCTGGGTTCACGCCATTCTCCTGCCTCAGCCTCCCGAGTAGCTGGGACTACAGGCGCCCGCCACCATGCCCGGCTAATTATTGTATTTTTAGTAGAGATGGGGTTTCACCATGTTAGCCAGGATGGTCTATATCTCCTGACCTCGTGATCTGCCTCAGCCTCCCAAAGTGCTGGGATTATAGGCGTGAACCACCGCGCCCAGCCCAAAAACTACTGTTTTAAGAATATAGTATGGCCATGCAAACCATCTGATCTTTAGCTATTTTCATTCTAAATAAGAGGAAGAAATTAGCTAGAACTTTTATTTTATAATTGGTTGTTAAAAAAATGGCTCATTATTGCTTAAAAGACACTAATTTTAGCATGTTGAGTTTTAAGTGAAGCAGAAAATATTAGCAACTTCATGAAAACATTTCTTTGTGAATTTCATAAATTGAACTAGGTTTTTAAAGACAGGAAAGAATTCAAATATTATCTGACACTGAGTTATCAGAAAGGAAGAATAAATTTTTCATTAAGTAACTTCTATAGCCTTTATCAACAGCAAAAAAAATAGTTTTCATAATGCAATTCTATAAAAATTCCAGTCTGTACATAAATAATCTGAAAGATATTTATACTATATATGTAAAGAATTAACAATGCAAATCAAGTCAAATACTTAGACGTAATTTTTTAGATGGCTCCTTACAATCAAGTGTCTTTATACCCATGGACAAATAACAAAACGACCTTGGGGCACAATGATTACAACTTATACTGTGAATCAAAAGCCTTTTGCTCTTTCCTCTAAAGTATTAACCAACCTTCTGCAGCTGTGGGAGTCTCTGCTTTCTCTTCAGAGGCAGGAATTACTCCAGTATCAACAGTCACTTTGGATTTTACAGTTTCTTCTTCAAATTTCCTTTGAGATTCCTTTTGTTTACTCTGATCCTTTTTACCTGTTTCTAACTCTTCTTTTTCTTTCAGCTTCCGCAGTTTCGCTTTTTCTTCATCTCGCTTTTTTCTCTCGCGCTCCTTCTTTTCTGCCTTCTTTTGGGCCACTGTCTTAATTTTGAAGGAGGCGTCATCATCTTCATTCCCACTTTCTATGTTAGGACCTGGCTTGTTTTTCTGATTTTTTTTCTGTCCTTTTCTAGATTGCAAAAATTCATCTGATTCATCACCACTTTCACCAGAAGAATTTATTCTTGAACGCTCTTTAATTTTTTTACTGTTATCCTCATCCTCCTCTGACCCATCCCACTTCTTATTTGATTTTTGAGCTTTCCCTTTAGCTTTTTTAGGAAGTTTGTTAAAATCATCATCATCATCACTCCCAGAGTACATTTCCACTTTCGGTTTTGCAGTCTTTTTTGATTTTGAATCTTTATCTTCCAATTCTTCGCTATCATTATCATCAAAACTCTGTTTTTTGCCCTTCTGTCCTTTCTTTTTTTTATCTTTTGAGGTGAATTCCTCTTCATTGTTTTCTGTTGGCTAAAAAATTTCCATTGTTAGAAAAAATTAACAGAATTATAATTGAGACCAGAGTCATGTGCTTCATTAAGTAAACATTTTTTAAAAATCTCAAAATGATTTCAAAATCTTTTTCAAAGTCTTTTTCACAGGAATATAAAATTCAAACAAGCAAGAGAGGTTGGCCTTGGCCTCAGACACATCTCGCATCATTGTAAATTGCAGAATCCAGGGGCTCTTGAAACAGGCACTAGTCACCACCCATTTACTAACTTTACAAAGCCTAAGGGACAAGTTGAAAGAAGAAAAAATATCTATGATTTTCCCATTACTCTGAGGCTTATCCAAATTCGAAGGATGAAAAAGAAACAACAGAGAAAACTGAAGATGGAACGAGTGATTACATCACAACTCCAAATGTACCAATTTTATGAACAATCAACATACCACAAAATACCTTTACATTCCTATTTTTCCCTTTGACATCAGATTTCATAGAAGCTTTTAAATAACATATTGTACACTGCTCAAAAGTTTCCAAATGTAGCTCCCCAAACCAACATTAAGAAGAAAGAATAGAATACGAAATACGAATAGGTAACAAAGGTCTGTCTTTCACCTTCACTGCAACAGTTTCTCTGTCAGCTTTGATGCCTTGAGCTTCCAAAGACAATTCTTCCAGTTCTTTCAGGATATCATCTTCACTAGAAAAGGATTAAAATACATTGTGAAGCACTGGTATAGTTTTTATTAAGTGAATCCAGTACCAAAACAAATAAAAATCAAATATATTTAAAATATACTTACTCAAAGTCCTGCTTTTTTTTCTCTTTTTTCTTTTTCCCTTTTGACTTTTGAGGCTCCTGTTCTTTGGCAGCACCAGCTCCTTCTATTTCTGCAGCCAAGGCATCAAGATCAATGTCATCCTTGGTGCTTAAATGAAAACAAAAACATCCTAAATGCTACTTAAAAGCAAAATAATCATTCATTTATATAGATTTTATCATTTTAACCTTTTTCATGCATTAGCAGCACAATGAGAAAAATCATTTGGCAAGTTCTTTCATTACAACACAAGTTACATCTACTTATCAGCCTCCCTACATCTGCTTCAGTGAAGTTTCTGGATTACACTCAAATAAGGAACAGATAATGAAAAGCTCCAGAAAAAAATCAGGGTAATCAAGAAAAGGAAATTAACTTTTACAGATACCAAAGGTTTTTTGTGCGTCTGAATGAAGTTATTTATAAAATGGGAGATCTTAAAACATAAAACAAGTCTTATTTCTCGACGATCAATAACAACACCTAAATATTTGGATCCCTGTGCATTTTTACTTGGAATAGCAGAAATTTCAGAGTTGGAAGGAAGTTTAGAGATCAGTCACCTAGCCTATTATCTCATTTTACCAATGGGAAAACTAAAATGCACAAGGATTGAATGTCCTGAGAAAAACATAACCACACATTCAAATCTAAATGAATTAGGAATGATTCACTAAATAAAATACTTAACCAAAAATCCAGAACTAAACCTGCTTGCTCCTGGTTTCATTTCTGGATCCATCCAACAATGTCGTCACCTACCAACTTACTTGGAGTAAACCAAATTAAGTTCCAGCTAAAACCTACAGAAAATGAAGGCAGTCCAGTCTAAAATGTCCAAGTAGCAAAGGCAGATGAATCCAAATGAATGGCACAGTAAGAAAACAACTCATGTAATGTGGCCTTTATAATGGACACCTTGTAAGAGATGCTTTAGTTCAGTAAAGAAAATTTCTTTTTTTTTTTCCTTTTTTTGAGACGGACTCTCACTCTGTCGCCTAGGCTGGAGTGCAGTGGCGTGATCTCGGCTCACTGCAACCTCCACCTCCTGGGTTCAAGCGATTCTCCTGCCTCAGCCTCCCGAGTAGCTGGGACTACAGGAGCCCGCCACCATGCCCGGTTCATTTTTTTTTTTTTGTATTTTAAGTAGAGACGGGGTTTCACCATATTGGCCAGGCTGGTCTCAAACTCCTGACCTTGTGATCAGCCACCCTCGGCCTCCCAAAGTGCTGGGATTACAGGCGTGAGCCACTGCTCCCGGTCTCAGTAAAGAAAATTTCTAAAGAGAAGTAACTTTCAACCATATTATAAATATAATTAAAAGATTATATGACAAGACATTGAGGATATAGAATTTAGCCTTAAGGCGCTTAATAGGGAAGACAGCAAACCAGTAAACCCCAAATTGCAAAATGTTAAATGCCTTGAAGTAAAAGAACTTAATGCTTTTATAAATAGTTGGCCAGAATTGAAATGTGCTCCTTTTCTTCCTACATTTTAGATAATTTGACACTGATCTGCTGCAGTGGTGGTGACTTCCTACAGTACCAAATCCAGAATGGGAAAGTCAGAGGCACCTTATTCTTAGTAAAAGGGGTACACATACCAGACACAGTAAGTACAAAAGCCTAAAGGCAACAAGGTGTGTTATGCCTCAAGAGGGCTCACAAAAGGCATCTGAACCACCCAAGAAATGTTTGAGCATTATGTATTTATTGACCCCACCCAAGATAGAGGGAACCAGAAACTGAGGGGGAAGCCAGGCAGTATATTTTTAGCAACAATATTTCCAGGTGATTGTGTACCAGATCTGAACACTGTCATTCTTCTTCCTTTACAGATGAAGTAACTACTAACTGAGGCACAGAGAATCTGCCCAGGATCACACGAGTCGGAGATATGGGATTTGAATCCAGGAAGTCTGATTCCATAGCCAGATGTCTTACTTCTGCTGACATAATCCAATTTGTATTTTAGGCCTGGATGCAGTGTCTCACACCTGTAATCCCAGCGCTTTGGGAGGCTGAGGCAGGCAGATCACTTGAGCCCAGGAGTTCGAGACCTGCCTGGCCAACACTATGAAACCCCGTCTCTAAAAAATATAAAAAAATTAGCCAGGCATGGTGGCGCATGCCTCTTGTCCCAGCTACTTGGAAGGCTATGGTGGGAAGATTACCTGAATCACCTGAGCCCAGGAGGTTGAGGCTGCAGTAAGCTAGAATTGTGCCACTGAGTAAAACCCTGTATATATATATATAAAAGCATTTTAGAATGCTACATCTGGTACAATGAGTGGCAGGGCTGAATCCTGACTAGTCAGGAAGCAAGGAGACCAGTTAGGAAGCTTTTGTAGTAACTGTAATGAGAAACAATGAGCACCTGACTTGCACCAGTGGCAGGCAAGATGTAAATGAGTTAGATAAATATTAAGGGAATAGAATCAACAACACTTAAGTGGTCAACAGGATGAATATAGAAAGGAGTAAGGAAGAATCAAGGACAATTCTCAGGTCTCTTCAGGTAACAAGAACCTAAGTCTGCCCTAGCATCTCCCAGGAGTATCCCCAAAGGCATCTCTGGCAACATTTCACACTACAGCAGCTTCTGACAACTGCATGAGAAGAGAAGGCTGAAGTTTGGCATCTCATTTCCAAAAATTTATCGGCCCTCACCCAAACTATATTCACCTCATCAAAATAGCTTCAAGAATCTTCTTGTGATTAGCTATATTTCTGGAGAATTCATCAATAAACATCTCTAGGATAACAAAGTATAGGACTACATTTGTACATTATTAAGTCTGAAAGGCTTTTTGTGACTAACAATATAAGATGAACAGTTTTTTAATATGCTTATATTCAGGCATTGTGCTGACCAATGCCTAGACATAATATATACACTGTCACTTAATATTCATAACAATTACATAAAATTATTCTTAAAGATGGTAATTTTTTAAAGGCCACCAGCTACAAAGTAGCATACCAGGAATTCAAGCCCAAATTTTAACACCAGGTTCTACTGCCTTCCTAGAAAATGGGAAATGATCTAGTTTTTTACTTGCTTGAAAAATTCAAACATAGCTATGAAATTCCTACAGTTTACACAGAAAGGCAAAAGACTTAGCATAAGTCAACATAATACTGAAGAACAAAGCTGCAAGCCTCATTACTCAATTTTAAGATTTATTATAAAATTACTATCAAGACAGTGTAGTACTGGTGAAAGAAGAGACACACAGATCAAGGCAACAGACCAGGCAGCCCAGAAATAGAGCTCTGAGGATACTAGTATTAAAATGAAAACACTAACCACAGACTGAAAGAGATATTTGCAAAGCACTACTAGCTGAAAGACCTGTATCCCAAATACACAGAGAACTCTTAAAACTCAACAATAACAACCCAATTAAAATGTGGGCAGTCACCTTGTCAAATTAGGGGCAGGGGGAGTAGATGAAAAATGTTCATCATCATTTGTCACTGGGGAAATGCAAATTAAAACAAAGAGATAGTGGTATATACCTATCAGAGTTGCTAAAATCCAAGAAACTGACAATACCAATTCCTGGTAAGAAAGCAAAATGGCTGATTCTGGGGCAGGGGCTGGACACAGACAAAACAAGCCTGGAGCACTGTGTAATGGTAGGAAGTAAGGAAATGATTTAAAAACAAAAAACAAACACACAAACAAGAAAATGCCAAAACACACGAAAACACACACACACAATGTTGAGTCTATGACAAAGGGACACATGAGCCAACTGAAAGAGCTCCCAATGGGCAATGGGAGCAACAAATTAATATGTTAATTAATTAGAAGAACAAATTAAGTAACAATATTAAATTATAAGCTAAAGTATGAAATAATTCCACTAGTCATACTATTAGAGAGAAATGATTAAGTAAATAAATGGGGAAGAGACAAACGTGTGCAGAAGAAAGCTAAATATGCAGAATCCCATCCTCAAGGAGGTGGAACATAATTTTCCACTCCTAAACTATGAGCTGTGTACAGTGATTTCATTCCAAAGAGTACAATATAGAAAGAGGAAGAAAAGAGTAACATTATAATGTAGAAATCTGACAAACACAGCCTCAGCCAAGTGATCAACATCGACATCAGTGATATAATGAAATCTGAGAAACTATCACAGATAAGACAAATCTAAGGATAAATGCTGACTAAATGTAATGTGGTATCCTGTATAGGACCCTGGAACAGATACAGGACAGTAGAGAAAAACTAAAGAAATCTACACAAAGTATGCACTTCGCTTAATAATATTGATTCGTTGACTGAAACAAGTGTACCATGCTAATATAGTAATAACAGAAGAAACTAGGTGTGGGGCACATGGAGACTCTGTATTATCTTCACAATCTAAAACTTCTACAAATTAAAGTTTATTTTTTAAAAACTGAGCAGGGAGGCCGGGTGCAGTGCCTCACGCCTGTAATCCCAGCACTTTGGAACGCCCAGGCAAGTGGATCATCTGAGGTCAGAAGTTCGAGACCAGCCTGGCCAACATGGTGAAACCCTGTCTCTACTAAAAATACAAAAATTAGCTGGACGTGGTGGCACATGCCTGTAATCCCAGCTACTCGGGAGACTGGGGCAGGAGAATTGCTTGAACCTGGGAGACGGAGGTTGCAGAGAGCTGAGGTCACACCACTGCACTCCAGCCTGGGCGACAGAATGAGACTCTGTCTCAAAAAAAAAAAAAAAAAAAACCCAAAAAACAAAAAAACAAACAAACAGAAAAACTGAGGGGGAAAAAACAATCATATTACTTATAGTTATTCCAAAGAAAGTAACATACTTAAATCTAACAAAATATGTAAAGTACTTATATGTGGAAAATTACAAAATGCTTATGAAAGAAATCCAAGACTTGACTACGTGAAGAGACATGCCATGTTCATGGGCTATAAGACTCAACACAGTAAAGATGACAATCAGCCCTAAAATGATATACAGGTTTAATGCAATTCCAATAAAAATCTCAGCAAGATTTTTAGGACATAACCAATAGAGACAAGGTTATTCTAATATTTATATGAAAAGGCAAAGAAACTAGAATAGCTAAACCAATTTTGAAAAAAGACTAAAATGTGAGGAATCATACTACCAGATTTCAAGACTTAAGCAAAGCTCTTGGTACTGGCAAAGGAATAGACACAGATCAAGACGAGAAGAGAGAGAACCCAAAAACAGTCCCACAGAAGTATAACCATTTAGGCCCAGGCGCAGTGACTCACGCCTGTAATCCCAACACTTTGGGAGGCCGAGGCAGGTGGATCACTTGAGGTCAGAGTTCAAGACTGGCCTGGCCAACATGGTAAAACTCCGTCTCTACTAAAAAATACAAAAAGTAGCTGGGTGTGGCGGCAGGTGCCTGTAATCCCAGCTACTCAGGAGGCTGAAGCAGGAGAATCTCTTGAACCCAGGAGGCAGAAGTTGCAGTGAGCTGAGATAGCACCACTGCACTACGGCCTGGGTGACAGACGGAAACACTGTCTCAAAAAAAAAAAAAAAAAAAAAAAAGTACAACCAATTAATTTTTGACAAAGGTGCAAAAGCAGAGGGTAGCCTCTTTAACAAACAGTGCTACAGCAAATGGACACCTATCACACAAAAATGAACCTCACCCTCAGTCCTTATCCAAGAGTGAACCCAAGATATATGATGTACTTAAAAAAATAAATAAAAGCATAAACTTTTAGGAAAAGAGTAAAATATCTTTCAGATCTAGCACTAAGCAAAGAGTTAAGAGTTAAGACTTGAAACTAAAAGCACAATCCAAAAGAAGTGGAACTCATCAAAAACTTTTGCTGTGAAAGACTATGTGAAGGGAATGAAGAACAAGCTACAAAATGGGAAAAAATATTTCCAAATCACAAGGATTAACAACTAGAATATACCCAAAACTCTCAAAACTCAACAGTAAAATAAATCCAAACAATCCAATTAAAAAATGGGCAAAAGGCATAAAAAGACATTCCACTGAAGATATACACATGGCAAATAAATGTTCACATCATTAGCTATTTGGGAAATGCAAATTAAAACCACAATGGGATATCACTACATACGAATCACTACATACCAATGAGAATGCCCTCCTCCCCCATAATAGTGATAATAACCAATACTGGTAAGGATAGAAAGGAACTGGAAAATTCATACACTGCTGGTAGAAATATAAAATGGCAATGCCACTCTGGAAAACAGTCTATCAGTTTCTTGCAAAACTAAAAATGTACTTACCACATAACCCAGCAACTGCATTCTTGCACATTTATACCTAAATAACAAAAATTTATGTTCATGGAGAAATCTGTAGACAGAAGTTCATAGCAATTTTATTTTCAATAGCCAAAAACTGGAAACAACCCACATGTCCTTTAATAGGTGAATGGTTGAATAGACAGTGGTTCATTTCCATTCCATGAAATATTATTCATCAATAAAATGGAATGAACCATTGATACATGCAACAACTTCGATAGATCCCAAGAGAATTAGGCTGAGTAGAAAGAAGCCAACCTCAAAAGGTCATATATATACTTAATTCCATTAATACAACATTTTTGAAAGACAAAAGTTTAGAAACATACAAGACACCTGAGGTTAGAGACAGGTGAGGGGTTGGGGAGGTGGGTAGGGAGTACAGGAAGGAGATGGTTACAAATGTACAACATGAGAGATTTTTGCACTGATATTCTGCATCTTGACTGTGTAATGGATATACAGACCTACACATGTAATAATATTGTACAGAACTAAATATATAAACACACACACAAACACAAAGAGTACAAATGAAACTCGGCAAACCTGAATATAATCAGTGGATTGTATCAATGTCATTATCTGTGTAATGGCTGGGCACAGTGGCTCACGCCTGTAATCCCAGCACTTTGGGAAGCCGAGGTGGGTGGATTGCTTGAGCCCAGGAGTTCTAGATCATACTGGGCAACATGGCGAAACCCTGACTCTACAAAAACTACAAAGAAATTAGCCAGGCAGGCCAGACGCGGGGGCTCACGCCTGTAATCCCAGCACTTTGGGAGGCCGAGGCTGGCGGATCACAAGGTCAGGAGTTTGAGACCAGCCTGGCCAATATGGTGAAACCCCGTCTTTACTAAAAATACAAAAATTAGCCAGGTGTAGTGGTGTGTGCCTGTAGTCCCAGCTACTCAGGAGGCTGAGGCAGAAGAATTGCTTGAACCCAGGAGGTGGAGGATGCAGTGAGCTGAGATCATGCCACTGCACTCCAGCCTGGGCAACAGAGTGAGACTCCGTCTCAAAAAAAAAAAAAAAAAAAAAAAAAAAGAAGAAGAAGAAAAAATTAGCCAGGCATAGTGGCATGTGCCTGTACTTTCAGCTACTCCAATGGCTAGGGTGAGAGGATTGACAGCCCAGGAGAGGGAGGCTATGATGAGCCATGATTGTGCCACTGCACTCCAACTTGAACGACAGAGTGAGACCCTGTCTCAACTATATGAATCTATAATAATCTTGAAATAAAAGTTTAACTTTAAAAAAGACACTGTTAACAAAATAGGCCAGGCACAGTAGCTCACGCCTGTAATCTTAGCGCTTTGGGAGGTGGGTGGATCACTTGAGGCCAGGAGTTTGAGACCATCCTGGCCAATATGGTGAAATCCTGTTTCTACTAAAAAATAGAAAAAAAATTAGCCAGGCACGGTGGCACATGCCTGTAATCCCAGCTACTCAGGAAGCTAAGGCACAAGCATCACTGTGCTCCAGCCTGAGCAACAGAGCAAAACTCTGTCAAAAAAAAAAAAAAAAGACACAATTAGCAAAATGAAAAGGCAAGACAGGCTGGGCACGGTGGCTCACACCTGTAATCCCAGCACTTTGGGAAGCCAAAGCGGGTGGATCACCTGAGGTTGGGAGTTGGATACCAGCCTGACCAACATGGCAAAACTCCATCTCTACTAAAAATACAAAATTAGCCAGGCATGGTGGCGCATGCCTGTAATCCCAGCTACTGAGGAGGCTGAGGCAGGAGAATTGCTTGAACCCAGGAGGCGGAGGTTGCAGTAAGCTGAGATCATACCATTGCACTCCAGCCTGAGCAACAAGAGCGAAACTCTGTCTCAAAAAAAATGAAGAAAAGAAAAGCCATGACAAAGAGTGAGAGAAAATATATGCAATACATATATCTCATAAAGGATTTGCCTACAAAGAAACAACACAATTTTTTAAATGGGAAAATGATTGAACAGACACATAACCAATGAGATGAAAGAATGACAAACACATGACAAGATGTTATCACTAATAAGGAAGCATAAATTAAAACTACAATAAAGGCAGGGTGTGGTGGCTCACACCTGTAATTCCAACACTTTGGGAGGCCGAGGTGGGCAGATCACATGAGGTCAGGAGTTCAAGACCAGCCTGGCCAACAAGGTGAAATCCCGTCCCTACTAAAAATACAAAAAAAGTAGCTGGGCATGGTGGCTCGTGCCTGTAATCCTAGGTACTCAGGAGGCTGAGGCAAGAGAATTGCTTGAACCTGGGAAACAAAGGTTGCAGTGAGCCAAGATCACGCCACTGCACTCCAGCCTGGGTAACAGAGTGAGACTTCGTCTCAAAAACAAACAAACAAACAAAAAAAAAACACAATGATATGTCACTACACAGCCACTAGAAATCCTAAAATTGAAGATTGGTAATAATACCAAGTGTTGAGACTGGATATGGAGTAACTGGAGCACATACATCCCTAGAGGGAATGCAAAAATGGCACAGTCACTTTGGAAGAGAGTTTGACAGCTTCTTGTTAAATATACACTTACCATACGACCCAGCAATCCCACTCCTAATCCCACTCCTAGGTATTTACCTAAGAGAAATGAAAATACATGTCCACACAAAGACTTATACTCAAATGTTCATTGCAGCTTTACTCGAAATCAGGAAAAGCTGGAAACAACCCAAATATCCATCTACCAGATAATATATAAACAGATTGTCATATATCCAGGCAATGGAATAATACTACTGGGTAACAAAAGGGAAGTACTAATGCTACAAGCACTAACATAGATGAATCTCAAAAGTATACTGTACTAAGTGAAACCCAGTCAGCCAAAAAGGACTATGTAGTCTATCATTCTACTTATATGAATTTCTAGAAAAGGCAAAACTACAGTGACCAAAAATAAAACATGAAAACTACAGTGACTACTGGGCTCAAGTGATCCACCTGCCTTGGCCTCCCAAAGTGCTGGGATTACAGTGGTGAGCCACCATGCCTGGCCCTTTTATCCATTTTTATAAGTTACAAAAATAAGAACAAATCTATAATCTTTTTCTAGTATCTTAATTTCTATTAAACACAGTAATGTGGAGTTAAAATGATACTTAATGAAGGAGTCTTTTAAAAACATTTTATTCTTTATTTCTTCATTCTCATCTCACCACTTAACAAAAATCAACTCAAAATGAACTACTTAAATGTAAAATCCAAAACTATGAAACTATTAGAAGAAAACAGGAGAGACACTTCATAACGTTGTTTAAGACCTCAAAAGCTCAAGCAACAAAAGCATAAACCGACAAATACAATAAAGGAAACAACCAACAGAGTGAAGAGACAGCCTATAGAACGGGAGAAAATATTCACAAACTATATATCTAACAAGGGGTTAATATCCAGAATACATATGGAACTCAAAACAACAATAGCAAAAAAGCAAATAATCCAACTAAACAATGGGCAAAAGATCAGAATACACATTTCTCAAAGGAAGACATAAAAATGGGCACCAGGTATATGAAAAAAACATCAGGGAAATGCAAATCAAAACCACAATGAGATATCACACCTTAGACTAGCTTTTACAAAAAGACAAAAAATAATATGGTGAGAATATGGAGAAAGGAGAACTATTATATACTGTGGGGGGAAATGTAAATTAGTACAGCCATTAGAGACAACAGTATAGAAGTTCCTCAAAAAAACAGAACTATCATATAATCTAACAATTCCACCATTGGGTCTATATAGCCAAAGGAAATGAAATTGCTATGTTGAAGAATATTTACACTCCCACATTTACTGCAGCACTGTTTACAATAGCCAAGATGTGCAGTCAACCTAAATGTCCATCAACAGATGAATGGATAAAGAAAATGTACGTCTACACAGTGTGAATACTATTCATCCATAAAAAAGAATGAAATCCTGTCATTTTGTGACAACACATATGAACTTGGATGTAATTATGTTAAGTGAAAGATGCCATATATGGAAAGACAAATACTGCATGATCTCATTCATATGTGGAATCAAAAAAAGTTGATTTCATAAAAGTAAAGAGTAGAATAGTGGTTACCAGATGCTGGGAAGAGTAGGAAGGAGAGGGAATGAGGAGAGGTTGGTCAAGTTACAGTTAGGAGAATAAGTTCTGGTGTTCTACTTCACAGTAGGATGACTATAGTTAACAATAATGTATTATACTTCAAACAGCTAGAAAAGAGCATTTGGAATGTTCTTATCACAAAGAAATGACAAGTGTTTGACGTGATAGATATGCTAATCATCCTGATCTGATCATTACACAATGTATACAGATACCAAAATATCACATTGTACCCTATAAATATGTACAATTATTATGTGTCAAGAACAAAATACAACTTGTATTTTTCCAGTTGTATAAAAACAGTATTTCTTTATTGTGTGTGCAGGCATGTACTCAACTTTGGAGTTTGGCTTTTGGAATTAAATAAAAATCATACATAAAAATAAAAAGTAAGACAAATACTTCATCTTGAGACCAATGTAGTAGAAAGCCTTTTAAAGACACATATTACAAAAAATTGTTCACTGCAAAGTAAAAGGAAAATTAACCTCATGTACAAATCTCCTCTCAATTCCAAACTTAGCAAATTTCATTTGATAATGACAGGTATTTTCCACTGAAAACTTGTGTAATGAATGTAAAGTTAGACAAGAAACACAGGAAATTCAACTCCTTTCCAAATTATTCCACACTTCAAAATCTCCAAGATGTCTAAGACTCCTTTTTACCAACCTCTCTTCTCCAATGCCTCTTTACCCACTGCAGAGGTTTTAAAACCTGGCACAAAATATCTCTGACACTCTTTGAGAGGTGGAGGTCTATCTCCTTTAATGTGGGAGTTGTATGACTGCTTGCTAAATAGAAGGATGCAACTTTTGTTATAGTTTCTAGGCCTAGGCCTTAACCTGGCAGCTTCCTGTCTCTTGGAATGCTCACTGCCAAGCTAATGGGGATGTCCAGGTCAGGAGGAGAGATCAAATAGAGATGCTCCAGCTGACAACTCCAGCTGATTAAGCCCAGTCAACCTCCAGAACCATGAAAGATAATCACAAGTTTTCTTGTTTTAAGCCACTGTTTGGGATGACTTGTTATGGTACAATAATAACCGAAGCACCCCCATATTTCTTCCTATTCCTAATCAATACCAGGACCTATAGTAATGGACAGCATGTTGGTAGAAGTGTAAAATCCAAACTACACCACTCCTTCCTCCGTCCCCATCCCCAAGTTGATGGACAAATTGTCCAAAACCTCAAAGTATTAAAGGAAGGATAAGTCACATATAACACTGTTGCTGCCCTTTTTCACTTACTTTGGCTTCTGCCCCTCTCCGCCAAAACTCTTAATAATAGTAAACAAGAAGAGCATAAGAGGGAATCCTTCTCTTTATTCTTAACTCTATCTCAGCAGTAACAGCTGCAATAAGAGAAACCGGGAAATTCAGTCCCACCTTCTCTACAGGTTACCTTCTGACATCTCATTTCCCCAGTCTTCATCTTCTTACCCAGAACATCTTTGATCATCAACAGTTACATACAAAAAGAGGAAAAACAAGACAAAAGAAGGGAAAGCCCAGCAGTCATTGCTCCTCAGTGGCCCCCACCACTTATAACCACAAATCTTAACAGTTTTCACTCTCAACTCTCTTAATGAAGTTATGGCTCAAGTACTACAATCAATAAGCTGAGAACTAGCTATGTCTCAAAAGAAAACCCTCCCAGCTTACGATGTCCTTATGAAGTCGTGACTCCTTTAAAAGGGATATGAAACCATACTGCTACTATATTATACAATGCAATGCAAAGGGTATGTGTATCTTATCACCTTCTACAAAATTCAGCCTAACCCTTTATTTTCTAAATATCTGATACATTAATTTGATAAGAATACAAATCTTGTAGACGCCCCCGATACACATACCCTAAGTTCATATGTATTATAGATTCCAGTATGTCTAACTATCAGATCAGTACAGCTTTTACAAACTGGATTAAGTGGGGAGGAACACAGAGTTGCAGGGATTTCAGAAGCTTCAAAATTCTCTAGCAACTTCTGTTTTACCTGTTTTAAATTTTAATTTGATAATAAAGATTTAAGATGAATACAGACAGCCACTTTATCACAGTATACTGTCATAGAACAGCAACCCAAGGTTTTGTTTACAACCCCTACCCCCCAAAATTGTTTCCGGTTGATGAAAAAGATCAGATGCACACTTACTAGGTAAATTAAACCTTTTTGTCAAGAGAAGAATCTGTCATGTAAAGCTCAAAATCACTAGTTCAAATAAAAAAAAAAGTATCAGAAGAATTGAGCTCTTGCTAGTTCAGGCATGCTGAACTCAAAAGAAATCCATTGTAAGAGGCAATACATTCACAATGAAAATGGTCATTTAGATCCTACTACTCAAAGTATAGTTATAGGACAAGCAGCATCAGTATCATCACCTTATTGAAAATGCAAAATCTCAGGCCTGTTAAAAAAAAAAAAAACTGAAAAATGCAGAATCTCAGACCCTCACCCCAGATCTACTGAATCAAAATCTCCATTCTAACAAGATCCCCAGGTGAACAAAGTTTGAGAAGCCCTGATTTAGATTCAACAACGTGGCATCATCTTTCAAATCAATACTGCAGATTGGAACTTTACAAAATTTTATATTTGTTACTATTTGATATAAGACTATTTGGGGGCCTGGCACAGTGGCTCATGCCTGTAATCCCAACACTTTGGGAGGCCAAGGCAGGAACATCACTTGAGTTCAGGAGTTCAAAACCAGCCTGGGCAATAAACCAAGACCTCATCTCTACTAAAAATCAAAAAAATTAGCTGGGTGTGGTGGCATGCGTCTGTAGTCCCAGATACTCAGGAGGCTGAGGTGGGAGGGTCACTTAAGCCCAGGAGATCAAGGCTGCACTGAGCTATGATCAGACCACTGCACTCCAGCCTGGGCGACAGGGTGGGATTCTGTCTCAATAAAATAAAATAATAATAAAAAAAGAATATTTTGGGTTTCATAATTACAGAGATACAAGTTTATATTTAGGATTATGTCTGCAGATATATATAATATTGATAAAAATTCAGATCCACATTCTCAATAAACACCTTAAGATACAACTTATATGGGCCAGGCGCAGTGGCTCACACCTGTAATCCCAGCACTTTGGGAGGCCGAGGCGGGTGGATCACAAGGTCAGGAGATTGAGACCATCCTGGCTAACGCGATGAAACCCCGTCTCTACTAAAAATACAAAAAATTATCTGGGCGTGGTGGCGGGTGCCTGTAGTGCCAGCTACTCGAGAGGCTGAGGCAGGAGAATGGCATCAACCCGGGAGGTGGAGCTTGCAGTGAGCTGAGATTGCTTGAGACACCTTCTCAAAAAAAAAAAAAAAAAAAAAAAAAAAGAGATACAACTTATGTTCTAAAATAACTAATCACATGGTAAGTGCTCAAAGCAAACTCAGTCTCTGTACTCCATAGAAGTTAACTCTGATCCTTAATCACTGTTAAAGGATTTTCCCCACCTAACTTGTATAGTGCCTGGCACTCTAATATTAATAAATCATTAATATTAACAAACTAATAATTACTAATAAATTTTAACAAAAAGTTTTATGTAGACAACCACTCTCAAGACCAGATTTCTGAATAACCAATTTGGTGAACACCATCATTAGAATGGTCTGGCTGCACCTGTGTACAAAATTATTGGCAATACAGGAGCAACTGAAGATCTCAAATATTCCTCATGGTCACCCTTGGTACTCTAGAGACACAGAAACACACAGCATACTCCCATTCCTTCCAATCTGCACGCTCTCTTGATGGCAAACTTAATTAGAAAAGGATTTTAAAGATGCATAAACAATAACTTTAAGAGGCAAATGTGAAATCTCGAGGGTGGTACTCTCATACTCCATTTTCTCCCTTCAGCACTTCACTCTGTATTATCTGTGCATATGCCTATTTGCTATGTTAAAACGTAACTCCCTTTGAGAACAGCAAACTCCCTTTTGTATTCCCAATTCACCACATTTTTTTTTTTTTTTTGAGACAGGGTCTAGCTCTGTCACCCAGGCTGAAGTGCAGTGGCACAAACATGGCTCACTGCAGCCTTGACCTCCCAAGGCTCCAGCAATCCTCCCACCTCAGCCTCCTGAGTAGCTGAGACCACACGCACACACCACCACACTCAGCTATTTTTTTTAGGGGGTAGAGATGGGGTCTCCCCACGTTGCACGGGCTGGTCTTAAACTCCTGGCCTCAAGCAATCCTTCTGCTTCAGCCTCCCAAAGTGCTGGGATTACAGACATGAGCCACCGCACCCCGCCCACCTACCTATGTTCTACAAGTGGCAACCAGAAAGGCATGTTAGACATTCCTTTTTTTTTTTTTTTTTTTTGAGACAGTCTCACTCCATTGCCCAGGCTGGAGCGCAGTGGTGCAATCCTGGCTCACTGCAACCTCCACCTCCCGGGTTCAAGCAATTCTTATGCCTCAGCCTCCCAAGTAGCTGGGATTATAGGCATGCACCACCACACCTGGCTAATTTTTTGTATTTTTAGTAGAGACGGGGTTTTGCTATGTTGGCCAGGCTGGTCTCCAACTCCTACGCTCAACTGATCCACCCGCCATGGCCTCCCAAAGTTCTGCAATTACAGGCACGAGCCACCACCATGCCCGGTCGCATGTTAGACATTTCAAATAGGCACTAATAAATAAGGAAAAAGTCCTATTCTGGAGTGGCAATCACGACTCTCATACAACAGGCAAGGCTAACCAGTTTCAACACAGCAGTTTAATAAAAAACACGTCTAACACTATAATAATTACTGTACTTTTGATCATAAAACTTCCAAATGGAATTTTCTGAAGCAATAAATTGAAACGCTAGTTTAAATGCCTCTGAAAAAGTACAATGACATTTCATTTATCTGACAACACAGACAACGATTCCATTGTATGTGAATTTTCCAAATGAATGAAATGTACCACTTCTAAAAATTTATATTTAAGATATAAATGTTTCTTATAATACATTATATAATTTCTTGAAATATTTACAAATGTCTGAGGTTGTATCAAGATAATGGAGAAAAGAAAGGAGGGGGCAGAATACATATGAAATGAGATTTATGAATGAATTTGAACCTGGGTGATGGACACATGTTTGTTCATTAGACTATTCTACTTTTGTATGTGTTTGAAATTTTTCATCTAAGGAAATTCACACCACAGTAATCAAAACTGTGGTGCCGGCTGGATGCAGTGGCTCACATCTATAATCCCAGTACTTTGGGAAGCTGAAGCAGGTGGATCATTTGAAGTCAAGAGTTTGAGACCAGCCTGGCCAACATGGTGAGACCCTGTCTCTACTAGAAACACAAATATTAGCCGGGCCTGGTGGCGCACACCTAAAATCCCAGCTACTCCGGAGGCTGAGGCAGAAGAATCCCTTGAACCCAGGAGACGGAGGTTGCAGTGAGCAGAGATCACACCACTGTACTCCAGCCTGGGTGACAGAGTGAGACTTCGTCTCAAAAAAAAAAAACCCAGAAACAACAACAACAACAACAACAACAACAACAAACTGTGGTGGCAACACTGACACAGACATACAGACCAAAGAAATAAAACTTAAAGTCCGGAAATAAATCCATATATCTAGCATCTAATGATCTGACAAGGGTGCCAGAACCTTTCAATAGGGAAAGAAATCTTCTCTTCAACAAATGGTATTAGGACAACTAGATATCCACATATAAAAGAATGCAGGCCGGGTGCGGTGGCTCACGCCTATAATCCCAGCACTTCAGGAGGCCGAGGCGGGCGGATAACGAGGTCAGGAGATCGAGACCCATCCTGGCTAACATGGTGAAACCCCGTCTCTACTAAAAATACAAAAAAACTAGCCAGGCGTGGTAGCAGGTGCCTGTGGTCCCAGCTACTCGGGAGGCTGAGGCAGGAGAATGGCATGAACCCGGGAGGCGGAGCTTGCAGTGAGCTGAGATTGCGCCACTGCACTCCAGCCTAGGCGACAGAGCGAGACTCCGTCTCAAAAAAAAAAAGAATGCAGATGAACCCCTACATCATACCACATACAACAATTAATTCAAACTGGAACAAAGACCAAAATGCAAGAGATAAGGCAATAAAAGTTTTGTTTTTTTTTTATTTTTAGAGATGGAGTCTCACTCTGTCACCCAGGCTGACGTGCAGTGGTGCAATCTTGGCTCACTGCAACCTCCGCCTTCCAGGTTCAAGCAATTCTCCTGCCTCAGCCTCCCGAGTAGCTGGGACTACAGGCGCGTGCTACCACACCCGACTAATTTTTGTATTTTTAGTAGTAGGTTTTGCCATGTTGGCCAGGCTGGTCTCGAACTCCTGACCTCAGGTGATCCACCCACCTCGGCCTCCCAAAGTGCTGGGATTACAGGCATGAGCCACTGTGCCCGGCCAGCAATAAAACTCTTAAGAAAACATACAGGTAAATCTTCACGACCCTGGATTTGGCAACAGATTATCTCAGATACAACACCAAAATGCAAGCAACAACAACAAAAATAAACTGGACTTCAACAAAATTTAAAACTTTTGTGAAAAAGAAACTTTAAAAGACAGTGGAAAAAACAAACTACAGAAATCAGAGAAAGTATCTGCAAATCATATATCTGATAAGGATCTAGTATCCAGACTATATCAAGACCTCTTACAACCCAACAATAAAAATACAACCCAGGCTGGGTGCGGTGGCTCACACCTATGATCCCAGCACTTTGGGAAGCCAAGACGGATGGATCACCTGAGGTGAGGATTTCGAGACCAGCCTGGCCAACATGGTGAAACCGCATCTCTACTAAAAATACAAAAATTAGCTGGGCATGGTGGCACTGTAGTCCCAGCCACTTGGGAGGCTGAGGCATGAGAATCGCTTGAATCCAGGAGGCAGAGGTTGCAGTGAGCCAATATCACGCCACTGCACTCCAGCCTGGCCAACAGAGTAAGACCCGGTCTCAAAAAAAAAAGAAAGAAAGAAAGAAAGAAAGAAAAAGACAACCCAGGCCAGGCACAGTGGCTCACACCTGTAATCCCAACACTTTGAGAGGCTGAGATGGGAGGATCACTTGAGGCCAGGAGCTGAAGACCAGCCTAGGTAACAAAGCGAGACCCCATCTCTACAAAAAATTTTTAAAAATTAGCTGAGTACAGTGGTGTATGCCTGCAGTCCTAGCTACTGGGGAGGCTGAGGAGGGAGGACTGCTTGAGTCCATGAGTTCAAGGTTACAGGGAGCGATGATCACACCATTGCACTCTAGCCTGGGTGACAGAGTGAGATTCCATCTCTCAACAGAAAGGAAGGAGAAAAGGAGACAAAAAAGACAAAATTTTACAATTTACCAAAAAAAAAGGAGGGGGAGGAATGATTACATTAACAGCAACAAAAATTCTGTGATACATGGGAAAAAGCCAAATCCTAAAGATTAAAATGAAGAAAATAATATTTTACTGTTATAGAATTAAATTAACCAACTAAATGGAGAGGCAAATCATATTACTTATTTGTTCACAAATATATTTCTAGCATCCAGAAAAATATCTGGCACTCAAGTGCTTAAATCTCAATATATTTCTTGAATGGAATGATTCAACACCATAAAGATGTCAAGTGTCACAAATAATCTATAAACTTAATGGACTCCCAATTGAAATCAATCTCAACTGATATTTACCTTGGCAAGTATTACATTTAAAAAAAAAAAGGAAAAATCTCAAATTGTTAAAATATCAAGAACATTAACATGCCCACAGATGTCTTCAGTTGCCTTTAAGTGATTCTCAAGCATTCTCAGCACCTGTAAGACATACATGAACGATGGTCAAACAGCTTGAGAAATGTCTCACAAATGCCTAAATCTAGTTTAGAAATCCCTAGGCCAGCAGTCCTCAAATTCATTCCCAAGGTCTCTTTAGGGAATCTAAACTATTTTAGGGGGTCAAAACTATTTTCAAAATAATACTAAGAGGATACTAGCCTTTTTCATTCTCATTTTCTCACAACTGTACAGGGGAGTTTTTCAGAAGCTAAATGATGTGTGATGATGCTGCAGATCAAATGCATAAGCAAATGTGAGGATCTATCTTCTATTAAGTCATATAATAGTGAAGATGTTTGCAAAAACGCTTAGCTCTTCTATTTTTGAAAATATGGTTATTTAATAATGTTATGTATCATAGTGTAAGTTTATTTTTATTTTTAAATTAAATATTTGAAGAACTTTTCAGTTTTAGTTTGTAATACCTGTAACTGGTAGATATAACCTACATACACAGAAGCCTTTTGTGTTCCTTAGGAATTTAAGAGTGTAAAGGAGTCTAGGACCAGAATTTGAGAATTGCTATTCTAACCTAACCACTGACACTCAGTTCCTTGGTAAAACAACACTCTGCCCACCTTATAGATCAACTGCAATACTGGAATAAACTTAGAAGCATAAATAAAGCACAACAAATGAGCAAGTAACATTAAAAGTAGCTGAATGAGTTCCCCACAGGGACAGCATGGAAGGCTAGAGAGGTTACTATCAACAAAAATCTATAATCTGTTTTCTTATTAATTTATAGCAAACTAGGACTTCTTCCCCTACCACTTCCTAAAGCGTCAGGATAGGAACAGGCTAGACCAAAAGAATTCTGATTATGCATCTTTTTTTGATGTAATTTATGCAGACAAGAGTTTCATTCAAATATATGCAAGTAAGAAATGAATTCCTTTATTAAACCTAGGCTATGTGTATTATATTTGTTTGATATGTGGATATTGAATCCTAGCCTTTGTCTCAACAAGTTTCCCGAGTCAACTGAAAAAGGTCAGGAAAACTTGCTGAACAAACACCACATCAAAATCTCATTCTTAGAATTACACAAACTGGGGCTGAGCGTGGTGAATCACACCTGTAATTCCAGGCCTTTGGGAGGCCAGGGTGGGAGGATCACTTGAGTTCAGGAGTTTGAAACCAGGCAGCCAACATGGTGAAACCCTGTCCCTACTAAAAACACAAAAATTAGCCAGGTGTTGGGCGCCTGTCATCCCAGCTACTTGAGAGGCTGAGGCAGGAGAATCGCTTGAGCCCAGGAGGCGGAGGTTGCAGTGAGTGGAGATCGCGCCACTGTACTCCACCCGGGGTGACAGAGCAAGACTCCATCTCAAAAAAAAAAAAGAAGATTTTTCACAAACTGGAACAGAATTCTAGAACTTGGTCTTTAAGCAAAATTCTAGAATTCTAAAAATACACAGACAAGAATAAATATCTTGATCACTGACACATGCTGTACAAATAAAATTAGGTAAGTTAAAATCTAATTTTAAATGAATACTGAGTGGCTAAGAAGTTAAAATAAGGATTAATTAAATATAAGAATTAAGGACAGTGAGTATTGTATGTTCTGTCCAAGAACTGAAAAGTGGCTCCATGCCTTCTCTTGATAACTAAATAAGCAGTTGTCATTTCTCACACAGTTCACACCTTGCCAGAAACATGCCTGACATAGCCAAGGAGGGGAGGTGGAATGACAGTAAAATCTTTAAAGTGTGGACCTTCACCCAGGAGAATAAAACCGGATCTCTATCTCATTTTACACAAACAAGAATACTAATCCTAAAATTGGACTTTCTCCCTCTAGATTTTCTTTCCAGTCTGTGTTTTTGTCCCATTTACAAATATTCAAAATATCCCTGAAGAAAGGAAAGAAATATTAAAATAAAGGTAAAAAGCTGACTCACAAAGCAGTGGAACTTCCCATTCCCCATCTCCCAATATCTCATGTGGAAGACCAAAATAAAAACCCAAGCAGTTCCAGTCAAAGGGAACTCTGCTAAAGCTCAGGATTTCTTAAACACAATCTGAAAGCCATTCATAAAAAGGAGTCCATGAGGCATTTATACACACACACACTCACAAAATGTATCAATTTCATATATTGGTATATGAGAAAATAAATGTTTTAAAATTATATTGCCACCACTTTCCCTTCAACATGAGCCAAAAACAAACAAACCAAAACAACAACAACAACAACAACAAAACACAGATTAGGTTGAGAGGGGGAAAAAACAGCATTTCTTCTACACAACCAAACCAATCATTTAACAACAGGGTCTAGTGTGCAATTTAAACTTTACAGCATCCCTGAAAATCTTTATAAATCAATGAGACACTCACTTTTCCCTAAAAAGACACAGACAAGAATAAACATCTTGTCTCCCAATGGCTTTTTTCTATTGTGAAAGAGCCTGGAAAGTAAAAAGTGTAAGTAGGGAAACATATAAGCCGGATCGCGCCTGTAGTCCTAGCTACTAGGGAGGCTGAGGTGGGAGGATCACTGGCCAGGAGTTCAAGACCTGACTGGGCAACATAGTGAGACTGCCCCTCCATCTCCAAAAAACAAAACAAAACAAAAACACATATATATGTAATTTTAATCTAAAGAACACATTTGTGTAATCCTAAACCAAACGAACGAATTGAAAAAAAAACTGTAATAAGACAATCAGGGAAATCAGCAAACTGACTGAATATTTGCTAATGTTTAAGAATCACTATTAATATTTCTTACAGATATACTTGGTGGATTTACAGATGAAAAGCTAATGAGATTTGCTTTAAAATATCTAGTAGGTGGGGGCCAGGGGCGATGGATCACGCCTGTAATCCCAGCACTTTGGGAGGCCGAGGCGGGCGGATCACCTGAGGTCGGGAGTTCGAGACCAGCCTGACCAACATGGAGTAACCCCGTCTCTACTAAAAATACACAACTAGCCGGATGTGGTGGTGCATGCCTGTAATCCTAGCTACTCGGAGGCTGAGGCAGGAGAATCGCTTGAACCAGGGAGGTGGAGGTTGCAGTGAGCCGAGATCGCGCCATTGCCCTAAGTTTCTTGTTGTCTGGGCAACAAGAGGGAAACTCCGTCTCAAAAAAAAAAAAAAAATGTATATATATATTTGTGTATATATTTGTATATATATATATTTATATATATGTGTGTATATATATTTGTATATATATATATATACACACACTTCTAGTAGGTGGGATGAAACCAAGCAGGTCATGTGCTAACAATGGTTGAAGGCAGGTAATTAATACATAAAGGCTCATTATACTCAGTTCTCTATTTTCTAGAGACAGCTGAACATTAGCAAGGAAAAAAGTACCCTATACATCAAAAATTCCTGTCAAAAGTACAGAAATTTGTGTTCCCCTACATCACCCATAATCCTTATTTTCTCATTCATCTGGTTTAACAATAATTCAATTCTCCAAACCAATTAACTTCCTCCAATAGACCTAAAACTGAAATACAAGACTATCTTTGTTGTCTTTTAATTCTACTCATAAGCTAGTCAAACGCTAGGTGAGAAAACGATCCAGGCTTCCAATTTATAATTAGTAAACTTATTTTAACTTCAAGACAACATATCTGTTTTGAGTCAGACTGATGAACTAGCACTAGTTTTTTTAATTTACCTTACTCTCCGCCTCGTATTTAAGTTTGGTGGGTAGTGTACGAACGTGTAATGTAACAGATGTTGTTCACTCCCAGGAAGTCAACTCTTTCCATCATGAGTAACAGAACTCAATCGAATGTGACACACAGAAATGTCTCAAAAATCTCTAGGTAAGTAACTCGCATATACCCTTATCCTCCCTCCCCAAAGCATTGCAGGTGGTTAGAAAGGAGCGACCTCGGTTGGTTGGTTTCTTCTTCTTCCCTTCCTTTCTTAGGGGAAGGCTAGAGAGCAAAGAAACGACAAAAAAAAACAGGCCGGAAGAAGGAAAGCGAAAAGCATGAGGGCTGGACAATCAGCCCTTAAATAAACGAAAACTGTATCCAAATCAGATTAAGTTGAGAGACAGCGAACTGCTAAACACCTCCCCATAACTCTAACGTACCTGAAACCGCGAGTAGAGAAACCCGGCCGTACATCACATTCAAGCTCCCTTCCCTCCCAAAGTACTCACAGGTATAAGAGGCATAAAAAGAACTTCCCCACCCTCGCCAAGAGTAGCGCGGAAAAAAACTCACACTGGCCTGGGCCACGCTGGCGAAGCCGCCTGACCCTCCCCGCGCGACCAGGAACCCTCAAATGACTACCCCGCTCCTCAGGCCGGGGAAGGGGTGCCGGGGGAGCGAGGCTCGACTGGGAGGACCCGCCCGCCGTCGAGGCCCTACGTGCCCACCCGGCCCGGGGGCTTGGGCCCGCTCCGCACACTCTGGGCCCAGGCCTGGTACCCCGCGAAGCTCATCGCGAGCCCAGACCCCGGTCCGACGCCGCGCCCGGCGAGACCCGCACACTCCACTGAGCCACGGCGGCCGCCGCCGTACGGACCCAACCCCTATCTACCTGTCTTCGCTCTTGTTTTTCTGTTTCTTCCCCATTGCTTGTCAATGGCGCTCGTGGCCCCAGCCCCTCTATTCGGTCTCTCACAGACCCACTGTCTCCCGGCTGACTTTGGTCTCCGCTCAGCTCTTTTCCCCTCGTGCTGCCGCCGCTCGCACCCGGCTCTCCACAGACCCGCGCACTGGAACAGGACACATATGGTGTGAGTTCTCAGTGCGCAAGCGCATCGCCCAGCCGCCTCGGCGTGAGGACGCAGGGCGCGGCTCATCGAGAGCTGCGCTTCGGGTAGAGCGTCTCCGGTTGACCGGCCGACCAGGCAGCAGCCCGAGCGCCCCCTGCCCTCAAGCGTCCGCCACGAGCCGACACCCGCGGGTTTTCCACGTTCTAGAACCCGGAGGTGGACAATGAAGCTGTCAATTTCGCCACCTCACCCCTCTCCCAACGGGGAACGCACGCTTCGGTTCAGGAGTGGGCTTTGGGCTTCCCTTTATATCTTTGTATTCTCAGCCGCACGAAGTTCAGTAAAGAACCACAACGAACCAATAGAGTCCTCTGGGGGTTTGCGAGAGAGATAAATTCAGGACAAAATAGGGACCTCTCAGTAACATCCATGCATTATGCATTATGTACAGTCACTGAATAAAACAGAACAGGACACAGCCGATCAATTCCCTAACATAGGTCTTCAGCTTCACCCTCAAAGCGAGGGCGAGTTCTAAAAATTCCTGTGTTTCGAAGAGTCAAGAGGGGACCTACAGGGGTGGTGGAAAATGTTCTATATCTGGATCTGGCCGGTGATATTTTGGGTTTTAACTATGCAAAAGTTAATTGTGCTGTATATGTTTATGCCTCGACTTTAGGAAAAATGTTAACAAAAGAAAACAAAAAAAAGAAAAATGTTCATTCAACACTAACAGAATGGAAACGCAGTTCAAGCGTCACGGCTGAGCGAGAGCACAGCTGTCTCATTTCCAGTCTGGCGCACTGGACCGTGAATACTGAAGCACGCTCCTGAGAAAGTCCGGCCACGACAGCCTGCGCACTAAGAAACTGCAACTCCCACAATGCTTTGCGGCCTTCCAGTTCGGCCGTGTACCCGGAGGAAAGCAAGGGTCGGACACCTTGGGTTCCGGGCTGCTGGGCGGGAGGCGCACGCGCAGAACTGTTCGCCACCCGACCGCCCGCCCCTTCCTCTGGCGTCCAAGGTGATATCGCGCGAGGTTCGCAGCCAATAAGGAGGCGGATGTGACGGCCCGTTTGCAGCCGCCGGCAGCTACTGCAAGGCAAAAGCCGGAGTGGACGTGTCTTTTGAAACTGCTGCTCTTTCACTTCTCAGGCGTCACCGAGAGCTCAGGTGAGGCAGAGGGTAGTGAGAAGAATCCGACCACCACGTCCGGGTGCTGGTGAACATTCTGCTGCTCCACATCCGGAGCGGAGGAGGGGCGCGGCCCCAGCACCGGTGTCGGTGTCCTGGCAGAGGCTCTTGCGCAAGCGCACCAGGAGGCGTCGAAGTTGGGGCCACCGGGACTGTGCTTTCCTCTGTTTCCCCGGGCGCAGGGAGTGGCCGGCTTGCCATTGGGGAGGTACCTGGGGTTCAGTTAAGGACCAGGCCCCTTGATTGTTTTGGCGGATACCTGTAAGGGTGTCCAGGAAATGACTAGGGAATTTGAGGACGCGCTGTGTCCCGTCCCACCCTTCCAGCGGAGCTGTAAAAAGGAAGAATCAGAGGCTGTGGTTTGAAAAATGAAAAGCTAACGAGGGGTTGCATCGTCTCTTTACCCCATTCTCAATGCTCTGACCACCAACACCTACACCCAGAATAGCTCTTCTTAATCTCGTCTTTTTCCAGTTATCCCATAATTAAATTCTGGGCTCATTCTATAAAGTTCCAGGGTAGGCATTCTCTGTGCTTATCCCTGGAGCACAGCTTCCAACGTTCAATTCAGTATCTTATTATCTTCTCCTTCCAGCCCCCTCACTGAGGGTCACAGTCCTACTGACATTTTTCTTGGGCGATAGGGAGCGTGGAAATCTTTGCTGTGTTTGAAATACAGCACCTTTCCAATTTTATAGCACTCACGAGGAGCTTACAATTTGGTTTTTTAGACTCAAATACTTTTGAAACTTAACAGTGTAGTAATTTGAACAGAAGTCAGGCACGTGTTCATTCAACGTTAAATACATGTTTATTGAGTACCTGCTGTGTTCTATGGAGATACAAAGATGAAATCAAGTATGCTTTTCAAATCCTTTTCCTGTAAAGAAAAAGGAATCAGAATTGAAGTTTGCAAGAATATTTCTCTTCAGCTCAACGTTTATAGAGGGCCTGTGTGGGTCAGAATCTGTGTCAGAAGCTGAGTGAATGAATTCACAGTTTGTTGTGAAGTTTGGGGTGCTTCAGTATTATTTGCAAATGTATCATAGTTCATTGATATGCAACAGCCTCCTGCTTTGATAGGCAAATTATAAATCATTTCTGCAGTAATAACCCTGAGATACACATAAACTTGCCCTCTAATTGTTGGTATAAAATTTCTCGTACAAAATACTCCATTTCTTTTAAAAGAAGTAAAATTTTGGCCGGGCGCGGCTGGCTCACGCCTGTAATCTCAGCACTTTGGGAGGCCGAGGCGGGCGGATCACGAGGTCAGGAGATCGTAGCCATCCTGGCTAACACGGTGAAACCCCGTCTGTACTAAAAATACAAAAAGAAATTAGCCGGGCGTGGTGGCGGGCGCCTGTAGTCCCGGCTACTCGGGAGGCTGAGGCAGGAGAATGGCGTGAACCCAGGAGGCGGAGCTAGCAGTGAGCGGAGATGCGCCACTGCACTCCAGCCTGGGCGACAGAGCGAGACTCCGTCTCAAAAAAAAAAGTAAAATTTTGTACTAATTGCTAGTACAAAATACTCCATTTCTTTTAAAATATATAGTCATGTGCCACATAAGGACATTTCAGTTTTATGAGATTGTAATACTGTATTTATCGTACCTTTTCTATGTTTAGATACACAAATGCCATTATGTTACAGTTGTCTGCAGTATTCAGTACAGTAACATGCTGTACAGATTTGTAGCCTAGGAGTAATAGGCTGTATGGCATAGCCTAGGTGTGTAGCAGGCTGTACCATCTGGGTTTGTGTAAATAGTCTATAATGTTTGAAACAATATCAAAATCACCTAATGATGCATTTCTCAGAATGTATTCTCATTGTTTTGTGGGTTTTTGGTTTTTGGTTTTTGAGACAGGGTCTGGCTCTGTTGCCCAGGGTGGGGTGCAAGTGGTGCGTTCTCAGCCCACTGCAACCTCTGCCTCCTGGGCTCAAGGTATCCTCCTCCCACTTCAGCCTCCCTAGTAGCGGGGACTACAGGCACACACCACCGGGCCTGGCCAATTTTTCTATTTTTAGTAGAGACAGGGTTCCATCATGTTTCCCAGGCTGGTCTCAAACATCTGAACTCAAGTGATCTGCCCACCTTGGCCTCCCAAAGTGCTGGGATTACAGGCGTGAGCCATAGCACCCAGCCTAGAATATATTCCCATTGTTAAGTGATGCATGACTAATTGAGATAGGTCTTCCTTTCTAATCTGAATTAGTTCTATTTTGAAACTCTGATTTTACACAGAGGAGTGATGTTGGAAAAAAACCCAAAATTTAGAAAAGTATTTGGAGTGTTTTACATCAAAGTTAACACTGTCAGTAAATGGAAACCAGTATTAATTTTTGTGACCTCATAGACTTTTTTGTTAGGTAATGGGAGAACAGGAATGGACATTAATGCTCAGGGAACACCAGGCACTCTTCTTTACATAAATGGTAATGAGACGTCTTAGGAGTTAAATGAAACTCATTTGGGCAGCAGCCATGAAAAAAATCTGTGTTTTGCTCAACTGTACTCTGTGTTTAAGTAAAGTTTAATATATATATTTATGTGTAAAACCTCAGTAGGTATACCTTCCTATTGTTCGCAGTTGTTTCTGATTTCTCTTTCCCATTGGTAAAGAACACTGATTGTCAGTATATATCACTAGGTATAACTTCACAACTCATTTCTCTGTGGTTTGGTGATGGTCTTAAAGACTTGTCTTGGCTTTAGTATAGTAAAACATATGCTAAATCAGAAGCACCCTAAATTTGCTGTAAGTAGTTTTTGAGTGGTGTGACTAGAACCTACTGAGAATTAAATTTAAAAACACATAAAAATTGTTAAGCCCAGCATCAAGTGCTTGGATGTCGTTAGAATACTCCATAGAGTACACATTATACACTTGCCAGAATTTTTGAAAATGGTAGAGAAAACCTTGCTTATTGTTTGCATTTTTTAAAATGTATTTTGTAAATCTTCTCCCCAGCACCCAGGCTGAACTCTGTACCATTTGGAAGAATGGAAGCTGATGCATCTGTTGACATGTTTTCCAAAGTCCTGGAGCATCAGCTGCTTCAGACTACCAAACTGGTGGAAGAACATTTGGATTCTGAAATTCAAAAACTGGATCAGATGGATGAGGATGAATTGGAACGCCTTAAAGAAAAGAGACTCCAGGCACTAAGGAAAGCTCAACAGCAGAAACAAGTAACCTCTCTGCCCTGCTTTCTGAAATTGCTATAACAGTATGCGCCTAACAACTTATATATACATGTGCTGTAGTAGTTACATTTCGTTCTTTGTGTTTAGGGTTTTTAAAATTCAGAATACCTATTACTGTTAAAAATTTGCCCAGAAAAAAATATGTTTTAAAGACATTCAAAATTAGCCCAATCTCTATATTAATCCACAGTCGAGTAAAAGAAAGATCTGCCCAAGATCGTTTTTCTGAGCTTGGATTTGTTTGGTTGAATGGAGGGCTAGGGAGTCATTGGTTTCCATTTCAGGTAATATTAAAGCCGATTTAGCTATTTTCAAAGCAAACGAGATAAGACAGATGAGATAAGAGCAATTAAGTCAATTTATGTTGAAAAATGTATTTCAGGCATTTCCAATGAAATAATTATGTGGCATATTCAAAAGAATGCATGCTTTGTAACAAAGGTGGCCACAGCTCTATCGTTGTTGCCTCTTAGAATGTTTGTGTAGAATAAACGCAGAGTTGTAAACTCTGACTGAAACCAGTGGATTAAATTCTGTAAATTGAAATTTTTTTTTCTGCTTTTTGAGATGGAGTCTCGCTGTGACACCCTGGCTGGAGTACAGTGGTGTCATCTCAACTCACTGCAACCTCCGCTTCCCGGCTTCAAGCAATTATTCTGCCTCAGCCACCCGAGTAGCTGGGACTACAGGCGCACACCACCATGCCTGGCTAAGTTTTGTATTTTTAGTAGAGATGGGGTTTCGCCATGTTGGCTAGGCTGCCCTTGAACTTCTGACCTCAAGTGATCCGCCCACCTTAGCCTGCCAAAGTGATGGGATTACAAGCGTGAGCTACCGCACCTGGCCAAATTGAATTTTGATTAAAACATTTTTTCCACTGGGTTACATGGAAATACTTTATCACCAACTCTGGTTCCTTTTCAGTTGACTGTGACTTAAACATGAGGCTTAACTTTTCTGAAGAAATAGGGAGTTTTGACCGGGCATGGTGGTTCACATCTGTAATCCCAACACTTTGGGAGTCCAAGGTGAGCGGACAACCTGAGGTCGGGAGTTCAATACCAGCCTGGCCAACATGGTGAAACCCTGTCTCTACAAAAAATACAAAAATTAGCCAGGTGTGGTGGCGCACACCTGTAGTCCCAGCTACTCAGGAGGCTGAGGCAGGAGAATCTCTTGAACCCGGGAGGTGGAGGTTGCCGTGAGTCGAGATTGTGCTACTGCACTCCAGCCTGGATGATAGAGCAAGACCCAGTTCCCCCACAAAAAAAGAGAAGGAGTTTTGTTTGTATTGCTGTAGCATCACTTTGATATGTTTACACCCTCATGTTTAGAAGAGTTACTACAAAAGGAAATAATCTTTTATAAGTGAGTCCAAATTTTTATATTTTGAGTTTCTAAAATAGAGTACGTTATATGGCTTTTACCTGTACCCTACCGTATTTTAAAAAATAGGCTGCTTTTCTTTTTCTTTTCTTTCTTTTTTTTTTTTTTTTTGAGAGGGAGTCTCACTCTGTTGCCCATCCTGCCTTGACCTCTCAAGTAGCTGGGATTACAGGTGCCTGCCACCATGCCCAGCTGATTTTTGTACTTTAGTAGAGATGGGGTTTCATCATGTTGGTCAGGCTGGTCTCAAATTCCGACCTCAAATGATCCGCCTGCCTCAGCCTCCCAAAGTGCTGGGATTACAGGTGTGAGCCACCCCACACCAGGCCCAATTGGCTTCTTTTCATAGTATAGGGCTGATAATTAGTATGCAAAGGACGGATTATTGGAATTTAAGGTAATATATGTTTAGGTTCTGCCACAAACTCATATTTCATAGTCACATTTAAGTACTAATTGCTAATGTGCAACTAAAAATAATTATTTGTAACTAGGATATTTTTGTAGAGAGACTGAATTCACCTGATTTGCAGTGATGAACATACGTTAAATAATGTCTTAAAGGAACTTTTTGGCAGTTCAAAACAGTGGTCTGAATATAATTAAAACCAACTAAGGCAGACTGGCTATAAGCCTTTTTTATTATTAATGTATAAATCAATTTAAAATGAATTTGTCATCGAGTAATTCAGAGGGTCTTATTTTAGAACTTTCACTGCATTTTAGTAGGTCTTTTATTAAAATATTTTCTGGAAATAGTCAAGAAACCTAGTGATTTGTATAGATATTCTTTTTATAAGAGATTATACAGTAATTAGATTATGCAGTAATTTTGATTTTCTGATCCACGAGGGTATTGGGGAGATCATTGTATGCATTGACTTACAGTCGGCACTTAATAGACCTAGGTGAATCTATATTCTTCTGTCAGCCAAGCACCCTCCTACTGTTAACTAGAGCTGGCACACTTAGGTAGGGAGCAGAATAGAGGGATAAGGTAAGAAATAGGAGTTAAGCAGAGGCTTGGGTGACAGCCACTGACAGCCAGGTGCTGCCCAGCTGCCATGCCTCAGGTAGGCCCATCCTGCTTGATTCTGTTCTGCAGATACCTTAGGAGCACATGCTGTCCAAAAGGGGCTATGCTAAGAGCACAGGGGTGTAGTGAATGTGTCAGGAGAGGCCCTGAGCATTGGTAGAGGTTTGGAATGGGCACATCCTCCCTCAAAGGAGCCCAGGACAGGTTCGGGTCTTCAGCCTCTTGGTTAAATACCTGAGAATAAATAATGAAAAGAAATAGCAGCTTTTTTTTTTTTTTTTTTTTTTTTTTTTTGAGATAAGAGTCTTGCTCTGTTGCCCCGGCTGGAGTGCAGTGGCACAATCTCGGCTCACTGCAACCTCCACCTCCCAGGATCAAGCAATTCTTCTGCCTCAGCCTCCCAAGTAGCTGGGATTACAGACGCCTGCCACCATGCCCGGCTAATTTTTGTATTTTTAGTAGAGGTGGGGTTTCGCCATGTTGGCCAGGCTGGTCTTGAACTCCTGACCTCAGGTGATCCGCCCACCTCAGCCTCCCAAAGTGCTAGTATTACAGGCGTGAGCCACTGCGCCCGGCCTAGAAATAGCAGCTTTTTAAAAGACAAATACTTTTTTTTTTGAGACAGGGTCTTGCTCTGTCACCCAGGCTGGAGTGCAGTGGTGTGATCTTGGCTCACTGCAACCTCCGCCTTCGGAGTTCAAGCAATTATTGTGCCTCAGCCCCCGAGGAGCTGGGATTACAGGTGTGTGCCAACACACCTGGCTAATTTTCATATTTTTTGTAGAGACAGGGTTTCGCCGTGTTGCCCAGGCTGTTCTCAAACTCCTGTCCTCAAGTGATCCACCTGCCTCAGCCTCCCAAAGTGCTGAGATTACAGGTGTGAGCCACTGCGTCCAGCCTAACAAATACTTTTTAAGGGCACATATCATTGGTAAGTTGTGAAAGCAGTCATGAAATGTCATATGTCATTAGGGAATTGTATTTGAGAGTTAAACTGTGTGTAGAAATTTCACATAAGAAAATATCAGGGTATCCTGCAAGTGTCAGCTCGATGTAAATGGATGTGATTTTGACACCGCAGTCATCAATATAGTCTGGGCCACGTTCACTGACGTCCAGAGGAGGAAGGGAGATGGCCCTCCTGGCTCTTTGGTTGGACCCCTTCTGGAGGCTGGATTCAGACCTCTGTCACATTTTAAGAAGACATTGGTGAATTAGAGTGTGTTTAGTTGATATCCTGGAAGAGTAGGAACTCTAGAAATCTTTTCATATGAGAACAGTTAAAAGGAACTGGAAGTGTTCAGTGTGGAGAAGGGAAAACTTAGGCAATATGTGATGTTTGAAGGGCCCACGTGGGAAAGAGATTAAAACTTTAATCTTTATCCAAGCTGGAATCCACAGACCAGAATTATGGATATATTGCAGTTCAGTGTGAGATGACCTTTCTAACAATTAGTGCAGGTATAGAGACTTTTTAAGCATTTATAAAGTGGTTATCAAAAGCAGACAGGGCTCTTGAGCTTCAGAGCTGCAGTATCCTCCTTTTCTCCCCAAGACGAATTGGGTTTATCTCATAAGCATTATTTTTATTTTTATTTATTTTTGAGACAGAGTCTCACTCTGTTGCCCAGGCAGTGGCGTGATCTCAGCTCACTGCAACCTCTGCCTCCTGGGTTCAAGCAATTCTCCTGCCTCAGCCTCCCAAGTAGCTGGGATTACAGGCGCCTACCACCACAGCTAGGTAATTTCTTGTATTTTTTTTTTTTTTTTAAGTAGAGACGGGGTTTCACCATGTTGGCGAGGCTAGTCTGGAACTCCTGACCTCAGGTGATCCAGCCGCCTCAGCCTCCCAAGGTGCTGGGATTACAGGCATCAGCCACTGCACCCAGCCTCATGAGCATTATTTTTAAAAGACTTGTAGTAACTTGGATCAAATGCTTCTGGTTTTAGTAGTTTAAGAGTACATGGATAGAGTTAAGTGGATATTTACATTCTGAGTCTCTCAAGTCTAAATTTTTATTTTGAAAGTTCTGAGAAAATAGATGTTTTAAGCTACAAAGACAGGTAATTGTCTTGAACCCAGGCCATGCTGTGGAGACGTTCACTGTCCGTAGACTAGTTTTGCATTGACAGTAGAAACAGGAAAGTAAATTGCTAAAAAACATTCATTTTTCTTTGACTTCAGCCAGGCACAGTGGCTCATGCCTATAACCCCAGCACTTTTGGAGGACAAGGTGGGAGGATTGCTTGAACCGAGGAGTTTGACACCAGCCTGGGCGATATAGTAAAAACCCCGTCTCTACCAAAAAAAAAAAAAAAAAATGCCAGGCGTGGTGTGGCATGCGCCAGTGGTCCCAATTCCTTGGGAGACTGACGTAGGAGGATCTCTTGAGCCCAGGAGGTTTGAGGCTGCAGTGAGCTATGATCATGCCACCACACTCCATCCTGGGCAACTTTAGCAAGACCCATTCTCAAAAAAAAAATAAATAAATAACACTTTTGGGCCGGGCGCGGTGGCTCACACCTATAATCCCAGCACTTTGGGAAGCCGAGGCAGGCGGATCACAAGGTCAAGAGATCGAGACCATCCTGGCCAACATGGTGAAAACCCATCTCTGCTAAAAATACAAAAAGTAGCTGGACATACTGGTGCCCGCCTGTAGTCCCAGCTACTCGGGAGGCTGAAGCAGGAGAATTGCTTGAACCCAGGAGGCGGAGGTTGCAGTGAGCCAAGATCGCGCCACTGCCCTCCAGCCTGGTGACAGAGCAAGACTCCGTCTCAAAAAAAAAAAACAAAAACAAACAAAAAAAAAACTTTTTTTTTTAATTGACTTCATTACAAAATACGATGGTGATTTGGACACTTAAAATGTCAAGTGGTTCTGAAAGAGATATCTCACATGTGTAATGTTTTGCCTCTCTCCAAATTAGGAATGGCTTTCTAAAGGACATGGGGAATACAGAGAAATCCCTAGTGAAAGAGACTTTTTTCAAGAAGTCAAGGAGAGTGAAAATGTGGTTTGCCATTTCTACAGAGACTCCACATTCAGGTAACTTTGTTTCCATCTGTGACTTTTTCTAAAAAAACACAGTGAATTGTTTGGCTGGAGATATACTGGCTTACTAGAGAAATGAAGAAAACTAAAAGAAAAAACTTCCTAAGTTGTTTCATTGTACTCTCTCATATGTTATTTAGTATTAAGTTAAGCAGGCAGGGGCCCAGTGACTCAAGCCTGCAATCTCAGCACTTTGGGAGGCCAAGTGGGGGGTGGATCACTTGAGGTCAGGAGTTCAAGACCAGCCTGGCCAACATGGCGAAACCCTGCCTCTACTAAAACTACAAAATTAGCCGGGTGTGGTGGCAGGTACCTGTAGTCTCAGCTACTGGGGAGGCTGAGGTGGGAGAATTGCTTGAACCCAGGAGACAGAGGTTGCAGTGAGCGGAGATCGCGACACTGCACTTCAGCTCGAGCGATAGAGTGAGACTCCATCTCAAAAAAGAAAGAAAAAAAAAGTTAATTGTTATTTTAAAGAGTAACTTAAAGAACAGTTACATGCAAAAGTATAAATGAATATTACTGAAAGTCAATATTCCCATATAAATGGCTTATATTTTTGAATTGTATTTTCACTAGCTAACTAAAAACATCTTAGAAATGTACACTTAAAATTCTTATCACCATGACAGTAATTATTTCCCTCTAGTATTGTGATGTAGCCATGATATTGGGAACGGGCAACAGCTGTTGAGAGTCAGTGTTCCTTCAGTTCCTCCTTGAAGGAACTAGCAACTGTGGTGGGGAGATGGTGGCTTGGCCAAACCTTTCACCAGAGCAGAGTTGGGACTGCCAGTCTTGGCTAGAAGGAGAAGTGATTTTTCTTAGACCACCCTAGGTCTCCAAATTTCTCTAAGGAAGCAGATCTCTTATAAAATGTTAATACCTCCTCAGAAGAGGTCACATCGTAAACCAAAGGACCCAAGCCTTTGTGGTTTTTTGTGCACAGATTTGATTAGTTGCCAACACTTAAAAATCGAGAGATAACTCCTTTTGAAAATATCCACACTTAGAATTTTTCTTTAAAAAATCAGAAAACTTGCTAATAGCATAGCTGGAACTATGATGGCAGTCATCTGCTGACTGGCACCTGCCTACCCAGGACAGACAAGCACTGTGCTCTAGAGTCTCTGGCACTCACTGTGGTTTCAGCCCTGCTCTCTTTCTCATTTCTGTGGCCTTCTTGCCCCTTTGTCTTGATCTCACAACCCAACAGCTTCATTGTTAGTTAACACCTTTCAAGAATTGATTGCCTGGTATTCATTGACTAAGAGAATAAAAATGAAACAAAATATTGAGATGGTGAAATCCCTTGTGAGGAACAGTGAGAGAAGGGATTAGGCAGGTAGAAAGGTATCAGAGAAACCTCTGCCCTTATGGTACACAACCATCTCGCATTGGCACACATTCCTCAAGTTGCCAACCTCTGACAAATATGATGAGGTGATATATAAATATACTAGTATGTAAAATATTATTTGTCCACTTGTTTTTTTTTTGTTGTTTTTTTTTGTTTTTGAGACAGAGTCTTACACTGTCACCCAGGCTAGAGTGCAATGGCAGGATCTTGGCTCACTCCAACCTCCACCTCCCGGGTTCAAGTGATTCTCCTGCCTCAGCCTCCCGAGTAGCCAGGGCTACAGTCACCCACCACTACACCCGGCTAACTTTTGTCTTTTTAGTAGAGACAGGGTTTCTCCAGATTGGCCAGGCTGGTCTCAAACTCTTGACCTCAGGTGAACCACCCACCTTGGCCTCCCAAAGTGTTGGGATTACAAGTATGAGCCACGGCACCCGGCCTCACTTGTTTTTTTTATGTCTTTCCCAACTAGATTGTTCGTTTTGTAGAGGCAGCGCATTTGCCTGTATTGTGACCTACTGTTCTCTGGGATCATAGCCCTAAAGCAACTGCCTGACGCATAGTAGGTGGTCAATAAATACATTTGATGGTGTATAAACAGTGCATCACCAGGAGTACTCACCTTCAAACAGAACTGAAAAATCAAAATCATCCAGTGAACTTTATATATTAGCAAAGTTCCTAGCACATAGTAGGCAGGATGCTTTCATGTATATTATCCCTAGAACATTCACAATAATCTTCAGAGGCACTTATTATTATTCCTGTATTTCATGTATGGAAACCAAGATTTGGAGAAATTGACTCACCTAGTATCACTCAGATACTAAATGATAAAAAAAAGAGAGAGATTGGAACCCATGTTTTAAGCCTATTGCTATTTTTTTAATTTTTAACTTTTGTGGGTAGTAGTAGGTAAATATGGGGTACATGAGATATTTTAACACAGGCATGCAGTGTTTAATAATCACATCAGGGTAAATGGAATATCCATCACCTCAAGCTTTTATCCTTTGTGTTATAAACAATCTAATTATGCTCTTTTAGTTATTTTTAAACATACGTAAAGGCCTATAGCTATTTATACCATGACTGTTGTTTTGGATTTTTAAAAATTGATTGACGGGTTGGGCGCCATGGCTCATGCCTGTAATCCCAGTACTTTGGGAGGCTGAGGCAGGTGGATCATGAGGTCAGGAGATCAAGGCCATCCTGGCCAACATGGTGAAAACCCATCTCTACTAAAATACAAAAAGTTAGCTGGGCATGGTGGCTCGTGCCTGTAGTCCCAGTTGTGCAGGAGGCTGAGGCAGGGGAATTGCTTGAACCTGGGAGGCGGAGGTTGCATTGAGCTGAGATCGTGCCACTGCACTCCAGCCTGGCAACAGAGCAAGACACTCTGTCTTGCTCTTTAAATACAAATTAAAATTAGCCAGGCAATGGTGCGGGTGCCTGTAATCCTAGCTTCTTAGGAGGCTGAGCCAGGAGAATTGCTTGAACCCAGGAGGTGGAGGTTGCAGTGAGCAGAGGTCGTGCCACTGCACTCTAGCCTGGGCGACAGAGCGAGACTCCATCTCAAAAAAAAAATACGTTCCTTACTGCAGTTAAAGTATGGAGTTGATTTATTTACAAATTTTCAGGAACATATTTCTCATATAAAGGTTGATTTATCATTTGTTTTGAGCTTTATTTAAAAACCATTTATTAATTTGTTCTCTCTTACCATTTTTCACTGAAATCTCGTTACTGAACTACATGAGTAACATATGAAAAAACATATCCGGGGAAAAAGTGATGAGGCACCAAGGTTACACATAACTTATGTTAGAGCCAAACTTAGTTCAGGAAAAACTACATCAAGTGCACAAAAAGCTTACTGGTAAAAATAACCATGAAGTATTTTGTGTGTGAGTCATCTAGAGGTAGTTCTCAAGCTTTATTTGAGCATAAGAACAGCTGTATGTTTCCCAACTCCACTGCCAGAGAATTTTGATTCATCTGGATATTTTAAAAGTTGACGGCAGGCTGGGTGTGGTAGCTCACACCTCTAATCCCAGCACTTTGGGAGGCTGAGGCAGGTGGATTGCTTGAGGTCAGCAGTTCAAGACCAGCCTAGTCAACATGGTGAAACCCCATCGCTACTAAAAATACAAAAATTAGCCGGGCGTGGTGGCAGGTGCCTGTAATCCCAGCTACTCGGGAGGCTGAGGAAGGAGAATCGATTGAACCCAGGAGGCAGAGATTACAGTGAGCCGAGATCGCGCCACTGCACTGCAGCCTGGGTGACAGAGTGAGAGTCCAACTCAAAAAAGATGAATAAATAAAAGTTGATCATAATGAACACCTGGGGTTAAGAACCACCGGTCTAAAAGATTGTTACAATAGTCTGTTTTAGAAACACTCGTGAATTGGCCAGTTGAAAATGAATTTTTTGAGACAGAGTCTTACTCTGTCGCCTAGCCTGGAGTGCAGTGGTGTAATCTTAGCTCACTGTAACCCCCACCTCCCAGGTTCAAGTGATTCTCGTGCCTCAGCCTCCTGTGTAGCTGGGATTTCAGGTGCCCATCATGACGCCCAGCTAATTTTTGTATTTTTAGTAGAGATGGGGTTTCACCATATTGACCAGGCTGGTCTTGAACTCTTGGCCTCAAGTGATCTGCCCGCCTCAGCCTCCCAAAGTGTTGGGATTACAGGCGTGAGCCACTGCATCAGGCCAGAAAATAAATTTTAATGTAAAGAAGATGTCACTTTTTTTGTTTGTTGAGATGGAGTCTCACTATGTTGCCCAGGTTGGAGTACAACGGCACAGTTTCGGCTCACTGCAGCCTCCACCTCCCAGGTTCAAGTGATTCTCCTGCCTCAGCCTCCCAAGTAGCTGGGACTACAGGCATGCACCACCACACCCAGCTAATTTTTGTATTTTTAGTAGAGACAGGGTTTCACCGTGTTGGCTAAGCTGGTCTCAAACTACTGACTTCAAGTGATCCGCCTGCCTCAGCCTCCCAAAGTGCCAAGATTACAGATGTGAGCCACCGCACCTGGCCAAGAAAATCTCACTTCTGTTTCCGTCTTCATTGGAAGATGGCTTAATAAAAGTTACTACTGGTAGGCTGGGTGCAGTGGCTCACGCTTGTAATCCTAGCACTTCGGGAGGCCGAGGCAGGCGGATCACAAGGTCAGGAGATCAAGACCATCCTGGCTAACACAGTGAAACCCCGTCTCTACTAAAAATACAAAAAATTAGCCGGGCATGGTGGCAGGCGCCTGTAGTCCCAGCTACTTGGGAGGCTGAGGCAGGAGAATGGCATGAACCAGGGAGGCGGAGCTTGCAGTGAGCCGAGCTTGTGCCACTGCACTCCAGCCTGGGGGACAGGGCAATACGCCACCTCCAAAAAAATAAAAAATAAAAAAGTTACTACTGGTATTTTTTAATTTCCTAGAAGCATAATGGCCACATTTATTTAAATATTATTAGTAACCCTTAGCCTTAATGTGCTTCTTACTGACAGCGTTGCATATTTAGGAGTAAGAAGTTTTTCCTCGGTAATGCTGTTCAGTTTTTCTTCATGACTTCCAAATATGGCACCATGTGTGCACTTCTGATTCTTGTAAGTCTCTTCCGAGTTTTGTCAAGTTTCAGTTTGTTCCTCTTCAAGTTTCCTGTGTAGGAGATAGGACAACTTCCTTTATGACTTAAAGCATATATTTAATATTTTAAAAGAGAATATCATTAATGCAAATCTGACTTTCTAGAATCTTATAGGCTGTTTTCCCATCTCGTAATCAGGCAGCTAACCTCTGATCTGGAAGTGAGGTCATCTGACACAAGTTTAAGTTGGCTGCCATGTTATGAGAGTCAACAGAAAAACTACATAATTAGATTTCCCTTGATGATATTTATTTTGAAAAAAGCGATCTGTGGTTTTAGCTTATAATTTTCTATGTGTGGTCACTTACAGGTGTAAAATACTAGACAGACATCTGGCAATATTGTCCAAGAAACACCTCGAGACCAAATTTTTGAAGCTGAATGTGGAAAAAGCACCTTTCCTTTGTGAGAGACTGCATATCAAAGTCATTCCCACACTAGCACTGCTAAAAGATGGGAAAACACAAGATTATGTTGTTGGGTTTACTGACCTAGGAAATACAGATGACTTCACCACAGAAACTTTAGAATGGAGGCTCGGTTCTTCTGACATTCTTAATTACAGGTAACTTTTAACAAAAGAAGAGATTGATTTTAATTCATATATAGTTGATATTTTTACAAAAGATTTTTGTATTGTAACATTTATTTTATGAAATTAAGGCATTTTGGCTGAGATGTGGAAAGTTTCTCAAAGGAAAAGCATGTTTTTTTGAAGTGTGTAATATTAGCGTGATTTTACGGCAAAATCAGATTTACAGATTAAACTGATTTAATAGGTAAAACTGAGTCTCACCGTACTCCTGACTATAAAAGTTTTCAGCTTAACGTATACTATTGACACTAATTTTGTATTAATCTGGAAACTTAAAATGGCAATCCAGTGTTGACTATTCCCCAATTTAAGCCAGATTGCTCAAATGAATTCTGACTTAAGTGATTCTCTTTGATAAAATAAAAATTAAAAGCAGACTCTTGCAAAGAAAGTTATATTTTAAAATACTAGATTTTTAACATGGATATTTCTGTTTTACTTATAGAGGCTGATGAATAGAAAAAGGTTTCTATGCCTAGCTTACATTGCTTGCTATGAAGAACAGTTTTAGTTTGAAAACAATCTAAAATCCAACTTCCATTTCTTTGTCCACTTCTTCAGACAAATAATTTATCTAATTCCACAAATCAGAGCATATCATCTTGTCTTTTTTGCCTTTTCTTGATTTGCAAAAGTAACAGGTAAAATTGTGCACTTACCATTCCAGAGTCATGGTGCCTTTCAGGAAGTAGAAGGTTCTCTCACGTTTTTCTTTCTCCCCCATTTCCCTCCCGTCTTTTCTCTGACTCTCCTAGACATGCCGAAATCATTCCTATGTTGTAGAAATTGGTTTCATTTCCTTAATATTAACATAAAATATTAATATTTATTAAATAAAGTTATATATTTTGAAGTAATTTTAAGCCTTAAACAAATTGCAGCCGGGTGGGGCACTTGTGTAATCTCAGAAGATTACAGACTTTGAGAGGCTGAGGTGGGAGAATCAGTTGAGGCCAGGAGTTTGAGACCAATTTGGGCAACATATAGTGAGATGAGACCTCGTCTCTACAAAAAACTAGTAGAAACAACCCCCTGCAGACTAGTACAACGAATCCTCATTGACCCTTTGCCCATATTACCCAATTTTAAACATTTTATATTTGTTTTATCATTGTCTTTATAGATACTATGAAGTATTTTGGGAACCATTTGAGTGGAAATTGTGAATACAGTGTCCCTTTACTCCTAAAGACTTCCATATATATTTTCTAAGAACAAGAACATTTTCTTACGTAGCGACAGTACAATTATTGAAACAGGAATTATTGTGTAATTTACCGCTCTTATTTCAAGTTTTCTCATTGTCCCAATAATTGTCCTTCATACCAAAAATGCAGCACATTTAGTTATTACGTCTTTAGTTACCATTGTTATTCTTTGGTTCTTAAGACTGATGTTTTTGAAGAGTACAAACTGTTTATTTTGGAGAACATCTCCCAGTTTGGGTTTGTCTTAAATTTCCTCAAGATTAGATTCAGATTATCGATTTTTGACGGGCATATTATGGAAGTGATGCATCATATCGGGAGGTGTGTGATGGTTTCTCTCATTTCCGGTGACAACTGAGCACTGTGTTAACCAAATGTTAATCCATAATTAATGATAAAAAGGAAAATAGGTCTGGTGCAGTGGCTCATACCTATAATCCCAGCACTTTGGGATGCCAAAGCAGGAGGATTGCTTGAGCCTAAGAGTTCAAGACAAGCCTGGGCAATGTAGTGAGATGTCATCACTACAAAAAATGTAAAAATTAACTGAGCATGGTGGCACACGCCTGTAGTCCAAGCTACTCGGGAGGCTGAGGTGGGAGGATCGCTTGAGCCCAGGAACTGGAGGTTGCAGTGAGCTGTGATCACACCACTGCACATCAGCCTGGGCCACAGAGTGAGACCCTGTCTCAAAAAGAAAGGAAAATAAAATTGATCTAAAACATTCAGTAGGACACAATAAGGTTTAAGGCTATTAACCATCAATATCAATATAAGCATTATACCTCTTCCCTGACACCAGCATTTTAAAGAAATTTTATTCTATGTTACAGGAAGAAAACAAAGATAGATTTTTGTGCAGTTTAGTATACTAGTACTAAATCATAAAGAATAAAATGCTTTTTTTTTTTTTTAAGTGGAAATTTAATGGAGCCACCATTTCAGAACCAAAAGAAATTTGGAACAAACTTCACAAAGCTGGAAAAGAAAACTATCCGAGGAAAGAAATATGATTCAGACTCTGATGATGATTAGAGCTCAATAATTCTTTGTAAATTGTCTTTTTTTTTCTGCTTCAGATTTAAATGTGTTTTTAAAATTCTATTAATGTCTATACATTGGTCACCTAAATACTCATATTCTCGAGTTTTATACAGTTGTATCACATCGAAAAGTGTCTTTACTGTTTTCTGTGTGGCCATCATGTTTAAGTTGAGGAAAACTCAGTTCTTAAATTATCTGGGAAGGGTCTGGATTCTCTATTTTTGAGATTGACTTTATCACAATATGATTCTTACATCTTTATACCATTTACAATTGTGTTTTAGATCTACAGAGTTAGAAATTCGAAAACTATTCCAGGACTAATTCTTAATCGGCATTATTTATACAAGAGGTCAAGTAACATTTACTAGCGCAATACTGCACTTGTAAATGAATTATAAACGCTCTTCTGGAATATATTTAAATAACCATTAAAGAACTGCTTATTCATTCTGGACACTGCATGTTGATGTTGAATCAACTGATGCCAGCAGAAAGCTATTTTGATTTGTGAACATACTGCCTTATTTAAAGGGTCCTGATTGCTTGTATTTTAAGACATTCATTAAAAAGAAACCAGGAAACACTTTTGAAATAACAGCATAAGGAACTTCACTGTCTCTGCTCAATAAAATACCTGTAACTGGAAGTTTATGTGGAAATTGTCATAAAAGCATACATCCAACAAAAACAGTTTTTCAAGAAAGTCAATCTTTTAGAATAGGGAGTCTGTGGCATTGGAGCCATGACCCCATTCCCTCTCTCCAGTTCCCAATCCTGGACTACAGTTTCTCCTCTGGAAGAGTAGATTATTAGCATGCCTCATTCCCTGAAGCTCTGTGTTGCAGAAGCCCTTTTGCAAGCAAGAGTAGCCAAGAGGTTTGGCACTCCTTCCTCCACCTAGTCCCCACTTACAGCACAGAAACTCTAACCCAGGAATATCAGACTGAGAATACTGGGCCTTAGTTGCTTTTGCCCCAGCTTACTCATAGGATGAAGGCTCTTTACTCGTACGTAGAGTGAAGGTTCCATGCAAGGAGATGCACTTGGAGGAGACCAGGGGTTATATCACCCCTTTCCCCCTTGTAGACTGTGAGTATAACTCCTAGAAAAGCAGGCCACTGTCCCCACCCGTAGCTCTGGAGCAGCAGAACAGAGGTTCTGTCCAGTGGAAATGGCAAGTCATAAAAACAGCTCTGGGCCGGGCACGGTGCCTCACGCCTATAATCCCAGCACTTTGGGAGGCCGAGGTGGGTGGATCACAAGGTCAAGAGATCAAGACCATTCTCGCTAACTTGGTGAAACCCCGTCTCTACTAAAAATATTTAATAAAGGGACTGACTAGAATAGAATGAGGGAAGATGTTGAAGTGTAAAGGTGCCACCAAATACGTTGGATCTGGGGAGGGGAGCAATTAAGAGCGTATTGACAGCTCCCTGATGGCAACAAGCAAAAGGGAATGCCAACAAGCTCAACAGAAAGAGCCTGGCACGGTGGCTCACACCTGTAATCCCAGCACTTGGGGAGGCCAAGGCGGGCAGATCACTTGAGGTTAGGAGTTCAAGACCAGCCTGGCCAACATGCTGAAACCCTGTCTCTACTAAAAGTTTAAAAATTAGCCAGGCATCATGGCACGTGCCTGTAATTCCAGCTATTCAGGAGGCTGAGTCATGGGAATCGCTTGAACGCGAGAGGCAGAGGTTGTAGTGGGCCAAGATCACACCACTCCACCCCAGCCTGGGTGACGGAGTGAGACCCTGTCTCAAAAAAATAGAGGCAGCTGTTATTAGTCCTAGGTTTAAGACAAGCCTCAAAGATACTCTACAGGGGCCTGAATTTAACTGGATTAAACTGCGGCGACTTGTGCCCCAGAGCATTGTCAGAAACAAAAGAGTGGCCAGGTGTGGTGGCTCATGCCTGTAATACCAGTACTTTGGGATGCGGAGGCGGGAGGACCACTTGAAGCCAGGAGTACAAGACCAGCCTCGGCAACATAGTGAGACCCTGTCTCTATAAAAAATGAAAAAAAAAATGAGTGGTTAGCTAGTAAATTAGTGGGTGCTAATAGTAGGATGTGATAACAAAAGAGGTTCTAACTAACTAGAACCTTTCCCGAAAGATCAGGAAAAGGTAAAAGAGAGCCCTATCAAAACCACTGTCCTTGGGGCTAGAGGGAGTAGTCATGGTGACTGCACACGCCCAGACTGTACTCTGAGGAGGGACATCAGAGCCTGCATACTTCAGGGTAAGTGGACTTAACTGAAATCATCCAGCCAAGAAACTAAACAAGAAGAAATGCGCTGGAGGGCAGAGGGTAGGGGTTGGAGGGAAATTACTATCCAGAGCTGCTGTGACACAGTGTCTAAAATATCCAGTCCTCAACAACAAACTACAAGACATACAGAAGAACAGGAAACTAATCCATACAAGGAGCGAAAAAGCAATCAAAGGAAACTGAGAGGGTCAATAGGTTGGAAGCAGATAAAAACTTCAAAGCATTATTATAAGTGTGTTCCAAAAAAAACTAAAGGAAACTGCTGGAAGTAAAGGAAGGTATGCTTACAATATTCCATCAAACAGAATATCAACAAAGAAAGGAATTTAAAAGGGCCAAATAGGCTGGGCGCGGTAGCTCACGCCTGTAATCCCAGCACTTTGGGAGGCCAAGGCGGGCGGATCACGAGGTCGGGAGATCGAGACCGTCCTGGCTAACACCGTGAAACCCCGTCTCTACTAAAAATACAAAAAATTAGCCGGGCGTGGTGGCGGGCGCCTGTAGTCCCACCTACTGGGGAGGCTGAGGCAGGAGAATGGCGTGAACCCGGGAGGCGGAGCTTGCAGTGAGCCGAGATTGCGCCACTGCACTCCAGCCTGGGCGACAGAGTGAGACTCCATCTCAAAAAATATATAAAATAAAATAAATAAAAGGGCCAAATAGAAATTCTAGAGTTCAAAAGTAAAGTAACTGTAATGAAAAATTCATTAGAGGAGCTCTACAGTAGATTGTGTTCACAGTAGAAAGAATCAGCAAATTATTGGAAGAAATGATGCCTGAAAATCAAATATTTGATGAAAACATTAATCCAAGATCAAGTTGTAAGATAACATAGAAAGATGCATACCAAAACTATAGTGAAAACAATGAAAGAAAAAAATCTTGAAAACAGAAAAAAAAACTACTCATTGTGTATAAGAAAACCCATTGGCCCAATGCTGTGGCTCACTCCTGTAATCCCAGCGCTTTGGAGCTTGAGGCAGGAGTGCTTGAGGCCAGGAGTTCAAAACCAGCCTGGGCAATATAGTGAGACCCCATCTCTACAAAAAATTTTTAAAAATTAGCCAGGTGTGGTGGCATCCACCTCATAACTACTTGAGAGGCTGAGGCAAGAGGATCACTTGAGCCCAGGAGTTTGAGGCTACAGTGAGCTATGATTGCACCACTATACTCCAGCATGGGCAACAGAACAAGACCTTGTCTCTATTTTGTTTTTTGTTTTTGTTTTTGTTTTTTCATTTTTCAGTGTTCTTAAGTTTAAAACAAAAAAAAAAAAAAAAGAAAAAGAAATGCAAAGCTTTATTTTATGAGTCAGAGGACTTGATACTAAGTCTTAAGATTGTAATACTGCCCCTGCCAAGTTAATCTGCAAATTCAACAAATTCAAAAAAACAAAAACCTCCACTCCCAGATACCTTTTTGCAAAAATTGACAAGTTGATCTTAAAATTTATGTGGACCCAGAGTAGCCAAAATAATCTTGATAAATAACATATTTGGAGTACTCACTCGGATATCAAAACTTAGGGCAAAACTACAATTATAAGACAGGCATAAAGATAAGCGAAATAAAAGTCCAGAAATAAACCCTTGTGTTTTGTAGTCAGTTGATGTTTGGCAAAAGTTCCAAGACAATTCAAATGGGAAAGAATAGTCTCTTCAACAAATGGTTTTGGGACAAGTAAATATTGACCCCTCCTTTATGCGATATACAAAAGTTAAACTCGAAATGTAACAAACACCTAAATATAAGAATTAAAACTATAAAACTCTAAGAGGAATATCTAAGGGTAAATCTTCACGACTTTGGGTTACACAAAGCCTTGTTGATGTGACAAGTCACAAAAGAAAAATAGATGAACACCAAATATAAAAACACTTGCTGCAATTGATACCAACAGATTAGAATAACAACTCAGAATTGGAAAAATATTTGCAAATCATATATCTGATAAAATGTATCCGGAATGTGTAGAGAATTCTTTCAACCCAATAAAAAGAATATAAATACCCAATTTAAAAAATGAGTAAAGGGGCCGGGCGCGGTGGCTCATGCCTGTAATTCCAGCACTTTGGGAGGCCAAGGCGGGCAGATCACGAGGTCAGGAGATCGAGACCATCCTGGCTAACACGGTGAAACCCCGTCTCTACTAAAAATAAAAAAAAAAATTAGCCGGGTATGGTGGCATGCGCCTGTAGTCCCAGCTACTCAGGAGACTGCGGCAGGAGAATGGCATGAACCCAGGAGGCAGAGCTTGCAGTGAGCCAAGATCGCGCCACTGCACTCCAGCCTGGGTGACAGAGTGAGACTCTATCTCAAAAAAAAAAAAAAAAAATTAACCAGGCGTGGTGGTGGGCGCCTGTAGTCCCAGCTACTCGGGAGGCTGAGGCAGGAGAATGGCATGAACCCGGGAGGTGGAGCTTGCAGTGAGCCGAGATCATGCCACTGCACTGCAGCCTGGGCGACAGAGTGAGAGTCCGTCTCAAAAAAAAAAAAAAAAAATGAGTAAAGGATCTGTACGTCTTCCCAAAAGAAATGGACAGTTGGGCAGTAAGTACATGAAAAGATGCTCAAATCATTAACTGTCAGGGAAATGTAAATCCAAACCACAATGACATCCCACTTTGCACCAGCCAGGATGATTATAATAAAAAAGGCAGACAACATGGTGAAACCCCGTCTCTACTAAAAACACAAAAATTAGCTGGGCGTGGTGGCATGCGCCTGTAGTACCAGCTACTCAGGAGGCTGAGATGGGAGAGTTGCATGAACCCAGGAGGTGGAGGTTGCAGTGAGCCAAGATCGCGCCACTGCACTCCAGCCTGGGTGACAGAGTGAGACTCTGTCTCAAAAAAAAAAAAAAAAAAAGGTGTAGTATTTGCATGTAACCTGCCACATATTCTCCTGTACACTTTAAAACCTCTCCAGATTATGTATAATACCTAACACATTGTAAATGCTATATAAATAGTTGTTATACTGTATTGATTAGACAATAATGACAACAAAAAAAGTCTACACCTAATAGGTACAGACAAAGCCAGATATTTTTCCTTTTCTGGAATATTTTCCATCTGCTGTTGGTTGAATCCACAGATGCAGAACCCAAGGATATGGAGGGCCAAAGAAGCATTTACAGAGGAAGGACAGTGTAGATTCATGAAAACTAAGGAAGGAGATTTGAAACAGGAAGACTTGATTCACAGTTTTAAAGGCTGCAAAGGAGGTAAATTGAAAAAAAGACTAAGAGGCCATGTGAAGGTCATCAAGCATCATCCAGAGAGAAATTCCGCAGAGCAATCAGTGCAAAATCCATGTTTTCATTACCAAAAACCAAAAACTTTATCACAGTATGATATGAACTTACCTATATGAAGTCTTTCAGTGGCCCCAAAACAAATCATATATATTTAATGAATAGCCATTATTGAAAAAATATATACTAAAAAGTAACTACACTGGAAAACCCATGATGTATTGTTACTATTGTAATTGGGAGAGAAGTCAGATGTTAGAATATTTTAGGAATGAAATAGGTCAAAAGAAAGAAAAATGTGAAGGATATGAATAAACAGAGAAATGTAGGAGGGACAAAAGGACACCCTCTTTAAACTGTCAATGGCAGGCTAGAACTGTTTGTGCTTATGAGGACTTGGAGTCCCTGCAGAGGTCAGGGTGGCTTCTAACATTGTATGCCCACCTATATTTCATCAGGCTAACAATAATTTTGATGGCTGATCTGCTGAGAGAAGATTTTTTTTAAGAGACAGGTCTTACTCTGTTGCCCAAGCTGGAGTGCAGTGGTGGTCATAGCTCACCATAACCTCAAACTCCTGGGCTTAAGTGATCCTCCCACCTCAGCTTCCTGAGTAGCTAGGACTACAGGCATGTACCACTGCACCCAGCACAAGATGGTCTTGATTACAGGCATTTATTTAGGGATACAATTTAAAATGACTGACTTTTATAACCCTATCACTATATATCACCATATTCTAAATGTCTAGGGAAAAGTAGGGGGAAAGACTGGATTAGGCCAGGCATGATTACCAGTAATCTTAGCACTTTGGGAGGCCAAGGTGAGAGGATTACTTGAGGCCGAGAGCTCAAGACCAACCTGGCCAACAAAGCAAGACTCTGTCTCTATTTCAATTAAAAAATAGAAGAAGAAAAAAGACTTGGTTGGCAGTTTTGTTTGTTTTATTGTTGTTGTTGTTGTTTTTGTTTGTTTTTTTGAGACAGAGTTTCGCTCTTGTTGTCCAGGCTGGAGTGCAATGGTGCCATCTCAGCTCAATGTAACCTCCGCCTCCTGGGTTGAAGCAATTCACCTGCCTCAGCCTCCCGAGTAGCTGTCATTACAGGCATGCGTCACCACACCCGGCTAATTTTGTGTTTTTAATAGAGATGGGGTTTCTCCATGTTGGTCAGTCTGGTCTCAAACTCCTGACCTCAGGTGATCCTCCTGCCTCGGCCTCCCAAAGGGCTGGGATTACAGGCATGAGCCACCGTGCCCAGCCTTGGTTGGCAGTTTTTACCATTAATTATACAATTATTTTTTCTGATTATGAAAGCAATAAGGCATACAATGTCAATCATTAAGGAAATATGAAATATGTAAAATAAGCATGTTCTCTAGTCTCATCTCCACAGATAACTTCTTTCAAGATTTGATGCATTTCTCCCAAATTTTTATTTTCTAGACATACACTAACATTTGTCTTTGTTAAAATGGGGTCACTGAGTACATTTTATTTTGCAACTTGTTTTTTTCCCATTTACCTGTACAGCCAGCACATTTTCTTATGTCATCACAGTAGTGCCACCTCTCTAATTAATGCAAAGTGTTCTATTGTGCAGATGGTACATATGAAAATATTTTCTTTCTTTTTTTTTTTTTTTTTGAGACGGAGTCTCATTCTGTTGCCCAGGCTGTAGTGCAGTGGTGCGATTTTGGCTCACTGCAACCTCCACCTCCCGGGTTCGAGCAATTATCCTGCCTCAGCCTCCCCAGTAGCTGGGAGTACAAGCATGTACCATCACGCCCAGCTAATTTTTCGTATTTTTAGTAGGGACGGGGTTTCACCATATTTGCCAAGCTGGTCTTGAACTCCTGACCTCAAGTAACTCACTCACCTCAGCCTCCCAAAGTGCCAAGTGAAATATTTTAGTGGGAAAATGTCCACAGAATAAGGGGTGTGGGCTTGGTCAGTGGAGAGTGGTTGAAGAGGTGAGAGGGAACCAAGGCTCTTCCTGCTATTTCTTTGCTAGGGCTGGCCCCTTTAGGGGCTTCCCTTCCCTTAGAGATGACTGCCAGGGTCTTCCATCCCTACTTTCTGCCCCTTCTCTGAGGGGCCTGAGCCCCCTCAGCCTCCCAGGTTCATCCAAACAAACAACTTATGGCCTTCATAAAACTGTCTGATTAAATGTGTATTATTATTTTTCCTTTTTTATTATACAGGATATAAATGCTTAACTCTTTTCATGTATTTTTAAACCAACTGACAAATAATTTTGAGCTTGTCATTAGCATCCTTGGGCTAATATAATAAAACTTTGTTACTTAAAACTATGGTTTTCTAAGTTTTAAATTGCATAGCAACAATAAGGATCTGATCATAAAGACAAAAATCAGGCTGGGCATGCTGGCTCATGCCTGTAATCCCAGGGGATTGGGAAGTCAAGGACAGAGGATGGCTTGAGGCCAGGAGTTCGAGACCAGCCTGAGGGCTGGGCATGGTGGCTCATGCCTGGAAGGCCAAGGATAGAGGACGGCTTGAGGCCAGGAGTTCAAGACCAGCCTGAGGGCTGGGTGTGGTGGTTCATGCCTGTAATCTCGTCTTTGGGAGGTCAAAGCCGAGGATCACTTCAGCCCAGGAGTTCGAGACCAGCCTGGGCAACATAGTGAGACCCCCTCCCCCACCATCTCTACAAAATATTTAAAAATTAACCGGGCATGGTGGCACGCACTTGTAATTCTAGTTAGTTGAGAGGCTGAGGTGGGAGGATCACTTGATCCCAGGAGTTTGTGGCTGCAGTGAGCTGTGATCACACCATTGCAAACCAGTCTGGAAGACAGAGAGAGACCCTGCCTCAAAAAAAAGGAGGCAGGGGGACCAGCCTGGGCCACATAGGAAGACCCCATCTCCACAAAAGATAAAAAAATTCTCCTGTGTCAGAAGACCAGTTGGAAAACAAAATTTAAACATTAGCCCAGTGTGGTGGCACACACCTGTAGTCCCAGCTACTGGGGAGACTGAGATGGGAGGTTCACTGGAGCCCAGGAGTTTGAGGTTACAGTGAACTATGATTGTGCCACTGCACTCCAGCCTGAACAACAGAGGGAGATCCTGTCTCTTAAAAAAAAAAGACACAAATTACAACTAAAGCAGGGTGAATCTCTTAAGTAAAGGGAAAAATTCTGATCAAGAAGACTGGAAACAGCTGGGACTAGCCTTTGCCTCTCAGGAAGGAACGGAGAAAAGATTTTGGCAAACGATGGCCAAGAGGCAGCAGAACCCCTCCTGCAGTGGTTCATAAATGTGGCTGCGTTGCCCACTGCTGCTGTAAAAATTACCACAATGTTGGTGGCTTAAAACAATGTAAGTTTATTTTTTTTAATTTATTTATTTTTAGAGACAAGAGTCCCTAGCGCCTGGCCCCTTCCCTCTATCTTCAAAGGCAGCAAGAGCTGGTTCCATCTCTGTGAAACTGACTCTTCTGCCTCCATCTTCCACATTTAAGGGCCCACCTTGATAATTCAGGATATCCTATCTCTTTTAAGGTCAGATGATGAGGAACCTTAATTCCATCTACTAACTGGAGTCTCCTCTGCCATGTAACTTAACATGTACATAGGTTCCAGGGAGTAGGCTGGAATCACATTAGTGATTCCAATCATTCTAATGAGCAGCCATTGAAAACCACCGCTCTGGCCAGGAGTGGTGTCTCATGCCTGTAATCCCAGCACTTTGCGAGGCCAAGGATCCAGCTACTTGGGAGGCTGAGGCAGAAGGATTACCTGAGCCCAGGAGTTGGAGGCTACAGTGAGCTGCCGTGATTGGGCCACTGCATTCCAGCCTGGACAACAGAGTGAGACTCTGACTCAAAAAAAGAAAACCCCAAAATCTTCTGCTCCAAAGAGATCATATATTCTATTTCTACACATGTACCTGGCACTGCCATGGATGTGTTTATTCTGTACGTCCCATTTAACCTTCTCAAAGACCTATTTATTTTTAGTTAACAAGTAACATTTACATGCCAGGCATTGTGATGAGTTAGTTGTGCTACTATTGTCATGATCTTTCACAAATATTTTATTTTGAGTAATCATCACAACAACCCTGTGAAGTAGGTACTCTTTTTATTCCCATTTTACAGACGACAAAGCCGACTCAGAAATTTGCCCGAGGAGGCTGGGTGCAGTGGCTCACGCTTGTAATCCCAGCGCTTTAGGAGGCTGAGGCAGGTGGATCACCTAAGGTCAGGAGTTCAAACCAGCTTGACCAACATGGTGAAACCCCATCTCTACTAAAAATACAAAAATTAGCTGGGCGTGGTGGTACATGCCTGTAATCTCACTACTCAGGAGGCTGAGGCAAGAGAATCGCTTGAACCTGGGAGGTAGAAGTTGCAGTGAGCTGAGATTCTACCACTGCACTTCAGCCTGAGCAATAGAGTGAGACTCTGTCTCAAAAAAAAAGCAAAAAGAAAAAAGAAATGTGCCTGAGGCCATGAAGATAAACCATGTCGGCCAGGCTGGTCTCGAACTCCTGACCTCAGGTGATCCACCTACCTCAGCCTCCCAAAGTGCTGGGATTACAGGCATGAGCCACCATGTCCAGCCCCTGGGTTTTTTGCTTTTTCTTTTCTTTTCTTTTTTTTTAATTGAAACAAGGTCTCACTCTGTCTCCTAGGCTGGAGTGCAGTGGCCCAAAATTGTGGAATCATCTCACCATTATAAGCCTGTAAGAATGTCTCATTAGATTACTCTTTAATTTTTAAAATTGTTTTAATTTTTTTTTTCGAGACAGAGTCTCACTGTCACCCAGACTGGAGTGAAGTGACATGATCTCGGTTCACTCCACCCTCGACCTGCCTGAGCTCAGGTGATCCTCCTGCCTCAGCTTCCTGAGTAGCTGGGATTACAATCGTGTGCCACCACGCCCAGCTAATTTTTGTATTTTTAGTAAAGACGGGGTTTCGTCATGCGGGCCAGGCTGGTCTCAAACTCTAGGGCTCAAGCAATCCACCTGCCTCAGCCTCCCAAAGTGCTGGGAACCACCAGCACCAGGCCTATTTTAAAGCTATTTTTAATTTTTTATTATTTGTACTTTTTAATTTTTTAAAATTTTTGTTTTAATGTTTTTAAATTTTTTTAATATTTATTTTACTTTGGCCAGGCACGGCTGCTTACGCCTGTAATCCCAGCACTATGGGAGGCCGAGGCGGGCGGATCACGAGGTCAGGAGATCGAGACCATCCTGGCTAACATGGTGAAACCCCGTCTCCACTAAAAATTAGCCAGGCGTGGTGGCGAGCACCTGTAGTCCCAGCTACTTGGGAGGCTGAGGCAGGAGAATGGCATGAACCCGGGAGGCGGAGCTTGCAGTGAGCCAAGATTGCACCACTGCACTCCAGCCTGGGCGACAGAGCAAAACTCCATCTCAAAAAAAAAAATTATTTTATTTTAAAAATGTTTAAATTTTTAAATTTGTTAAAGGCCTTTCCAGTTGAATCACATCGTACTCATCCTCCTCTTGTTATTCTAATCTTCTCCCTCCCTACATACACACACACACGTACACACACACACACACATGCATGTACAGCAACATTCCAGCCCATTGCCTCACAGATTGCTATGCACCAACAGGCCTAAAATTAAAATAGTAATAGCAGTGTAGTCACAAATATAAAATAATATAAAATTATTCTGCCACTAAGATCATGTTTTCTTGAGAAAAATACAACTTTTTAGAGCAAAAATATAGGGCAGCAACAGGAAGGCTCATTTTAAGCTGTTATGCTGTGTAGAGCTGCACCTTCACATGGCCTGTGAAAATACCTATTCACTGAATTTGGATTGTAATCAATAATTACCAGCCTAGAAGACCTCTGAAAGTTTGATCATTTTCTTCCCTCTGGGCAGGCAAATCTTCCCTGCATAGAGACACTGTGAGCTGGAAGGGAGTTCCTTCTCTCAGTGCGTCCTCTGTGCCTGCTTTTCCCATTTGCGTTTTTGAGAGTTCAGAACTCCAGGAAGGATCATCCTATGCTGGAGATTTCCCCATGAATGTTTCCTTCTGCACAAAGAGCAAATCAGAGAGACTTGGCCCCTCTGTTCCGTCTATGGACTCTAGAGGTGTATCTGTCTTTTTAGTCTGTTAGCCGAGGCTGTTAGACATGTTGGCCTTAGTTCTTACACAGCTTGCAGAGAAAATAAGACTGTTATAGAACCAATACTCATGGTCTATGGGTTAATGTAGCATTGGCAAGACTGCCCATGAGGGCAGGCAAGGGATTTACCGTCTGGCAAAATACAAACACCTTAGTCTTTTGGCTTTCAGTTAACAAATATGACGTCGCATTTGGCCCT